>NC_000014.9:104762716-105065716 GCF_000001405.40 Homo sapiens | reverse complement strand
GCCTTGCCTGTCTGGGGACACACGGACAGCCGCTGTGCCGCGCCAGGCCCCAGCACCTGCCTGGGAGCTCCTGAGTGAGTGGAGCCTGGCTCTGAGTGCTGCTATTGCTAAAAGAGGTAAGACTGGGGTTTCCTGCCACTCCCTCCCTCAGGAAGGTGACGAGGCCATGCTGTCATCACCAGTAAGATACCCCAGCCCGGTTGGCTAACCCCTAGCTCAGCCCTGTTTGTGGTTAGGGGAGTTCTAGACAGAACATAATTAGACCCCTGCTACTTCCTGAAACCTCAGCTAGGACTGCAGGGAGGGGTGCGAGGCTAGCCACGCAGGCGGGGCCCTGGGTAAGTCGCTGGGCTCTGCGTGCTGGGGAGTGGGCCTGGGGGGCCAGGCTCTGGGATGGGGCTGGGGGCTGGGAGCTGGAGGCGGGCAGAGGGGGATCTGAAGGCAAAGGTGATTTGTTGGTAAAGATGGAGGCTTTGTTGAGGGTTCTTAATCTGGGGTCCCTCCCGAGAGAACCCAGGACCCCCAGTGACCACAGATGTGATGGGGCCGGAGGATTTGGGGGAGAGGGACAACAGTTTCCATTGTATCTTTGTCACCGCCACCTTCCTGGAGACTTTCTTCTGGAAAAGGCTTCCCTGGCTACTGGTCCAGATGGGGGTGAGTCAGGGGGCTGGACTTTGTCCCTGGAATCTCTCCTTGGCCACTTGCTTCCGTGATTGGTCGGGGGGCACTGAAGGGCTGGGCTTCTCTCTGTGGGGCCTGTGCTGCTTGTGGGGTTACACAGAGGGAAAAGCAGGGCAGTGGGGGCTGTGCTGCGGTGAGTGGCAGTTGGCCCAGTCACGTGACAAGATCCTGGAGCTGGGCAGGTCACCGGCCTTTGGAGTGGCGTTCGGCGCACCAGGCACAGCGGGGCGGGGGGCCCAATACCTTCTGTCAAGTGCATGACGTGGGTCTGTACCACTGCAAGGGACTGGGACTGACCACTGAAGACTGGCCAGTTGGGCTGAGCACAAAATGATATTTCAGGAGATTGGCCAGGCCGAGGTGGGAGAGCAGAGGCTCCTGGAAGAAGATGAGGATAGGGGCTGGGCACGGTGGTTCATGCCTGTAATCCCAGCACTTTGGGAGGCCGAGGTGGGCGGATCACTTGAGGTCAGGAGTTTGAGACCAGCCTGACCAACATGGTGATACCCTGTCTCTACTAAAAATACAAAAATTAGCCGGGCGTGTTGGCACACGTCTGTAATCCCAGCTACTTGGGAGGCCGAGGCAGGAGAATCGCTTGAACCTGAGAGGCGGAGCTTGCAGTGAGCCGAGATCGCGCCATTGCACTCTAGCCTGGGCAACACTATCAAATTGGGAAAAATAAGAAAGTTGACAATGGGCTTTGGATGGGTGTGGTGGAGCAGGGAGGTTGGAGCTGGTGACTCCACATTTCCCTCCCTAGGGTTTGTCTCAAACGTGACGGCAGAAAAGAGGTCATAGGTTTGCCTGGTGCCAAAGCAGGTGGGAGTAAAAGACGGAAATGGCTAGGAATGGCCAGCAACCGTGAAACAGCTTAGAAATTACAGGCAATCCAGCCAGGTGCGGTGGCTTACGCCTGTAATCCCAGCACTTTGGGAGGCCAAGGCAGGTGGATCACCTGAGGTCAGGAGTTCGAGACCAGCGTAACCAATATGGTGAAACCCTGTCTCTACTAAAAATACAAAATTAGCCGGGCGTGGTGGCACACGCCTGTAATCCCATTTACTTGGGAGGCTGAGGCAGGAGACTCACTTGAACCCAGGAGGTGGAGGTTGTGGTGAGCCGAGATCGTGCCATTGCACTCCAGCCTGGGCAACGAGAGCGAAACTCTGTCTCAAAAAAAAAAAGAAAGAAAGAAATTACAGATAGTCCACAAGACAGACCTCAGCAGCCTGAGGAGCTGTTTTTGACAAATGGGCTGGAATGAGGAACTGCTCCCTGCACATGGCAGGGGCCAGGGCTCCTTCTCTGTCCTTTTGTGTCTGTCTGAAAAGTTCCATCATAAGTTACAAAACAGGCTGGGCGTGGTGGCTCACACCTGTAATCCCAGCACTTTAGGAGGCCGAGGCGGGCGGATCACCTGAGGTCAGGAGTTCAAGACCAGCCTGACCAATATGGCGAAACCCCTTCTCTACTAAAAATACAAAAAATTAGCCGGGCATGGTGGCAGGCGCCTGCTAATCCCAGCTACTTCAGAGGCTGAGGCAGGAGAATCACTTGAACCCGGGAGGCAGAGGTTGCAGTGAGCCAAGATCGTGCTATTGCACTCCAGCCTGGGCAACGAGAGAGAAACTCAGCCTAAAAAAAAAAAAAAAGTTACAAAATAGATTTTAAAAGACTGGAGGAGCACAGCAACTTGCAGGCCAGAGAGCTCCAGGGACAGTGGCTGGGTGAGGTCATGCTAGATCCTGTTATTGAAATGTCCATCCCAGGAACATGTGGTGCTTCTCTAATCTGGAAAATGGATTCATTGGCCGGGCATGGTGGCTCACGCCTGTATTCCCAGCACTTTCGGAGACCGAGGCCGGCGGATTTCTTGAGCCCAGGAGCTCGAGACCAGCCTGGGTAACATAGGGAAACCTCGTCTCTAAGAATAAAAGTACAAAAATTAACTGGGCATGGCAGCAGGTGCCTGTAGTCCCAGTTACTCGGAAGGGAGGATGATGTGAGCCTGGGAGGTGGAGGTTTCAGTGAGCAGAGATTTTGCCACTGTACTCCAGCCTGGATGAGGGAGCAAGACCCTGTCTCCAAATAAATAAATAAACAAACAAACAAACAAATAAAGCAAGAGAGAGAGGGAGAGGGTTAGGGAGAGAGAGAGAGAACAATTTTAATAGTATTTAAAGAAAAAAAAGCTGGGCGTAGTGGCTCACACCGTAATCCCAGCACTTTGGGAGGCTGAGGCAGGAGGATCATTGGAGCCCAGGAGTTCAAGACCTGCCTAGGCAACATGGCAAAACCCTGTTTCTACTAAAAATACAAAAAAAGTAGCTGGACGTGGTGGTGTGCCTGTAGTCCCAACCACTCGGGAGGCTGAGGCAGGAGAATTGCTTGAACCTGGGAGGTAGAGGTTGCAGTGAGCCAAGATCGCGCCACTTTACTCCAGCCTGGGCAACAGAGCAAGACTCCATCTCAAAAAAAAAAAAAAAAAAGAAAAGAAAAGAAAAGAAAGAAAAGAAAGAAAAGGCAAAAAAGGCAAAAGAAAAAAAGAAAGAGAAAACATGGGTTCATGGAAGAAGCACGGAAAGTGTGAGGCAGAGCAGCCTCGGAGCTGACACGCTGAGTGGGAGAAAGGCGGGTTGGACACAGGAGAGAGAAGTCCAGGGAGCAGTGGAGGGCTGGCCTCAGTGGGCTGCCAAGGTGTGGCTTGAAGATGGAGCTGGACAGGGACACATTTGCCCAGCATGGAGGCTGGGTGATGAGGGGCTTGGTCATTTGCTGATGTGAGGTGGAGGCAGGGGCCCAGGGCCAGCAGGGACAGGAGATGCAGCTGGAGCTCAGGGATGGGTGGACGGGGGTGTCAGGCTGACCTGGGCCCACACACACTGTGGTCTTGTGGCTGGAGTCATCCGAGGGACCTCACCATGGCCATCATGTCTGGCCACGCTGCCCTGAATCCAGTTGGAGTTGGATGGTGATAGCGGGGCCTCTGCCTGTCATAGTCCCTCAGAGCAGATCAAGAACAGAGTCCCCTGGAGTCCACCAGGCCAGGCTGGCATTGCTGGTGCTGTGAGCATGGTGGGCTATCCCCTACCCAAGCCTCCGGCAGGCTGGGAGCACCTTGCTGCTGTTTCAGAAGTGAAAGTCTGCACCGGGGACCTTTCCCACAGGGCTCAGTCACTCCCACCCACCCCACAGCTGAGAGGAGCCCCACTGGTGGGCCAGACAGCTGGGGCGATGAGAGGAAGGGACGGTCCCCATGCACAGCCCAGGAGGGACTCCCCCCCCCCAGGAGGGTGGTGCCTGCTTCCTGAGTGGAACAACACAGGAAGCCTCTGCCTGGCCTTGTCCTTCCACTTGAAGACCCAGCCCCAGGGGAAGCTGAGAGAGGGCCCGGGCCCCACTGCACCCTCCCCGAGGAAGAGCAGGGCCTGAAATGTGGGTGACCTGCTGTACCCCACGCCCCTTTCTGTGGAGGAAACAGCCCTGGCCCCGGGCCAGGACAGACCGCGACACTGCAGCTGGCGGGTGGGGCCACTGGGCTGGCCGGAGAGAGGGCCCTGAGCCCCTATCCTGAGCTCACTCACCCCGAGGGGAGGCAGAGGCTCCCAGGGGCAGTAGGAGTAGCAGGTGCGGCAAAAGGATGGTGAGCAGGTGCTGGCGGGACCCCGGACCCTGGTCCAGGAAGGCCCTCGGAAGAGGCCGGTGGGCTGCCTGAGGCTGTGGGCCTGTCCGGCAGGGAATGCCAGACAAAGCCTGGATGTGCTCTGATAAGCAAAGGGCTGGTGCAGGGCTCCCCCGGCGCCCAAGCCTGGTTGGCCATGCGTGGTGAGGAGCTGGACCTCGGTGCGAGGGAGTCGGGACGTCCCAGTGGACCCGGCTCTCCGGCTGCCCTGCCTTGGGTTGTTCCCACCGGGCCTCCTGCTGGGCCCACTGACTCTTTCCAGGCATCCTCGCCAGGCTGTGGTGCCCAAAGGTCAGGCACGTGGCGGGATCTGGACGTCAGCAGCTCACGCTGCATGGGCCGCATGGGACCAGCTGGATGGGAAGGTGGCTCCGGCTCTGCCCCTGGCTAGTCTCTGCTCTCAACATACAGGCCTGGATCCCAGAGGGGCCTCGCTGTGAGCCTCTGCCTGCGGCTGGGGCCCGGGAGGGGAGCGTGCATTTCCACTGCAGCTGCCACTTCCTTTGGTTTTGCAGAAGTGCTTGCAGCCCTCTGACCCAGGGTTGCCGGCTGGCATTGGCGTGACTGGGCGGCACAGCCCTGGACCAGCAAGAGTTCATCCTCCCAGGTTTGGGAGGGTTTCCAGAACCCTTGGTCCAGTTAAAGTGAAGGAGGCAGACTCCCCGGGAGCCCCTTCCTGGGCGGCTCAGGCGTTCTGATGGGGCCCAGGGGCCTCAGGCAGTGGCTCCATGTGCTCACTCCTGCTCATTTGACAGGAGAGGTCCCTGCCTCGTGTTATTCAGAATTTGAAAGGTGGGGAGGGGGCGGCTGCAGAATCGGAGTAGACACCAGCGAGCAAGAGTATGTGGGCTTCTAGGGCCACTGAAGGGGACTCGGCAGCTGAGGAGGGAAGCCAGGCCCAGTGTGAGGCTGGTCGGGCCCCCCACACCCCCGGGGCTCAGAAGGAACAGGACTGGTCTCAGGTGGCTCTGACATGCCCCCAGCCCACTTGGGCCCCCTGCCTGGCTGGGGGTCTGCCTTCCTTGGCCCTCCTGGTTCCGGCTCACTGCTTCCTCACCTACTGACCCCTCTGTTTTGGGCATGGCCAGAGAGCCCTGCATCTCTTGCTGGGCCTTGGAGCTGGGCGCAGCAGCCAGACGACAGGGCCACACGGATCTTGGCAGAGCAGCAGCTGGGAGGGCAGCGCCCAGCACACAGGCACCCGAGGGAGAGTCTGAAGACCCTCAGCGCTGCCCCACCATCTCCACTCAGGGGGCTGGCCCGAGATGCAGGGAGCAGTGCATACTTACTCCAGCCAGTGGCAGGGTGGTGGCAGAATGGGTAGCCCAGGAACCCCTCCGGCCCACACCACCCACCGCCAAGGGGGCATCACTTTGGAGATGGCTTTTCTTGTTTCTTTCTTGACTCAGTGTCTCACTTTTTCATGTGTTTTCAAGGTATTGCTTTAAAATTCTCCATAAGTTAACAAGCTTCCTGTAATCTCAGGAGAACATTGTGGCTTCCTGTTTTTCCAGTTGTTAAAAAACGTCGAGACAAGTCTCAATCATTTTAGGAGGTTTATTTGCTAAAGTTGAGGACACGCGTCTGTGACACAGCCTCAGGAAGTCCTGATGACGTGCCCAGGGTGGTCGGGCGCAGCCTGGTTTCATGCATTTTAGGGAGACAAGAGACATCAATCAATATATGTGAGACGTACATTGGTTCCGTCCAGAAAGGTGGGGACAACTCGAAGCAGGGAGGGGGCTTCCCAACCATTTGTCTCTCGCCTACACAGGTAGGCGAGAGACAAATGGTTGCATTGTTTTCAGTTTCTGATAAGTCTCTCCAAAGGAGGCATCAGAATATGCATCTGTCTCAGTGAGCAGAGGGATGACTGAATAGAACGCCAGGCAGATCGGCGCTGAGCAGTTCCCAGCTTGAAGGGGCCCAAGATACTTTCCTTTCACAGAAATATACTTGAAAGGGCAGCTGGGGATGTCAACACACAGGCAGCCCCACCTGCTGGCCCAGAGCCCTTGGTGTGGGTGTCCCTGGGTTCTGCCTCACTTTTGAGCAGCTTCCAGAGAATTCCTGCAAGAGCCACGTGGGATGGGCGGGAAGAGCAAGTGGCTCCAGGGAGTGCCCCTGGCCAGCCTCTCAACATACAGGCCTCGGGCCCAAAGGGGCCTTGCTGTGTAGGGGCTCTGCCCGCAGCCGGGCCGGCCCTGCCCTGGGAGGGGAGTGTGCACTGGGAGACTGACTGCACCTGCTGGCTTCCCATGAGGGTCTCGGCTGATAGAGGGCAGCACCAGGCAGCATGGGGTGGGGGTTGGGCCTGGCACCAGGGAGGCAGGATTGGAGCTAGTGAGGCAGCCGCCAGGCTCAGCCTCTATCCCTGCACTGCAGGGCCCGGAAACAGCAGAGCGAGACCCTCAGGCTTTGCAGGGCTGTGGGAGAGGCA
This sequence comes from Homo sapiens, assembly GCF_000001405.40. Taxonomy (NCBI): domain Eukaryota; kingdom Metazoa; phylum Chordata; class Mammalia; order Primates; family Hominidae; genus Homo; species Homo sapiens. Next base: position 105,058,907 of record NC_000014.9, on the reverse strand, counting down.
CAAACACCATCTGAGGATGGGTTTAGGGCGCTCTCCTCCCTGCAAACCCTCTTTGGCTGGTCAGGGTGGTGCCTGTTTTAGAGGCACCTCAGGTTAGGGAAGGAAGCAGAGGGACAGGCCCCTGGGCGCCTTGCGCCACCCCCCTGCATGCCCTGAGCCATCTGCTGCCCGCCCATCATGCCTCCCTCCTCCGGGCCCCTCATGCTGTGGGTGACACAGCTTCCAGGCCATGTGCACGTCACACCTCGGGTAGCCAGGAAAAATTCCTAGAAGGGGATCAGCCAGGTCAAAAGTAGAGCACATTTGAGATTTTTGGAAACATATTGCAAAATTTTGCTGCGAGCCAATTCATACTTCCGTCAGTCCCGTGTACGGGCACCCATTGCCTACTCTCAAACACTATGAGTTTAAAAGGTCTTTATTTTTGCCAACATGATAGGCCAAAAAAAGATTTTAAAAGACTGTCTTTCAGATATTCATGTTTGCATTTCTTTGATTAGAAGTGGAGTTGAACATTTTTCAGATTTTAGGAGCTTTTCTTTTTTCTTGAGACGGGGTCTCTCTCTGTAGCCAGGCCGGAGTGCAGCAGCTCAGTCACAGCTCACTGCAACCCCTACCTCCTGGGCTCAAGCGATCCTCCCAACTCAGCCTCCTGGGTAGCTGGGACTACACGTGTGCACCATCATGCCTGTTTATATTTTTGTAGGTGTGGGGTGTTACTATATTGCCCAGGCTGGTCTTGAACTCCTGGACTCCAGCTATCCTCCCACCTCAGCTTCTCAAAGGGCTGGGATTTACAGCCATGAGTTACCACACCTGGCCTTTAGGAGCTATTTTTATGTTTTCTGTGAAAGCTCATCAACTTTCTTTTCTCTCCCAGCTTTATAAAGGTATAATTGACAAACAAGAAGAGTACCTAGGCCAGGTGCGGTGGCTTACGCCTGTAATCCCAGCACTTTGGGAGGCCGAGGTGGGTGGATCATTTGAGGTCAGGAGTTTGAGACCAGCCTGCCCAACATGGTGAGACCCCGTCTCTACTAAAAATACAAAATCTAGCTGGGGATGGTGGCGCGTGTGTGTAGTCCCAGCTACTTGGGAGGCTAAGACAGGAGAATCGCTTGAACCCAGGAGGCGGAGGTTGCAGTGAGCCGAGATCATGCCATTGCACTCCAGCCTGGGCAACAGAGTGCGACTCTGTCTCAAAAAAAAAAAAAAAAAAATTAGCTGGGGGTGGTGGCAGGCGACTGTACTCCCAGCTACTCAAGAGGCTGCTGCAGGAGAATAGTTTGAACCCGGGAGGCAGAGGTTGCAGTGAGCCGAGATTGTGCTACTGCACTCCAGCCTGGGCGACAGAGCAAGACTCCATCTCAAGAAAAAAAAAAAAAAAAAAAAAAAAGAATCGTATGTAGTCGCAGTGGCTAATGTGACGTTTTGATGCCTGTTGGCTTGGAGCCTTGCTTGTGTTTCTCATGTGGGATGCAACGGCAGATTCTCAACATTTAAAAAACACCTACGAATCAACGGGCCACTTAGTAAATTAGTAAATACTCACTAGCCGTTTGTCAATGGGTTAACTTGTGACTCAATCTGATTTCCCTAAAACAATTTCAACCTACTCTTTTTCCAGGTCATTTTAAACTCTCAGAGTGAACGTCTTGATAGGACCGACAAGACGCATGACATGTACTTAGAAAGCTTATCTTAGAGCCACACTGAGATTGGAACCCGCAAAATATGCCAGGTGAGAGAGCCTTCTCCGACTTTGAACATGTAAGAGGAAGCCCATGAGAATTTTTCCATGAAGCATGTTGTCTCATAATTCAAAAATTAACGCATAAAAATAGATTATCGAGATAAAAACTAGCTCAGCAATAATAAATCTAGAGGTGCTACATGGAGAAATGAAGGACTGATTTCATAATTCTTTCGTGAAGTTCTGGGAAGCCAGGAACGGGAATGAGGGCATAGTTGGTGGCTCCTGGGAGGGCGACACAGTACTGAGTCAGGGGGCTGTCCCACAGGTCCCAGGGGAGCCCTGCACGGTCTGGGCCATGAGGAGCTGACCACCAGCCCCCCGCATCCATGCGTCTCCTGGTGCCGTTGCCCCTACTTCTGACCCACCAGGAAGGCTCTCTTCCCAGGAGGTCACTTGTGGCAGGAGGCGGGGGAGCGGGGGACAGCCTCCTCACCAGATGGGCACAGAGCCACAGACACCACGGACCTGGTGTCCAGAGGTGAAGGTCCCAAGGCTGCGTGAGGCCTGGAGCAGGGGGTGCGGGACTGAGGGGCACCGAGGCCCTGACTGAGACCGCACGGGCGACGATGTGTGGGGTGGGGGAGCCGTAGGAAGTCGGGGAGGGAACAGACCAGAGCGGCTCTGTGCAGGCTGAGGTGGGAGGGACCCCTCTGGCCACCCCGGGTCTTGCCTGCATCTCCCCTTGTGTTTTGGATTCTGGCTCTGCCTCCCAGGGCCTGTGATTGTCATGAAAGAGACGGGGCCGTGTAGGGGGCCCGAAACTTCCTCTGAGCTCAGGACTCGCACAGCGGGGCTGGGGCACTCGTTTGATGGGAAAAGAGCCATCTGGGTGAAGAACAGTGAGTGCAAACACAGGCGTTGGGCCTCCCACCCGAGAACTGCCTTCACTGCCCCCCGCCGCCCGCCACAGGCCTGTGTCTTGGGCGAAGTGGTGACAACTGAGTGTGAGGCAGCCCAGTCACACCCACTCTCTCCCTCTGCCCAGGGAGGAAGGTGAGCAAGGGACACGACACTCACCCGGAGAAACCCAGCAAGCGCAGCGAGGCTGTGGGGAGACCGGAGCCCTGCACACCGCCGGGGGAAGGTGGGCCAGCGCCACCACCGTGGAGAACAGCGCGGAGGCACCCCACGAGATGAGACGGAACTGCCGTGAGATCCAGCAATGCCAACTGTGGGTCTGACCCAGGAGAACGGAAAGCAGGGACGTGAACAGCCCTCCTCATGTTCTTGACACCGTCATTCTCAGCAGCTCAGCTAAGGCACAGAGGCAGCCGAGCGTCTGTCAGCGGAGTCGTGGCTGAGCAGAACACGCCACACGCCACACGCCACACGCCACACGTGCAGGATTGCTCAAGATGGAAGGGCACAGTGGAATATATATATATATTTATATTTTTGGCGAGACCCTGGAGGACACACTGAATACAATGGAATACCATCCCGCCTTTGAAAGGAAGGGAAATCCTGGCACACGCTGCAACAGGAGGGAGCTTGAGGACACTGTGGTGAGTGGAGCACGTGAGACACGGAAGGACACACGCTGAAGACACGCAGAGATGCCCACCCACGTGGGGAGGTGACAGGGGAGCCCAGCGCACAGAGACAAAGTGGAATGGAGGCCTGGGGGCTGGGAGCAAATGCGGAGCGAGTGCTTCCTGGGGCAGAGTCTCCGTTTGGGAAGATGAGAAGGTTCTGCCGACGGATGCTGGCGATGGTTGCAGAAGAATGTGAATGTGCCCAATGCTACTGAAAAACGGTTACAATGGTAAATTCCTTGTTATGTGTATTTTGCCACAATTTTCCACTTTTTCAATTTTTTTTTCTTGCGATTGAGTCTCACTCTATCGCCCAGGCTGGAGTGCAGTGGCACAATCTCGGCTCACTGCAGCTTCTGCCTCCCAGGTTCAAGGGATTCTCCTGCATCAGCCTCCCAAGTAGCTGGGATTACAGGTGCCCACCACGCCTGGCTAATATTTGTATTTTTAATAGAGATGGGATTTCACCATGTTGGTCAGGCTGGTCTGGAACTCCAGACCTCGGGTGATCCACCTGCCTTGTCCTTCCAAAGCGTTGGGATTGAAGGAATGAACGGCCCATGGGGCCGAATTTTTTTTTTTTTTTTTTTTTTGAGATGGAGTCTTGCTCTGTTGCCCTGGCTGGAGTGCAGTGGCGCAATCTCTGCCTTCCGGGTTCACACCATTCTCCTGCCTCAGCCTCCCAAGTAGCTGGGACTGCAGGCACCTGCCACCACGCCTGTCTAATTTTTGTATTTTTAGTAGAGACGAGTTTTCACCAGGTTAGCCAGGCTGGTCTCGAACGCCTGACCTCTAGTGATCTCCCCACCCTGGCCTCCCAAAGTGCTGGGATTACAGGCGTGAGCCACTGCGCCCAGCTGAATTTTTTAAATGCACAAAAACAAGTGGCCTGGCATGGTGGCTCACACCTGTAATCCCAGCACTTTGGGAGGCCAAGGTGGGCAGATCACCCAAGGTCAGGAGTTCAAGACCAGCCTGGCCAACCTGGTGAAACCTTGTCTCTACTAAAACTACAAAAATTAGATGGGCGTGGTGGCGAGTGCCTGTAGTCCCAGCTACTCGGGAGGCTGAGGCAGGAGAATCACTTGAACTTGGGAGGCAGAGGTTGCAGTAGCAGAGATCACGCCACTGCACTCCAGCCTGGGCATCAACACAGTTTTTTGAGACTACGTCTCAAAAAAAAAAAAAAGAAAAAAAAAGAGCGACACAATGGGGCCGCAGGGCTGACCCCGTTCGGGGTGACTTGCCCCATCGTGCTGGAGGTCAACAGGCCCTCAAGTACAGGAGGGAGGTCAAGGAAACTACGACATTTGCATGTGGAAGGTTCCTGAGGCCAGCGGGCTGGACAGTGCCCAGGGACCCCTGACCTCGCGCCAGGGCACAGCTGAAGTTTGCCCCGCCCGGGGCTGCTGTGGCCCAATAAGTTTGGCAACGCTCTGTCCGTCCGTCAGGTGCTGAGGCCAGGTCTGTCTGCGGCTTCCTGCTGACCTGGAGGTGGGACTCCATGATCTGTAACCACAGAAGGCCCAGAAGCATGAACTCAGCCAGAGTGGGCAGCCAGGACACTGGAGCTGGTGGCGCTGGCAGAGCTTGGGGAAGTCACACCACTGCACACCCTGCGTGACCTCTAGCAACCCCCTGGCTGGAAAGGATGAGTTTCTGACCTCGGAGAGCTGTGTTTGAGGCAGGTTGCTGAGATCACTTTGATCTCCTTTTCTTTTGCCCTCTCCCACATTTAAGGACTTTTGTGATTCCATTGGGCCCACCAGATAGTCCAGAATAATCTCTTTATTTTACTGTCAGCTAGTTAGCAACCTTCATTCAACTTGCAACCTTAGTTCCCCTTTCCCGTGTAACCTGCCATATCTACATGTCCCAAGGATTAGGATTCAGACATCTTTTGGGTGGGGTCATTAGTCTCCTGCCACCGAGAGGAGGGGTATCACATGACATAGTAATAAGAGGATCAATTCACCAAGAAGACAGAACCATCTGTGACTCCTATGCCCCAATTCACAGTAGCTTCAAATACGTAAAGCAAGCACTGGGAGAATACAAGGAGAGGTGGACAAATCCACCACTCCCACAGGAGCTTATAATTATCTTTTTTAGTAATTGATAGTTCACACAGGCAAATATGTGGTAAGACTACAGATTAGCCGGGCGCAGTGGCTCACGCCTGTAATCCCAGCACTTTGGGAGGCCAAGGAGGGCAGATCACCTGAGGTCGGGAGTTCAAGATAAGCCTGACCAACATGGAGAAACCCCATCTCTACTAAAAATACAAAATTAGCTGGGTGTGGTGACGCATGCCTGTAATGCCAGCTACTCAGGAGGCTGAGGCAGGAGAATCCCTTGAATCCGGGAGGCAGAGGTTGCAGTGAGCTGAGATCGTGCCACTGCACTCCAGCCTGGGCAACAGAGCAGAGGGAGAGACTCCATCTCCAAAAAAAAAAAAAAAAAAAAAAAGACTACAGGTTAGGAATTAGGATGAGGCAGTGCCCAGCTATGGGGCCAGGTGGGAAGTGGAGGCAAAGTGGGTCAGCGCTGGAAGGGCATAGTAGCAGCGCCTAACAGACTGCTTAGAAAAGCACTCACACAGCAATTACAGGATCAACATTCTTTTCAAACACACAAGCAACTTTTTTTTTTTTTTTGAGAAGGAGTCTCACTCTTGTTGCCCAGGCTGGAGTACAGCGGCACGATCTCAGCTCACTGCAACCTCCGCCTCCTGGGTTCAAGTGATTCTCCTGCCTCAGCCTCCAGAGTAGCTGGGATTACAGGTGCGAGCCAGCACGCCCAACTATTTGTTTTAAATTTTTAGTAGAGACAGGGTTTCTCCATGTTGGCCAGGCTGGTCTCAAACGCCTGACCTCAAGTGATCTGCCTGCCTCAGCCTCCCAAAATGCTGGGATTACAGGTGTGAGCCACCATGCCGGGCCAGAAGCAACATTTTTGAAAACCTCAGTGAGTTACAAAGACTCAGCATTGCCCAGACACAATGGCTCACGCCTGTAATCCCAGCACTTTGGGAAGCTGATGCAGGCGGATCACCTGAGATCAGGAATTCGAGACCAGCCTGGCCAACATGGTGAAACCCCGTCTCTACTAAAATACAAAAATTAGCCAGGCATGGTGGCACGTGCCTGTAATCCTGGCTACTTGGGAGGCTGAGGCAGGAGAATTGCCTGAACCCAGGAGGCAGAGGTTGCAGTGAGCCGAGGTTGTGCCACTGCACTCCAACCTGGGCCACAAGAGCAAAACTCCATTTCAAAAAAAAGAAAAAAGAAAAATGATTCAGTATTGCCCAGCCTGCATTCTTTGTCCATGACGCTGCTAGGTTGGAGATCCACTATCTAATAATTGCTCTAAAAAATCAATTTGGAAATGTTTTAAACACCTGCGTGTGTCTAGTCTGAGCTACCACAAAGCTTCTATCCTTTCTTCCCACAGTAGAGTCTCTCCCAGGTGGTTTCCAGGGACTCCCGTCCTCACTCTTGTCTCTGTCCCACAGGAAACGCCACCCCAGTGACCACCACTGCCCCGTGGGCCTCCCTGGGCCTCTCCGCCAAGACCTGCAACAACGTGTCCTTCGAAGAGAGCAGGATAGTCCTGGTCGTGGTGTACAGCGCGGTGTGCACGCTGGGGGTGCCGGCCAACTGCCTGACTGCGTGGCTGGCGCTGCTGCAGGTACTGCAGGGCAACGTGCTGGCCGTCTACCTGCTCTGCCTGGCACTCTGCGAGCTGCTGTACACAGGCACGCTGCCACTCTGGGTCATCTATATCCGCAACCAGCACCGCTGGACCCTAGGCCTGCTGGCCTGCAAGGTGACCGCCTACATCTTCTTCTGCAACATCTACGTCAGCATCCTCTTCCTGTGCTGCATCTCCTGCGACCGCTTCGTGGCCGTGGTGTACGCGCTGGAGAGTCGGGGCCGCCGCCGCCGGAGGACCGCCATCCTCATCTCCGCCTGCATCTTCATCCTCGTCGGGATCGTTCACTACCCGGTGTTCCAGACGGAAGACAAGGAGACCTGCTTTGACATGCTGCAGATGGACAGCAGGATTGCCGGGTACTACTACGCCAGGTTCACCGTTGGCTTTGCCATCCCTCTCTCCATCATCGCCTTCACCAACCACCGGATTTTCAGGAGCATCAAGCAGAGCATGGGCTTAAGCGCTGCCCAGAAGGCCAAGGTGAAGCACTCGGCCATCGCGGTGGTTGTCATCTTCCTAGTCTGCTTCGCCCCGTACCACCTGGTTCTCCTCGTCAAAGCCGCTGCCTTTTCCTACTACAGAGGAGACAGGAACGCCATGTGCGGCTTGGAGGAAAGGCTGTACACAGCCTCTGTGGTGTTTCTGTGCCTGTCCACGGTGAACGGCGTGGCTGACCCCATTATCTACGTGCTGGCCACGGACCATTCCCGCCAAGAAGTGTCCAGAATCCATAAGGGGTGGAAAGAGTGGTCCATGAAGACAGACGTCACCAGGCTCACCCACAGCAGGGACACCGAGGAGCTGCAGTCGCCCGTGGCCCTTGCAGACCACTACACCTTCTCCAGGCCCGTGCACCCACCAGGGTCACCATGCCCTGCAAAGAGGCTGATTGAGGAGTCCTGCTGAGCCCACTGTGTGGCAGGGGGATGGCAGGTTGGGGGTCCTGGGGCCAGCAATGTGGTTCCTGTGCACTGAGCCCACCAGCCACAGTGCCCATGTCCCCTCTGGAAGACAAACTACCAATTTCTCGTTCCTGAAGCCACTCCCTCCGTGACCACTGGCCCCAGGCTTTCCCACATGGAAGGTGGCTGCATGCCAAGGGGAGGAGCGACACCTCCAGGCTTCCGGGAGCCCAGAGAGCATGTGGCAGGCAGTGGGGCCTCTTCATCAGCAGCCTGCCTGGCTGGCTCCCTTGGCTGTGGGCAGGTAGCACGCCTGCTGGCAGAGGTACCTGGTGGCTGCCCTGTTCGCATCAGTGGCGATGACTTTATTTGCGGAGCATTTCTGCAAGCGTTGCCTGGATGCGGTGGTGCATTGTGGGCCCTCTGGGCTCCTGCCTCAGAATGTCAGTGAGCACCATGCTGGAGGTCACCCAGCACTGTGGCAGCGCCCAGGAGGGCATAGGGCAGCCTACCACCTCCAAGGGGGCAGGCGCCCTCATCTGGGGTTGGGTCTGTGCTGAGCTGGAGGGCCTCTAGGGAACCGTGGGGCAGGGTGGCCAGCTGCTGGCTCCCAGAGCGCAGCCCAGGCGTCCTCAACGGGGAGCCCCAAATGTCCACGCCCAGAACAACAGTTGGCAGGACAGGTGTGACACAGCCACAGCAGAGGCAAGGGGTGCCAGGAGTCCCCAGCGGCATCCTCGGGGAGATGCTGGTGAGGGGTCCGTACAGGGTGGGGTCCCCACCCCTAGCCCCTTACTGAGGGGGGAGTGCAGCAGTTGGCCTGCTTGTCTGGCGGAGAAAGCCAGCTCCCTGCACCCTCGGGGCTGAGTCAGATCTGGGTCTGCCGCAAAGGCCTTGCCTAGACCAGGTCACACTGATGCCCTGGTTTCCCTATCTGTAAAATGGGGCCAATGACACCTACCTCACTGGGTCACCATCGAGATCAATCCTCCTCCCTGCCCCGACACCTCGGGCACATCGCATGCACTCAGAGCACAGAGCCGGGCAGACGCAGCACCTGCATGGGGAGCCCAGTGCCCGGCACAGCACAGGGGCTTCCAGGGAGGCCGCGCAGGGCCGTGGGGCTGAGCCACGCTCTCGTTTTGTCAGGCAGCTATGCAGTTGCTCTTCCTTGTTTTTGTTTTGTTTTTGTTTTTGTTTTTAATATTTATTTTTTTAGAGACAGGGCCTTGCTCTGTTGCCTGGGCTGGAGAACAGTGGCACCATCATAGCTCACTGCAGCCTCAAACTCCTGGGCTCAAGCGATCCTCCCCGCTCAGCCTCCTGAGTAGCTGGGACTACAGGTGTGCACCACCACACCCAGCCAAAACAGCCATCCTCCCCTTGAGAGTCATCAGAAAAATACATTAGGAAAATGTGTTTAGAAATAAAAGCACAAGGCAGGGCAGTGCTCACGCCTGTCATCCCAGCACTTTGGGAGGCCGAGACGGGAGGATCAGTTGAGGTCAGGAGTTTGAGACCAGCCTCGGCAACATGGCAAAATCTTGTCTCTTTTTTTTGGTATTAAAAAAATCATAAAAATAAAAGAAATAATGCAATTTAACCTTCACAGTTAACATTTCTCCAATTTAACCTTCACAGTTAACATTTCTCCAATTTAACCTTCACAGTTAACATTTCTCCTGCCTTGAGAGGAGTGTGCCCCTAGGCTTCCAGAGGACAGCCGTGACCAGGGACTTGAAAAGTTGGGGCTGAGGTTCTGGACCAGTCTGGAATATTCAGGGCTGGGGCAAAAGGGATCATAACGATGTCCAGCAGGGGCTTTCCTGTGGCTGCTATAACCAGTTCCCACAAGTTGGTGGCTTAAAACAACAAACCGGGCTGGGCACCATGGCTCATGCCTATAATCCCAGCACTTTGGGAGGCCAAGGCGGGCAGATCACCTGAGGTCAGGAGTTCAAGACTAGCCTGGCCAACATGATGAAACCCCGTCTCTACTAAAAACACACACAAAAAAATTATCTGGGTGTGGTGGAGCACACCTGTAATCCCAGCTACTTCGGAGGCTGAGACAGGAGAATCGCTTGAACCCAGGAGGCAGAGGTTGCAGTGAGCTGCGATCGTGCCATTGCACTCCAGCCTGGGCAACAAGAGCAAAATTCCTTCTCAAAAAACAAAACAACAGCAACAACAAAAAAACACAACCAAAAACTGTTTACTCAGGCTGGGCGCGGTGGCTCACGCCTGTAATCCCAGCACTTTGGGAGGCCGAGGCGGGCGGATCACGAGGTCAGGAGATCAAGACCATCCTGGCTAACACAGTGAAACCCCTTCTCTACTAAAAATACAAAAAATTAGCCGGGCGTGGTGGCAGGCGCCTGTAGTCCCAGCTACTCGGGAGGCTGAGGCAGGAGAATGGCGTGAACCCAGGAGGCAGAACTTGCAGTGAGCCGAGATCGCGCCACTGCACTCCAGCCTGGGAGACAGAGCGAGACTCCATCTCAAAAAAAAAAAAACCACTGTTTTCTCACAGCTCTGAAGCCAGAGTCCACTTTTTCATCTTTTGCTGCCACACAGCAACAAATAAGAGCCTCGCTCCCACGTCAGATCCCAGCCTTGGGGACCGGGCGCCGTCTCACCCACCGGTAGGGACAGCAGGGCTAGGCTGAGACACGCAGAGTACCTGGCTCAGGCGAGGGACTGCCTGAACTGGCTGGTGTCACAGTGGCAGGAAAGTTACCAGGCATAGCCGGGTGAGGTGGCACCTGCAGTCCCAGCTGCTTAGGAGGCTGAGGTGAGAGGATCATTTGAGCCTGGGAGGTGGAGGCTGCAGTGAGCTAGCACTGCACCACTGCACACGGGGAGGCCAGGAGACAAAGGCCCGATGGGACCTGGGGATGACACCTCTGTGGCGGTTTCAGAGGGCGCCTGAGCGCAATGTCTGCAGTGAAATTTAAAAATGGACACCGGACCTGTGGGACCCACGGCAGTCACCATCAGGTGGGGAAGCTCTATGCAAAGACAAACCACTCAGAGTGAAACTCGGGGGGTGGGGCTTACCTGATGGGAGGGGCAGCTACGGGGACCTTGCCCAGGGTGAGGCCCAAATGGGACCAGGCACCCAGAAGGGAGGCCCAGCCCAGCCCTTAATGCTGAGACCCTCGAGGGCTGTGGGCGGAGGGCAGCAGGTTGAGTCCCTGCAGGACGGGCGCAGCTGGGGAGGTGGAGGTTACGGGCCTGCCTGGCTGCTCACCGCCCCGCGTCTGCTCTGGCAGTGAGAGAGGGTCACAGCATGGCTTTGTCATCAGCCACTGACCACTGACCACAGGCCCTGGCCCTGTCATCCAGCTTGTGCTGCTGGTGGGAGCTGCTGAGGTGGCCAGCGCTAGGGGCCGCCCTGTGTGGAGTCTGGGCTCACTCACTGTCTCTCTCACCATCGACCCCTTCCTCCGCCCCGCTTGACCTCACTCAGGCACTCCCTCCACGAGGTGCTCCTGGGGCACCCCAGGTAGTGAGGAGGCCACAGTGAAGGCCGCTGTGACCCACGCAGGGAGGCGGGAATGAGGAGGGGAGCCCCGAGGGCCACCCCTGCCTCCAGCACCATGCCCTGCCGCCCTGCCCTCCAGCCTCTAGCCACAGTTGCCTCTTCAGACAGGGTCCAGGAGGGGCAACACTGCTCTGCTCACTGCCCTGTCGTTACCTGAGTAACGGTGACAGGGAGAGAGGACCACACACCTCCTCGCCAGCTGGAGAGAAGCCCCCGGACCTATGGAACTGTTCTCCCAGGTCCTACTGTGACGAAGACACCTGCACACCAGGGGAAGGAGCAGTTCAGAAGCAGCACCTCAGGCTCTCCGGAAGGCCCTGTGTCCCGTCCACACCCGCTCCCCTCCGACCATCCCCACTCTGCCTGGCATGGCAGGGGCTGTGGATGCCTCACAGCGACAGCCCAGGGAGAGGCCGCATAGGCCAGGGAGGCAGGGAGAGTTTTGTTGGGAATTCTGGGATCCTACTGCCTGGAGTTGGGGCAGGGGAGCACAGCCCAAGGAGGTCACATCCTGGTGGCCCTGCAGCCTCCTGGCATGTGGGAGGACATGCCTGGAAGAGACAGCATGAGGGGGGACCACATATGGAGGACTTTTTTTTTCTTTTGAGACAGAGTCTTGCTCTGTCACCCAGGCTGAAGTGCCGTGGCATGATCTCAGCTCACGGCAGCCTCCACCTCCTGGTCCCCTGAATAGCTGGGACCACAGGCGTGCACCACCACACCCAGCTGGTTTTTTTTTTGTTAGGGACAGGGTTTCACCACATTGCCCAGGCTGGTCTTGAACTTCTGGACTCAAGCAATCTGCCTGCCTCAGCCTCCCAGAGTGCTGGGAGGGATTACAGGCATAGGCCACCACATCCATCCTTTTTTTTTTTTTTTTTTTGAGACAGGGTCTTGCTTTGTCACCCAGGCTGGAGTTGAGTGCAGTGGTGCAATCTCAGCTCACTGCAGCCTCTGCCTCCTGGGTTCAAGCGATCCTCACACCTCAGCCTCCTGAGTAGCTGGCATCACAGGCATGTGCCACCATGCCCAGCTGCCCAGCTAATTTTTACATTTTTTATAGGGACAGGGTCTCACTGTTGCTCAGATTGGTCTTGAACTCCTGGCCTCAAGCAATCTGCCTGCCTTGGCCTCCCAAGGTGCTGGGATCGCAGGAGTGAGCCAGCCCCCAGTGCTAGCAGTGCTCTTGGGTAATGAACGTGTGAATGAGAGCACACTGAATGGTCGCGTGGGGCGGCCACCCTCCTGAGGGACAGCTCACTATGGACAGGTGATACCACCACTTGGTACCTCCTTTCTTCATCCATAATTTGCGAATGGTGACAGTGACTGTCCCACAGGCCTGGTGGGGTATTAATTCAGATAGTACACGTCCCACACCTAAGATGAGCCTGGCACAAAGCAGCGCTCAAAAACACACATCTTCCTTTAACTTCCTCCTCGGTTCCCCCAATGGGGGATCTTGCAGGCAAAGTGTTGACGAAAGGTCCGCCCGTTCCCAAGAACGACCCTAGAGGGCGCCAGGCAGCGGGGCTTGAATGGACCGGGCGGGTTTCGCTTTCCCGCTAGTAGCCGCCCGCGGCCGCCAGGGGGCAGCAGCTGCAAAGGGCGCCCGTGGGCAGCCGGGCCGCGCCTGTGGCCACGCAGTGCAGAGGCGGCCCCATCCGAGCGCTCGGGCGGGCGGGAGCGGAGCCGGAGCAGTGTCCCCGCCACCGCGGAACCTTCGCAGGCGGAACATTTTGCACATCCTTCCAGACCTTTCCTAAATCCTTACCTGCCTGCACAGGCACTCGTGGAAAATACGCGATACTGCCTTGTGTGTATGCATTTATCCAGCTTTTTATTTTGAAATAATTCCCAATTTTGGGGCTGGGCGCAGTGGCTCACGCCTGTAATCCCAGCACTTTGGGAGACCGAGGCGGGCAGATCACGAGGTCAGGAGTTCGAGACCATCCTGGCCAACATGGTGAAACACCGTCTCTACTAAAAATACAAAAAAAAATTAGCTGGGCGTGGTGGCGTGTGCCTGTAATCCCAGCTACTCGGGAGGCTGAGGCAGGAGAATCGCTTGAACCAGGAAGTCAGAGGTTGCAGTGAGACTCCGTCTCAAAAAAAAAAAAAAAAAAAAAAAAAATCCCAATTTACAGAAGGTGGCAAACACCGTGCAAAGAGACCCGGATATTCCTGTCCTGCAGATTCGCCATCTGTGAACATTGCCCCGCTATTCCTTCTCTCGCTCCTGCTTATATGGCATTTGAGAATAAGCTGCAGACTCCAGGCTTGCTCCCCTAAACAGCTCAGAGAGTATTTTGGAAATAAACGAACTCTCTCCCAAGTAATTGCAGTGAACCTTGAAAAATCAGGAAGCCACCACTGATCCAATGTCCCCATCGACTCCGCAGAGCCCCTGCCAATTTCCCCGCTGTCTCAGTGAGTCTTTGTGGGTCTTATGGGTCTTTGTGGGATGGCCCTCGCTCTAGCCTTGCCTGTTTCCTGTGGCTTCTTCATTTCCAGGAGGAACCCCTCAGAAGTGAGACTTTCCTCTTACAGCAACCTACCGGAGGCCCACGGGGCCAATCTGGCCATCGCTGGTGATGATAACCCTCATCGCTTGGGTATGATGGTGTCTGCCGCCATTCCCCACTGAAAAGTTAATTAGTAAGCATTTTGCATTCATTAATGAATAAGCAATTATTACACCGTTTCTGGGGAGAGAATTTGAGGTTTCCACTATGAGGTCAGGCTTACCCTTCTCTCTCATGTGTGTATGTGCGGGTCTCCGTCCATTTTGTCTTGCTATAAAAGATTACTTGAGACTGCATAATTTATCAGAAAAAAAAGAGGTTTACTTAGCTCACAGTTCTACAAGCTGAGAAGTTCAAGGGCATGGCCCTGGTGAGGACTTTCATTCTGTGTCACAAAATGGTAGAGAAGGCAGGGCACAGTTGCTCACACCTGTAATCCCAGCACTTTGGGAGGCTGAGGTGGGTGGATCACCTGAGGTCGGGAGTTCAAGACCAGCCCGGCCAACATGGTGAAACCCCGTCTCTACTAATAATACAAAAATTAGCTGGGCGTGGTTGCACATGCTTGTAGTCCCAGCTACTCGGGAGGCTGAGGCAGGAGAATCGCTTGAACCCAGGAGGCAGAAGTTACAGTGAGCCGAGATCGCGCCGTTGTACTCCAGCCTGGGCGACAAGAGCAAAACTCCATCTCAAAAAATAATAATAATAATAATCCAAGATCTGGGCACTAGGGGTGCTCACTGTTTCCAGATCTGTAGAAAATACATATGCCTATACACACACACATAGATATATACACACACATAGATATACATCTGTATTTCCAGCTATCCATATTGGAACTGGATTTGTACTGATATCTCCAATTTCAATCCACCCAGCCAGAAGTTGGTCCAGTCTGACCACTTTCCTAATTTGCAACTCCCTTCTCCGAAACGAGAGTCCTCAAATCCTTCATCCCCGATGCTTTTACTTATTTGTGCAATCCCCAGCCCTCTCCAACGTCTCTTTCTTGGCTCCTTGGCAGGTTAAAAGCTGGCCCTCAAGGAGGAGGGAAAGGGGAAGTAGGAAAAAGGAAGAAATGAATGGTCTGAGAGTTCCCTCTGTTTGCAAGTGAACAGTGAGCCTGCCAGTGTTCTGAACATGGGCAAGACATGAGACACCTGGGTCTGAGACAAAGACTTTGTTACTCACAGCACAGCAGGCAGCACGAGCTTCATATTCCCCCCAGCCCCCCAGCCCCACGGACAATGAGGAGTGGCTCCGGTGGATGCTGTACACACAGCTAAGGAACCCTGGGTTAGGAAACACCAGTCATTTAAAGGACTGCTAGCAAACCTGCCCAGTTTCTGCCCAGAGGGAGAAGCCATCTTTATTATCTTGGACAGCAAGCAAATTTGCCCTCTGCCTGGAGGGAGACACATGCATGACGCTGAGGATTCACGTGTGGACATTGGGACCCCAGGGCCTGAGCTGAGACCCCAGCACTGCCCTTTACTCTCTGGGACCTTGGACAAGTGACCCAACCTCTCTGTGCCTCGCTGTCCTCATCTGGAAAATGGAGACAATAACTGTATCCAGGTCACTGCTTTCTTAGGAAGATTAGCAAGACCAGTATACAACGTGCCAGGGTCATCTATGCTGGGAAGGGCTGAGTGGGCTGCAGACAGGGCCATGGATGGCCTCTCTGAGCAGGTGCTTTTGAGACCAGACCAGTGGAAGTGGGGAGCAACCTTGCAGCTGGTCTGGGTCAGGCGCAGGGCAAAAGCCCAGGGCAGGGAGCACTTCAGGTGCTCGAGAAGTGGTGAGAATCCACGGGGAGCAAGAGCCCAGGAAGCCAGGCATCGACAATGGAGTTCCCTCTGAGCACCTGAGACGGCTGTGCCGGGGACTCCTGAGCAGAGGCCAATGCAGCCAACTCGCATTTAAGGGCCCGCTGGCTGTCGTGGAAGTGCCTGGATACTCAGGAAGAGCTACAAGCATCTGGAGGCGGCCCAAGGGTGCAGGTGAGCCTCCGAACTGGGCAGCAGCGCGGGCGGTTGCAGGTGGGTAGATCCTGATGTGTGTGAAGGTGGAGCCGAGGACGCTGGCGGGCAGATGGGAGGTGGAGGTGAAAGAAAGAGGCTGCAGGAGGAACCCAGTGCTTCGGAGGAGCCTCAGGTAGCTGGTGGTCTTCCTCTCCTGTTACCACAAATTGCGTGGTTTCAAGCAGCCCACCTTTCTTAGCTTGCAGTCTGTGGGTCTCTGCTTACGCTGGAGTCAGGCGGCAGCTGGTCACGCTCTGGTCTGGAGCTCAGGGTCCCCTTCCAAGCTCGCTCCTGTCGCTGGGAAGCCGGGTGTGGGACTGAGGAGGTCCCTGCCTCCTTGTGGTGTCACTGATGGCTGCTCCCTGCTTCTGGGGGGTGCTCATGTTCCTTCTCACGCCCCCCGCCCTGTCTTCAAACCAGCATCCGCACCTTGAAGCCTTCCCAGGCTTGGACCTCCCTGACTCCCCCTCCTGTCACCAGCCACAGAAAACTGTCCTCTTTTCAAGGCTCCCGGGACTAGGTCAGGCCCACTTGGGAATTAGCGTTAAGCTCCACTCTGCCGTGTAAACTCGCCCGACCTTGGGAGTGGCACCTCCGCAGAGGCACCAGTTCCAGGGGCTGGCGCAGGGGAATCTGGGAGAGCACATGTTCTTAGAATTCGGCCTAAACTGGGGTGCTTAAAATAAGGGCACGGCTGACACGCAGTGGCCTCCTGGTTCTTTTGGTGCAGGGTGGATGGCGTTTAATCCAGGACTGGAGAGGCGCCTGGGGAGTAGGCGGTGACAGAGGGGCGGTGTGAGGGCTGGGATCCGGAGCCCTGCAACACTGGGAGGGGGCGGAGAGGAGGGATGCACAGAGGCTCACGAGGAGGGGCTGGTGGGAAGAGCAAGTGCAAGGGTTGGGCAGGGCAGGGCAGGGCCCACAAAGTTTGGCCCAAGGCCCCCAGTGGCTTGGAGAGGAGAGGAGGGTGGAGGACGGCTGGCAAGCCCATAGGTACATAAAGGCCTCAGGAGGCCAGCATGGTGACTCATGACTGTAATCCCAGCACTTTGGGAAGCTGCAGTGAAAAGATCGCCTGAGTCCAGGAGTTCAAGACTAGCCTGGGCAACATAGGAAAATCCTGCCTCTACCAAAAATACAAAAATTAGCTGGGCATGGTGGTGTGCGCTTGTTGTCCCAGCTGCTCGGGAGGCTGAGGTGGGAGGATGGATTGAGCCCGGGAGATTGAGGCTGCAGTGAGCCATGATCACACCACTGGTGGAGAAAGAGTGCACCCCAGGAGTTTGAGACCAAGAACAGCAAAGTAACTGTGGCCACGGGGGTGTGGGAAGGTTTTGGGGTATTTGCTAGTATGAAAGGAAAATATGGGGACCCCAAAATCACTAAGCCAAAGTGAAAAGTCAAACTGGGAACTGCTGGCAGGCAGACCTCCCTCCAATCCTATTTGTAAACAAGACAGCTACAAAGATTAAAAAGCTACATACCTCCCACACAAATTGCCCACAAGGAAATTCCTTGTGATGTGTTACCCGTGGAAGGTGCTCCCCACTCCCTGCTTCGAGTTGTCCCACCTTTTTGGAACAAACCAATGTGTTTCTGTTTCTTTTTTTTTTTTTTTTTGAGACAGAGTCTCACTCTGTCGCCCAGGCTGGAGTGCAGTGGTGCAATCTCAGCTCACTGCAACCTCTGCCTCCCGGGTTCAAGCGATTCTCCTGCCTCAGCCTCCCAAGTAGCTGGGATTACAGGCGCCTGCCATCATGCCCAGCTAATTTTTGTATTTTTGTAGAGACAGGGTTTCACCATGTTGGCCAGGCTGGCCTTGAACTCCTGACCTCAGGTGATCCACCCACCTCGGACTCCCAAAGTGCTGGAATTACAGGCGTGAGCCACCGTGCGCGGCCTTATGTATTTCTTTCTTTCTTTCTTTTTTGAGATGGAGTCTCGCTCTGTTGCCCAGGCTGGAGTGCAGTGGCACGGTCTCGGCTCACTGCAACCTCCGACTTCCTGGTTCAAGCGATTCTCCTACCTCAGCCTCCCGAGTAGCTGGGATTACAGGCGCCCGCCACCATGCCCGGCTAATTTTTGTATTTTTAGTAGAGACAGGGTTTCACCGTGTTAGCCAGGATGGTCTCGATCTCCTGACCTTGTGATCTGCCCACCTCGGCCTCCCAAAGTGCTGGGATTACAGGCGTGAGCCACCGCACCCGGCTGGCCTTATGTATTTCTTAAATGTGTTTGATTGATGTCTGTGTCTCCCTAAATTGTATAAAACCAAGCTGCACCCCAGCCACCTTGGGCACATGTTCTCAGGACCTCCTGACGGCTGTGTCACAGGCCATGGTCACTCATATTTGGCTCAAAATAAATCTCTTCAAATGTTTTACAGAGTTTGATTCTTTCCATTGACATGTTACTGGTGAAAGGTATCTGAGTTACTGGCAGTGAATCCGTACAGGTCTGTGGCAACCTCAATTCTTGCCTCCTCAGAAGAATTCGACCAATGGGCATAAGCAGAAGGAGAAACTGAGGTAAGTTTCAGAGCAGGGGTGAATGTTTATTAAAGAACTTTGGAACAGGAATGAAGGGAAGGAAAGCACACGTGGAAGAGGGCCAGGTGGGCGACTTGAGAAACCAAGTGCACGACAATCTATACAATTTTTCTTTTCTTTTTTTGAGACGGAGTCTCGCTCTGTCACCCAGGCTGGAGTGCAGTGGTGGGATCTTGGCTCACTGCAACCTCTCCCTCCTAGGCTCAAGCGATTCTCCTGCCTCAGCCTCCTAAGTAGCTGGGATTACAGTTGCACGCCACCACGCCCAGCTAATTTTTTTGTATTTTTAGTAGAGATGGGGTTTCATCATGTTGGCCAGGCTGGTCTTGAACTCCTGACCTCAAGTGATCCGCCCACCTCGGTCCTCCCAAAGTGCTGGGATTACAGGCATGAGCCACTGCACCTAGCCCAATCTATACAATTTTAATCATGTTGAGTATAAAATACAATTTCCATAAGCCTTTTATAACCTTTTATTAAGGACTGGGTTAATACTCCAAGAAAACCTTGTTAATCCGACACAGAGGCCCATATGCTGGGCTTACATCAGTGTGCCTTCAACATTAATGGTTAACTTATCTCTCAAAATCACCCCTTACAATCCACACACCCGCCTCTTCCGCGATAGTCCCTGGGCCTTCAGGAACTGAACTGTTTTAACTGGTTTTGGTTTGATTTCTGGCCTGTGTCTCAGGAACGCGGTTTATTTTGACTGGCATCTTCTATCGGGTCTGAGGATGAGGCTTTAACTGCTGTCAGTGTTTAAGATTTAGCAGGACTTTGGCTAGTGGGGGTGGCTCATGCCTGTAATTCCAACGCCTTAGGAGGCCGAGGTGGGTTGGGAACTCCTGGGGTCAAGAGTTCCACACCAGCCTGGCCAACATGGTGAAACCCTGTCTCTACTAAAAATACAAAATAGCCAGGCGTGGTGGTGCAAACCTGTAATCCCAGCTACTTGGGAAGCTGAGGCAGGAGAATCGCTTGAACCCAGGAGGCAGAGGTTGCAGTGAGCTGAGATCGCACCACTGCACTCCAGCCTGGGTGACAGAGCGAGACTCTGTCTCAAAAAAAAAAAAAAAAAAAAAAAAAAAAAAAAATTAGCAGGACTTGGTGTCCTTTTTAGACCCAGGAGTCAAAGCCCTGTAACTTAATGGCATAAGGATTTTAAAAGCACGTACAGAAAATTACACAGATGTAATAACTTTAATTTAAAAACATTTTAATCTCAATTTTTCTAAGCAAATCACAACTTAGGAATTATTTCAATAAAGTGTAAAAAGCCAGTTACCCAAAGGCAAAAGAAAAGACCTTCTGCAGTATGAGTGCTGTTCCCTGCGGGGAGTCCATTTAGATCACCGGCAAGGCAGAACTGATGACAAGGTACTTGAATTAGTTACACATAGTGTAGCAGGACAAGTCGCAGACAAAACTCCTCAGACACCGGATTAAAGAAGGAAGAGGTTTTTATTCAGCTGGGAGCGTCGGCAGACTCACGTCTCAAGAGCCGAGCTCCCGGAAAAAGAAATTCCTAGCCCTTTTAAGGGCTTACAACTCTAAGAGGTCCACGTGAAAAGGTCATGGTAGATCAAGTAAGCGTGAGGAACGTGACTGGGGGCTACATACATCAGCTCACAGAACAAAAAGTTTTACATTGCTTTCTCATACAATGTCTGGAATTTACAGATAACACCAGTAGTTTTGGTCAGGGGTTAACATTATTATTATTATTATTATTATTATTATTATTATTATTATTATTATTTTAACCACGAGGGCCAGGTGGTGGCGCCAAGGTCATCTAGCTATTTATCTTACTTCTGTTTCTTTCCAACTTTTTGCTTTCTCCCTTTTCTCTTGTCTTATAAACTAGGGAAAAGGGGAGGTGGGGGAGAAGCTGGGAAGGACAACAGGAGAAGTGGTGGTCTCATTCCACAATAGGAAGAGTGTTTCCTGGGTCATAAGCGAAAATTTTTGGATCCATAGAACAATTTAAAGCAAGAGCACAGAACGTTATGTTGGAAGGAAACGCGTCCTTTAGAACTCTAAAACAAAACATTTTCTAGCATCAGGTCACAATAAACAGAAGCTGAAGAATAAAAAACTTACAAGAGTTAAACACTAGTTGAAGGACAGAGTTATTCTTTCAGGCCTATTAAAAGGGGAGAGAAAGCGGAAAACAGAGAGGTGCAATGAAGTTGAACTTTGCATACAAAAATAATAATGTTGTGTAACTTTATTAAGAGTAAAGCAATACCTTAGGAAAATTTCATTGTTCAAACCAACTTTTTAGGAAGTTTTTAAATATCAAAACCTAATCTCTAGAAAGACCATTATAAACAATTTCCCTTTAATTATGACAACTATAAAAGTTTTTTCCATAAATCCTCTTCTTATGATTTACACAGACCATTCATGACGTTTGGACTTTCTGGTTTGTCCTGAACATCCCTCTTTCATGAACAACCAGTCATTTTATTCTAGGACAAAAATTCACCAAACAAGATTCTTTCTCATATAAAATTATTTTTCTCTAAGCATTTTTTTTTTTTTGAGACAGAGTCTTGCTCTGTCACACAGGCTGGAGTGCAGTGGCATGATCTCGACTCATTGCAACCTCTGCCTCCTGGGTTCAAGCAATTCTCCTGCCTCAGCCTCCTGAGTAGCTGGGATTACAGGCATGTGCCATTGTGCCTGGCTAATTTTTATATTTTTGTAGAGACGGCATTTCACCATGTTGGCCAGGCTGGTCTTGAACTCTTGACCTCAGGTGATCCACCTGCCTCGGCCTCCCAAAGTGCTAAAAAGGATTACAGGCATAAGCCACTGCACCGAGCCAACTTTTTTTTTAATACTAAAAATGCCTCTTTATTTTTCTTTCTTTTTTCTTTTCTTTTTTTTTTTGAGACGTAATTTTGCTCCTTGTTGCCTAGGCTGGAGTGCAATGGTGCGATCTCAGCTCACTGCAACCTGTCTCCCAGGTTCAAGCAATTCTCCTGCCTCAGCATCCCAAATAGCTAGGATTACAGGCATGTGCCACCACGCCTGGCTAATTTTGTATTTTTAGTAGAAACGGAGTTTCACCATGTTGGTCAGGCTGGTCTCAAACTCCTGACCTCAGGTGATAATGCCCACCTCAGCCTCTCAAAGTGCTGGATTACAGGTATGAGCCACCGTGCCCAGCCTTTTTTTTTTTTTTTTTTTTTTGAGATGGAGTCTCACTCTATTGCCCAAGCTGCTGGAGGGCAGTGGCACGATCTCAGCTCACTGCAACCTCTGCCTCCCGGGTTCAAGCAGTTCTCCTGCCTCAGCCTCCCGAGTAGCTGTGATTACAGGCACCCGCCATCATGCCTAGCTAATTTTTGTATATTTGTAGAGACAGGTTTTCACCATGTTGGCCAGGCTGGTCTCAAACTCCTGACCTCAGGTTATCTGCCCACTTCAGCCTCCCAAAGTGCTGGGATAACAGGCATAAGCCACCGCTCCTGGCCATGGCCTTTTATAACTTTCTTTACATCTCTTTTATTTCCTGGTTCCCTTTACCTTGTTTTATACATAATCTTTAAATAAGCTTTAAATTACACAAAAATTGGCTGGGTGCGGTGACTCATGCCTGTAATCCCAGCACTTTGGGAGGCTGAGGTGGGTGGATCACCTGAGGTCAGGAGTTCAAGACCAGCCTGGCCAAAATGGTGAAACCCTGTCTCTACAAAAATACAAAACTTAGCTGGGCATGATGGCGGGTGCCTGTAATCCCAGCTACTCAGGAGGCTGAGGCAGGAGAATCGCTTGAACCCAAGAGGCAGAGGTTGTAGTGAGCCAAGATCACACCACTGCACTCTAGCCTGGGCAACACAGTGAGATTCCGTCTCAAAAAAAAAAAAAAAGGCAGGAGAATCACTTGAACCCGGGAGGTGGAGGTTGCAGTGAGCTGAGATCGTGCCACCCACTGCACTCCACCTGGGCAATAGAGAGACTCAGTCTCAAAAAATATATATAATCATAAAAATAACAATAAATAAATTAGACAAAAATTATTCATCTTTTAACAAGAACACACATTTTTTAGAAAGAATGTTTTCTTAGTTTTTTTAATTGAAAAATACCTATTTAAGGAAATATCTGCTATTTAACTTAATATTAAACTTTAGGTTCTAAATTATGGCATTTGTCTACAAGTATGTATCCCATTACATACACCTAATTATTTTATATTAATAGTTTACCTGCATTATTTATGAAAACTGTGAGTCATCATGTAAAGTTATTTCCCTGTCAACCATTTTATAGCCTGTGAATTTCAGATATTTAGGTGAGTAGAAACCTTAAGATTAAATATATGGTTATTTTACTAAATAATTCAATATTTAACTGTTTTCATTAAAACAGTATTAACGTCTTATTTATCAAAAATTACACAAGCAGGAAAACTTACCCAAGCCAAGATCATTCTGTGTTGGGCTGGGTTTATAGTTTAATGAGCTTTATGCCAAATGTTGGCACCATTTATTATTTGGCAGGGATAAGAATGAAATCTCTTGATCAATAAATGCAAATAGAAATGTATGCTGGCTGGGCACAGTGACTCACACCTGTAATCCCAGCACTTTGGGAGGTCAAGGCAGGCAGATCACCTGAGGTTGGGAGTTTGAGACCCCAGCCTGACCAACATGGAGAAACCCTGTCTCTACTAAAAATACAAAATTAGCTGGGTGTGGTGGCGCATGCCTGTAATCCCAGCTACTTGGGAGGCTGAGGCAGGAGAATTGGGTGAACCCGGGAGGCGGAGGTTGCCGTGAGCCAAGATTGCGCCACTGCACTCCAGCCTGGGCAACAAGAGCAAAACTCCATCTCAAAAAAAAAAAAAAAAAGTATGCCGACAATTCATAAGACTGTTCTAATATCACCTTACCAAAATTTTAAAGCTAGCTTATTAAAGATTTTACTTAAGTCACATGAACTTGAAAAGCATTTCGGTTATTATTTATGAGTACTCTATAACTTTAAGCCAATTTGGTACCTGTGGCCAAAAACACATAACAAAATACAGGTATATACACATAAACACACACATACACACTCAAAAATCCTATAGCTTTTACTTTAGAACTCTAGCCATGCGATATTAATACAAACTCATTGGTTTGCGGAAACAATAACAAAAAGAAATGGTTGGATGCAAACAGTGGATTTTATCTCAGTAGAAAAGTAACAGCAGACTTAAAGCAGGGAAAACACAGCAGAGAGATAGAGAACTTAGGAACTTTGGCCGGCTGTGGCGGCTCACGCCTGTAATCCCAGTACTTTGGGAGGCCAAGGCAGGCATATGACCTGAAGTCAGGAGTTCAAGACCAGCTTTGCCAACATGGTGAAACTCCGTTTCTACTAAAAAATACAAAAATTAGCCTGGGCATGGTGGCGGGTGCCTGTAATCCCAGCTACTCAGGAGGCTAAGGTAGGAGAATCACTTGAAACCAACAGGTGGAGGTTGCGGTGAGCCGAGATGGTGCCATAGCACAACAGCCTGGGTGACAGAGCGAGACTGTCTCAAAACAAAAGAAAAAACAAAAAAAACCCACTTAGGAACTTGACAGTTGCAGGCCGACCCTCAGGCGCTGCATTTTCCTTGACGTAATTGTGCACAGAAAGACCATATTTCCATTTTATACAAACACTTGCAAACAGAGGCATCATAAAACCAAACGGGGGCCCAAGAGGCGTTGCTTTCCTTGGCTTTCCTCATTCTTAGATGATTTGTTTCCCACATTTTTTTCTCAAAAGGAGGAAGTGACCTGTGGCCTAGCAAGTGTCATGGGTCAAACTGTGCTGGTTGCGGGTGGGACTTCACAGTGTCACCACGAGTCATTGCTGCCCTCTCACGTGTCTCAATTTCTCTCTCCGGAGGTCTAAGTGTCTCAATTTCTCTCTCAGGACGTCTAAGTACCTCCAGAAGGGCTCAAAGTGCGGAGTGAGCCACTCTTACATGCGCTTCCTGGACAACCTTTTAAACTAATTTTGTTGGGGGTTTCCTGTAGGACCGTCGCACATCGCAGCGGGTCAACCCCCCGGACACTCCTGCTTGGCCCCCATTCACCCAGGAGCACCTTTCCACTGGGAAAAGCAAAATGTCCTTTCTTTTTGGAGCTGAGGAAACTCAATCTCTCATTTACCTATGAAAACAACAGTTGAGTTCCTCATGCAAATGTGCATACAAGGCAATGGAGAAGACCCTTTAAAATGCACCTCCGAACTAGAATTAGGATCCTAAACAACAACTTCCCAGGGGGAAAAAATCCCAGCCAAGACCACTTCCTATAAACTGTCCTCAGCCACCCCTAACTTTGTAGCTCTCGCCCACCATGATTATAAACGCCAAGCTCAAATCCTCTCATAGCGCAAGGTCATCTCTGGTACCCCCACAAAGCCAAAGAATACAGGTAATGTAGCAGGAGCCAGAGCCTTAGACCCAGAAGGACCTGTCCATGACTCTTGAAACGCCACCAAGAAAACAGAACACCCCAAAAGGGGTGAGTGGTGCCATTGTTCTGAGTTCTTTACAGGATTTGAGTCATTAGACACCTCTAGATTTTTTTCTTGGTACTGAAGTTGGTGAAGGGGAAGGAGGAACAGGGTGGAAGAAAAGTAAGACAGGAAGCAAACATGGAAACCGAGAGCGCGACCGGGAGCGAACGCGGAAACCGAGAGCGCGACGGGGAGCGAACGCGGAAACCGAGAGCGCGACCGGGAGCGAACGCGGAAACCGAGAGCCTGACGGGGAGCGAACGCGGAAACCGAGAGCCTGACGGGGAGCGAACGCGGAAACCGAGAGCCTGACGGGGAGCGAACGCGGAAACCGAGAGCGCGACGGGGAGCGAACGCGGAAACCGAGAGTATGGTTTTGTTTTGGTTTTCTCTTTTGCATCTGTGAGGAATTTTAGGTAATTCAGAAAGTCCTTGTTCCCCATAATTTGGAATTCTCATTCGGATTTGACCAAGGCAGGTAGAGTGGGTCAAATCTAATGGGAGAAAGACCGGAAAACATTTTTTTAAAAAAGATCCCAACAATATGATTACTGAGCACTCTAATGGTAAAGAGAAACTGAGACCAGCTGGTTGTTAATCATAACTTTAGCCAAGACGAAAACCCAATTAAGCTACTTACCTAGGAATGGGTCTCAGGCTGAAGACTGCCATCTTCCATTCTAGAAGCAGGGGAAAACTCAAATTTGCCTTCCCTGTTGAAAGCAGGCTCGAACTCCGGAAAGGAGTTATCTGCCTTCCACCGTCATGGAAGCAGGAAAACTTGCCTTCCTTGTTGGAAGCAAGTAAAACTCCAAAAAAAGGAGTTGTGTTACAAGAAAGGGGTCCCGATCAAGACCCCAAGAGAGGGTTCTTAGATCTCGCACAAGAAAGAATCAGGGCGAGTACATAAAGGGAAATAAATGTTGTTAGGAAAGTAAAGGAATAAAAGCATGGCTACTCCGTAGACAGAGCAGGCCTGAGGGCTGCTGATGGCCCGTTTTTATGGTTACTTTTTGATGATATGCTAAACAAGAGTGTATTATTCATGCCTCCCCTTTTTAGACCATATAGGGTAACTTCCTGACGTTACCATGACATTTGTAAACTCTCATGGTGCTGGTGGGAGTGTAGCAGTGAGGATGACCAGAGGTCACTCTTGTGGTCATCTTGGTTTTGGTGGGTTTTAGCTGGCTTCTTGACTGCAACCTGTTTTTAAATCAGCAAGGTCTTTATGACCTGTATCTTGTGCCAACTTCCTAGTCTCATTCTGTGACTTAGAATGCCTTAACCGTCTGGGAATGCAGCCCAGTAGGTTTCAGCCTCATTTTACCCAGCCCCTATTCAAGGTGGAGTTGCTCTGGTTCACACGCCTCTGACAGTTGCACAGAAAAATAAACTGTAGATCTCAACCAAATTTTGGGAGATCTGGGATTCTCTGGAGGGAGGGAAGCTCCCAGTCTTCAGCAAATTGTCCTATTGGTTTGAGCCGTAAAGAAAGCTCAAGCTGGTACCAATCACTGATAGATTTGTTGAAGGTCAGGGTCACCTCCACTCAGAGTCTTTTTTTTTTTTTTTTTTTTTGTGAGACAGAGTCTCGCTCTGTCGCCCAGGCTGGAGTGCAGTGGCGCAATCTTGGCTCACTGCAAGCGCCACCTCCCAGGTTCACGCCATTCTCCTGCCTCAGCCTCCCGAGTAGCTGGGACAACAGGCGCCCGCCACCACGCCCGGCTTATTTTTTTGTATTTTTAATAGAGACGGGATTTCACTGTGTTAGCCAGGATGGTCTCGATCCCCTGACCTCGTGATCCGCCCGTCTCGGCCTCCCAAAGTGCTGGGATTACAGGCGTGACCCACCGCGCCCGGCCTCAGAGTCCTTTCTGTTGGTTACCAAATTGGTAAACCAAAACGTATCTGAGGCTGGGTGCATGGCTCATACCTGTAATCCCAACACTTTGGGAGGCTGAGGCAGGTGGATCACCTGAGGTCAGGAGTTCCAGACCAGCCTGGCCAACATGGTGAAACCCCATTTCTACTGAAAATACAAAAATTACCCGAACATGGTGGTGGGTGCCTGTAGTCCCGGCTACTCAGAAGACTGAGGCAGGAGAATCGTTTCAATGGTCTGGAAAGGTGGGACAATTCAAATCGGGAAGGGGGCTTCTAGGTGATAGGTAAATAAGAGACAAAAGTTTGCATTCTTTTGAGTTTCTGATTAGCCTTTAATTGAATACACAATTTATAGGAATAGTCACTTACGCCTTAGTCCAGCTTAGTGAAACAATAGGGCAAAGAAGCCATCAGCTGTGCGTTTGTCTCACCGGAGCAGAGGGAGGACTCTTGAGTTCTGCGTGTCTTTTGTCCACAAGGAATTTTCTGTGGACAAATTTTGAGGGAAGGACATAGCTTTTTTATGTTTGTAGCTATTTTATTTAGGAATAGGATGGGAGGCAGGTTTGCTGATGGAGTTCCCAGCTTGACTTTTCCCGTTGGCTTAGTGATTTTGGGGTCCTGAGATTTATTTTCCTTTCAGTTTCTGTTATTGCAGCCAATCTGTTGGCTCTGTTACCCAGACTGGAGTGCAGTGGCACTATCTCAGCTTAACTGCAGCCTCGACCTTCTGGGCTCCAGCGATCCTCCCACTTCAGCTTGAGTAGCTGGAACCACAGGCAGGCGACACCATGTGATATAGTTAGGCTTTGTGTCCACAACGAAATCTCATCTTGAATTGTACTCCCCATAATCCCCACGTGTCAAGGGAGAGACCAAGTGGAGGTAACTGAGTCATGGGGGTGGCGGTGCCCCCATGCTGCTCTCACGTAGTGCATTTGTTCTCAAGAGATCTGATGGTTTGCAAAGGGCTCTTCCCCCTTTGCTCGGCACTTCTTTCTGCCACCTTATGAAGGTGTCTTGCTTCCCCTTTGATGGCCTCCATGATTATAAGTTTCCTGAGGCCTCCCCAGCCATGTTGAACTGTGAGCCAATTAAATCTCTTTCCTTTATAAATGACCCAGTCTCGGGCAGTACTTTATAGCAGTGTGAAAGCAAACCAATACACCACGCCCGGCTAATTTCTTGATTTTTTGTAGACGGGGTCTCGCTATGTTACCCAGGCTGGTCTCAAACTCCTGAACTCAAGTGATCCTCCCACCTTGGCCTCCCAAAATGTCAGGATTACAGGCATGAGCCACCATGCCCAGCCCCAAAAGGGGCATTTTCTACCATTTAAATAGTGACAGCTCTGCCAGTGACCATGGCTCTTTGTGACAAAAATATTAAACAACATAAAGGAAAAGAAAAAGATGGCTGGGAGGCTTAGTCACAGGCTGAGGGCCTGCCTTGACAGGAGTGTCCTGAGCATCTCCTCACTGGCTCTCTGGGGACTTCCTGGTACATATGGGCCTAAGGTCTCCACCCTACCACAGACCCAACAGCCCACAGCCCCAGGGTTGGCCCCAGGAGTCAGGATGAGTGATGAGGGGGTGGGTAGGGCCATAGCAGCGTCCTGCCTGGAATCTGAACTGTGCACAAATGCACCCAGGCTGCTCCCAAGTGAAGGGGCTCAGCTGCGAGGCTGAAAAGCTGAATGCATTTTTTTTTAATTAAACAGAAGCCTTTTTTCCTTGACTAGGTAATACATATGCATGGGAGGTAATTCCAAAGGAACAAAAAGACGGACATGGAACCTTCTAGCCTGGCCTGAGCCCCAGCCACCAGGGCACCACCCAGAGATAGCCCCTGGGGATCCAGCCATAGATACATTGTACGATACATAGTACTTAATGTACTTTTTTTTTTTTTTTTTTTTTTTGAGATGGAGTGTCTGTCTGTCGCCAGGCTGGATTGCACTGGCCCTATCTCAGCTTACTGCAACCTCCACCTCCCAGGTTCAAGCGATTCTCCTGCCTCAGCCTCCCAAGTAGCTGGGATTACAGACATGTGCCACCATGCCCGGGTAATTTTTGTATTTTTGGTACAAACAGGGTTTTACCATGTTGGCCAGGATGGTCTCGATCTCTTGACCTCGTGATCCACAAACCTCGACCTCCTGAAGTGCTGGGATTACAGGTGTGAGCCACCCCGCCTGGCTTAATGTACTTATTTATTGAAGTCAAAACACAGAATGCCCTGAAAGGGAGCACACAAAACAGATTCAACACCACCATTCAGATCAAGACAGTGATGGTCTCCAGGTCCTGGGAGACTGCCGTGCTGCCTGAGGGCCATTCTCTGGCACGGTGCCCTCTGCCTCATCTGAGCTTTCCATCTGTGGAAGCAGCCATTACTCCTGAGTTTGGCTTCTCTCCCGAAACGTTATGCTTGTGGGACCCATCCATTTGTTTGTGTGCAGCAATGTTTGCTCGTCTCATCTCACAAGTGTGCCACTGTTGAACATACCCACCTCCAGTGTCCATTCTCTTGGGGACATTTGGGTTGTTTTCAGGTTGGAGCTTTCACTGGGTGGAATGGCTCGCGCCTGTAATCCCAGCACTCTTTGGGAGGCTGAGGTGGGTGGATCACAAGGTCAGGAATTCGAGACCAGCCTGGACAACATGGTGAAACCCCATCTCTACTAAAAATACAAAAAATTAGCTGGGTGTGGTGGCGCACGCCTGTAACACCAGCTACTCAGGAGGCTGAGGCAGAAGAACTGCTTGAACCCAGGAGGTGGAAGTTGCAATGAGCCGAGATCGCACCATTGCACTCCACCATGGGCGACATAGCGAGCCTCTGTCCCCCCAAAAATAGAAGTTAAAAAAAAAAAACAGAGAGTTGAATCTCTAAGTTTAAATAAAAGGTTGTATTTGGGTGTAAGAAGTAGGACTGCAATCTGGGACATATAGACAGACCATGGTGGTCTCTGGTATGTCCAAAGAATGAAGGGAAAAGGTTAGGGTTTTATTAGGGAAAGCGTAGGCTACACAGGTTATTTTGAAAGAAAGTATATTGGAGCTGGAAGTGTCTTATAAGAGCTGGTGAGTTTTTATTTTTCATAGTTTTAAAATTAAATTCTTTTTTATAGAGACAGGGTCTCACTATGTTGTCCAGGCTGGTCTCGAACTCCTGGCCTCAAGTGATCCTCCCACTTCAGCCTCTCAGGATGCTGGGATTACTGGCATGAGCCACTGTGCCTGGCTCTGAGCTGGTGAGTTCTGACTGGCAAGTGTTGGTAGTTGCTAGGTAGGACGTGTAGTCTGGGAGTTGGCTAGGCTCCCGCAGTTTTGGATTGGGCTTGTGAGGCCACGTGTCAGGCAAGTGTTCTTGTATAAGCAGCTAGCTGTCCTTGTGTGACTTGTGTAGTGACCTGTGGTTTGGAAACATCTCATGATAGTTCTTATAATCGCGCACATCATACACGGGAGACTTCCCTTCATGCCCTTCCCCAGCTCCATGTAGCCAGGGGATTGTCACAAGTGATCCCGTTTTGAATCGGACAACTTTCACCAGGCTACTATGAGTAACCCTGCTATAAATTTTATTGTATAAATCTTTTTGTGAACATATGCATGCCTTTCTACGGGACACATCCTGACAAGCAGTGCTAAGTCATAGGCTCGGTGTGTGCTCAGGTCTGGCAGATCCTGCCATACATCTCCAAAGTGATTGTCCAGCTCACCACTTTCTTGTTCTTCAAGGTTGTTTTGGCTCTTTTTGGCACTTTGTATTGCCATAAAAATGTGAGAATCAGTTTGTCAATTCCCATAAAAGGTTGGTATTTTGACTGAGATTGCTTTGAATCTGAAGATAAATTTCGAGGTCTCTGATATCTTTACAAGAGTAAGTCTTCCAATCCATATGCCTGGTTTATTCCTCCATTTATTTAGATTTCTCTTGGCAATGTTGTGTAGTTTTCTGTGTAGAGGTCTTACATATTCAATGTTAGATTTATCCCTAGTGCTGATGTTTTCAGTGGTTTGCAAATGACATCATTAAAAAAGTATTTTATAATGGTTTCTGGCTTTTTTTTTTTTTTTGGGATGGAGTCTCACACTGTCGCCCAGGCTGGAGTGCAATGGCGTGGTCTTGGCTCACTGCAACCTCTGCCTCCTGGGTTTAAGCGATTTTCCTGCCTCAGCCTCCCAAGTAGCTGGGATTACAAGCTCCCAACACCATGCCCACCTGATTTTTTGTATTTTTAGTAAAGACGGGATTTCACCATGTTGGCCAGTCTGGTCTGGAACTCCTGACCTCATGATCCGCCTGCCTCAGACTCGCAAAGTGCTGGGATTACAGGCATGAGCCACCACGCCCGGCCAATGGTTTCTTATATATACAAATAGAATTGATTTTCCTGTATTGGCTATATTAAAAAATAAAAATCCAAGACAAGTTAAATATAACTGAGTTTAAGTAAGCAGAGAAAACATTCGTGTACCTGGGAAACAGTCCAGACTGAAAATGGTTTAGAATGCATCACCCAGCAATTTCTGCAAGCTATATTTATAGCCAGAGAAGAGGAAATGACATACAGAAATAACCTGATTGGTTACATTTGGTGTTTGCCTTGTTTGGTCATGTTTTGGCAGCCTTCAGCCTCTGACTGGTGGACATTCAGCTGCTATGATTGGCTGAGACTCAGCTGCTTATTACAAACCCATCCATCCTCTTAGGTTAGTATACAATTTGTTTACACATTAACTTTTTATTAATTTGAACAATTTATCTGGGGATTCCCTCCCTCCCTTCCTTTCTTCCTCCTTCCTTCTCTCCTTCCTTCCTCCATCCCTCCCTGCCTCCCTTCCTCCTTCCTCCCTCCCTTCCTTTCTCTCTTCTGAGACTCTTTCTTGACAGTCTTGCTCTGTCACCCAGAGTGACAGTGGTACAATCATGGCTCACTCTAGTCTCAACTTCCCAGGCTTAAGCAATCTTCTTGCTTCAGCCTCCTGAGTAACTGGGACTACAGGTGTGCATCACTACACCTGACTAATTTTATTATTTTTATTTTATTTTTCTTTTTTTGAGACAGAGTCTTGCTCTGTCACCCAGGCTAGAGTGCAGTGGCACAATCTCCACTCACTGCAACCTCCACCTCCTTGTTTCAAGCGATTCTTCTGCCTTAGCCTCCCAAGTAGCTGGGACTACAGTTGCGTGCCACCACACCCGGCTAATTTTTGTATTTTTAGTAGATATGGGGTTTCACCATATTGGCCAGGCTGGTCTTGAATTCCTGACCTCATGATCCGCTTGCCTTGGCCTCCCAAAGTGCTGGGATAACAGCCGTGAGCCACTGCGCCCGGCTCATGTGGCTAATTTTTAAAATTTTTTTGTAGAGACAAGGTCTCACTATGTTGCCTGGTCTGGTGTCAAACCCCTGGCCTCAAGTGAGCCTCCTGCCTTGGTCTCTCAAAGTGCTGGGATCAGAGGTGTGAGCCACCGCGCCCAGCATCCTTTGGATTTTCTACGTTCAAATTCCAACTTTCTGAAATTAATGATAATTTTAGTTCATTTTCAAATCTTCATACCTTTTCTTTCTTTTTCTTGCCTTCTTACAATAGCTAGGTCCTAGAGTACAACGTTGGGTAGAAATTAGTCAGAGCGGAGATGAGTCAGGAGATGAGGAAGTAATAGGAGAAAGCTTTACCATTTTCACCATTTCGCTATTCATTTTAGTATTTCCTGTGGATTCTTGTAGATACAGATGGTCTCTGACTTATGATTGCTTGACTTAACGATTTTTTGACTTTACAGTGGTGCAAAAGCAATACGCATTCAGTAGGAACCGTACTTCCAAGTACCCAGCCGGCCATTCTGTTTTTCACTTTCAGTGATGGTGAAAAAAGTGAAAGTATTCAGTAAATTCCATGACATAGTCAGTATTTTATTATAAAATAGGCTTTGAGTTAAGATGGTTTTACTCAACTGTAGATTAAGCTAAGTGTTTTGAGATGTGTAAGATGGGCTAGGCTTAAGGCATGTTTGGTAGGTTAGATGTATTAAATGCATTCTCAACTTATTTTTGATATTTTCAAATTACAATAGGGTTTTTGAGACATAATTTCATCCTAAGTGGAGAAGCATCTGTATATATTTGTTTAATTTTACTACAGTATACACCAATATCTGTCATTACTAAGTATATATTTAAGTTTACTTACAGTATGTTCAAGTATGTGGTAAGAATTAGTAGACTACAGTAATGTTTGGTTAGGTGTGGTGGTGTGTGCCAGTAGCCCAAGCTACTTGGGAGGCTGAGGCGAGAGAATCACTTCAGCTGGGGGAGGTCAAGGCTGCAGTGAGCACCACTGCACTTCAGCCTGGGCCACAGAGCAAGACCTTGTCTCAAAACAATAACGATAATAGGCTGGGTGCAGTGGCTCAAGCCTGTAATCCCAGCACTTTGGGAGGCTAAGGCGGGCAGATCACTTGACGTCAGGAGTTCGAGACCAGCCTCGCCAACATGGTGAAACCTTGTCTCTACTAAAAATACAAAAATTAGCCAGGTATGGTGGTGGGCGCCTGTAATCCCAGCTACTAGGGAGGCTGAGGCAGGAGAATCGCTTGAACTCAGGAGGCAGAGGTTGCAGTGAGTTGAGAGCATCACACCATTGCACTCCAGCCTGGGCGACAGAGTGAGATTCTGTCTCAAAATAATAGTAACAATAATAATGTCCTCCAGGGAATTGTCTTCTCGTGTCCACACTGGCCCTAGGCTTGGCCACATGTGGTTTGGCCACCTGGACATTGGCACATATGAGCAGAGCAGAGGGAAGTATAAAAAGAGCCCCTGTATTGGTGCCTGCCTGGGCTGGCCTTCCGGAGGATGACAGAGCAGAGATGAGTCAGTCATCTCTGCCAAGACCCAAACACTTGAGTGAGCTCAGCTGATGCCTCATGAGACACAGGATGCTGTGACCCCAGCCGAAATGCCAACCGCAGAAATGCCAGCAAACAAAAGGCTGCCTTTTGAATCTACTAAGTTTGGGAAAGTGTGTCACACAGCAAAAGGTAACTGATATAGAGGTGGGTGTCCTCCTTAATACTTTTCTTTTTTCTTACTTTATCTATAGGGTAGCCTTCCACATGTATTTCTCTAGATTTTTATTTTATTTTTTATGTTTATTTATTTATTTTTTGAGACAGAGTCTCACTCTGTCGCCCAGGCTGGAATGCAGTGGTGCAATCTCAGCTCACTGCAACCTCCGCCTCCTGTGTTCCAGCAATTCTCCTGCCTCAGCCTCCCGAGTAGCGGGATTACGGGTACATGCCACCACGCCTGGCTAATTTTTGTATTTTTAGTAGAGACGGGGTTTCACCATGTTGGCCAGGCTGGTCTCGAACTCCTGAACTCAGGTAACCCGCCCACCTCAGCCTCCCAAAGTGCTGGGATTACAGGCATGAGCCACTGTGCCCGGCCATTTCTCTAGATTTTTAATAGCATTTTGTGAGGTTTCAAAAATATCCTGGGATTTTGCCTGGCAATAGAATAAATGTATATATTCATTTGGGAAGTAAATGAACTCTGGACTCAGGCCCAGTGACACATTTTCACCAGCAATACCACTATGACTCCACTAAGAGAACAACTGGAGTCTCCGCATGGCCTCTCCTGGCCGCTGCCCCATGCACCTCTTCTCTTGGTTAATTTTAATGAGCCTTTTCATGGTAATGAACCATAACCACGAGTACAATAGCTTCTAGGGAATTCTCTGAGTCCTTCTAATGAATTTCAAACTTGAGGGTGGTCTTGGGGCTGTCCCTAACTTTGTACTTGTATATTTAGTTTGCTAAAGATTATACCATGAAGGGGTGTTGAATTTTACTAGATGCTTCTACACTGAGATTTTCATACTTTTTTTCTCCTTCATTCTATTGTCATGAATCATGTTGACCTTGCAATGTGAAATCAACTGTACTCCAGTTCCTGGAGTACACCCAACTTGGTTGTGATGAGTTACCTTTTTTACATTATCATTGGATCTGATTTGCTAATATGTGGTTTGGAATTTTAAACAATGTTCATGAGAGAGAATACCATGTGTGTTTTCTCCCATCATGTCCCTTTCGAGTTTTAGTATCAAATTTGTTAGCCCTGTAGAACAAATTGGTAAGAAGAGTTCCCCTTTATCATTTGGAAGACTCTGTGTAAGACTGATGCTCTTTCTTCAATTTGAGTCTTTTTTTTAACGGATTCTAGTTCTCCTTGTCATCAATTTTCCTGAATACATTAGTTACTGAAAAATATGACTCCAATCTTGGTGTAACCATAGACTTCTATGTTTTTTCTGGTCCTATGTCCTAGCAAGCCTGTTAATATTTTATGACTACAGTTAACAGTAACTTACTGCATATTTTCTAATAGGTAGAGGAGAGGATTTTGAATGTTCCCAACACAAAAGAAATGATGTTTGAGGTGATGGATATGCTAACTACCTTGATGGATCATTATACTTTGTATATACATGTCAAAATATCACACCAAATCTCATCTTGAATTGTAGCTCCTATAATTCCCATGTCGTGGGAGGGACCCGGCAGGAGGTAACTGAATCATGGGGCAGGCTTTCCTGTTCTGTTCTCCGGATAGTGAATACATTTCCTGAGATCTGACGGTTTTATAAAGGGGAGCTCCCTGCACACGCTCTCTTGCCTGCCGCCGTGTAAGACGTCCCTTCGCTTTTCCTTTGTCTCCTGCCATGATTGCGAGTCCATTAAACCTCTTTTTCTTTATAAATTACCCAGTCTCGGGTATGTCTTTATTAGCAGCATGAGAATAGACTAATATGCTCTGGAAGATATTATCTTACTCCAGACATTATTTTAGATCTTTGCCAATTTGACCCGTGGCAAACAGCACTCCAGCATAGCTTTAATTTCCACTGCTCTTGTTCTGATTGGGGCTGAGCATCTATTCGCCTGTATAGGAGCATTTGTATTTTCTTTGCTCTGAACTGTGTTTATATTCTACGCCCACTTTTCTTTTCTTTTTTTAAGAGATGGGGTCTCACTCTGCTGCCCAGGCTGGAGTGCAGTGGTGCAATCATAGTTCACTGCAGCCTCCAACTCCTGGGCTCAAGGGATTCTCTCACCCCAGCCTCCTGAGTAGCTGGGATTACAGGTGGGTGCCACTATTTCCAAACCACTTTTCTTTGGTGATCTAGATTTCATTTGCATTTGCAGAATATCTGTATATTAAGGAATTTAACCTTTATGTGGGATACAGCCAGGAAAAACTTTTTTCCCCATTTGTCTTTTCACTTTGACATGCATAAACTTTAAATTCTCAGGTAGTCACCTTTATCAAGTCCCATTTTCTTTTACCTGGGCAGTAACCTAATGGGATTTTCTACTTCCAGCCTTCCTGCCACCTCCTCCAAATCTATTACCAACAGTGATTCTTGGTGGTTGTGGTGCCTCATGCCTGTAATCCCAGAACTTTGGGAGGCCAAGGTAGGAGGATCACTTAAGGCCAGGAGTTGGAGACCAGCCTGTGTAACAAGACAATACCCTGTCTCTACAAAATTACCAAAAAAAAAAAAAAAGTTAGCTTGGTGTAGTGGCACACTTCTGTAGTCCCAGCTACTTGGGAGGCTGAGGCGTGAGAATCACTCGAGCACAAGAGTTCGAGGATACAGTGAGCCATAATCACGCCACTGTTGTCCAGCCTGGGCGAAAGAGACCCCCTTTTTTTTTTTTTTAAATAAGAACAGTGATTCTTTTCAAGCACAATTCAGATTCCAGTTCCTTCTCTGCTGACCATGCCAGTAGTCTCCATCCCACTCCCAGAATAGCCCAAAAGTCCCTCCACCCCTCACACTTAAAACTTTCCCACGAGATCACAGGGTTCTTTCTCACTGCACTGAGACGTGCTCCTGCCTCCTGCCCCTGCCTCGGGCTTTGCCCCAGCCATTCCTCTCCTGAATTCTCGTCCACTCTTCCTTTTGGTGCTTTAAGACGCTCCTTATCCTAGAGACCTATGTGAGCAGCGCCCCCACGTCACTCCCAGGTTTCCCGACAGCATTTCAGCATTTACCACCGACCTTGGCGCATCCGCACCTGCGGATTGATCTGAGGATTCCCCCCCAACTTCCAGCACTTGGCTCTCAGCTGCAGCCACGCCTGCCGGGCCTGCTGCAGGCGCTCAGGGTATTACTTAAGTCAATGATTGCAGGTTCTCGCATCCTATTTAAAACCTTTTCCACTAAGAGATTTAAAACACGTGTCCCCTGCTTTGAACTTTCACGTTACATTTCTTACGTGTAAACCTAGGAAGCCTTTGGAGATAACCCCGGTCTCTGGAGAGGCTTGGATAGACCTCGGAGCCCAGACCGCCCGGGAATTGCCGTGCCCGGCTCCTCCCGACCCCGGCACGGATGCCTCGGCGGAGAAGTTGAGCCAGGCAGAAGCGAGAGAGTCCAAACCTCTGTTTGCCCCGCCACGCCCGCCCGAGGGCCCCACGTGGGCCCCAGGCGCAGGCGCGTTCAGTTCAGGGCCAGACGCGCGGAGACCTGGGAGCTGGCGGGGCGGGGCCGGACTGGGCGCGGGGAGACCTGGGAGCCGGCGGGGCGTGGGCGTGGCGGGGCCGGGCGCAGGGGCGGGGGCGGGGCAACCGAGGGCGCGCGCGAGCCCCAACGGCCGTCGCCGCAGCGCGGGAAGACGCGCCACAGATGCCCCGCCCGCGTGGGTTTGAACAAGAGGCCCCGCCCCCGGCCCGCGAGTGGCCAATCAGCGGGCGTAGCGCGCGGAGAGCGCAGCGTCGACCCTTTGTGGACGCCGAGTGGCGGTCGCTCGCCCCGCCCCGCGCCGTCGGGCGCTCCTTCCTCAGCGGCGGGAAGCTGGCGGCAGCGGCGGTGGCGGTGGCTGAGCAGAGGACCCGGCGGGCGGCCTCGCGGGTCAGGTGAGCGGGCCCGGCGGACCGCTAGGGCGTCTACGGCGGCGTGCACTTTTGTGCTGCAGGGCGCGGAGGAGCCTGGGGGCGGTGCGCGGAGTCTGTGGCTCCTGGCGCTGGGTCCGGGGCGGAGGCGGCGCCCGGGACCACCGCTGGGGCTGCCGCGGCGCCCTCGCCGCCCTCCTGGGCGCTGGTTCCCCCGCGGGGTGGCCGCTGCTGAGGGGGCCCGGGGAACAGAGGGGCCCGGGCCGCCGTCTGCGTTCCTTGCGGAGCGCGGAGCTGGGGCTTTGCCGAGGCCTGCGGGCGGCCCCACGCGGGAGCCGCTTCACGAGGGCCCGGCTGGGGTACGCAGCGGCGTTTCCCGTACCTCGGCTCTAGTTGCAGCGGAGGGAACGCCAGGCGCGCCGCAGCCCCCTCTGTCGGAGCCCGGCCGCGGAGAGGGCCGCGGATGTGGGAGGAGGCCCAGACCCCGGGCGGGTCGGCCAGCGCCGTCTTCCCTGGGCTCCTCCGGCGGTGCGAGGTGGGACTAGGGAAAGTCCCCGAGACACTTGCAGAAGTCAGACGCAAGCCTCCCTCCGCGTCTTCAGACGCTTCTCGCCCCGCAAACAGGATCGTCGTGGCAAAGGCTCCGACAGCTTGCTGGAATAGAGGGTCTCCGCTGCCTCGCTTCTCCTGTGGCCTTCGTGTGGGACGCACGGGACGGCGGGACCCAGATAACCGTTCTCTCAAAGCGAGCCACAGAAAAACATTGCCTGTTCACAAAACTTACGTTTTATCAACTTTCTACGTACAACCACTCTATTTTCAAGTGTCACCGTGTTTTATAATTAGGGTGGAAATCCAGAATACAAAGTGAGTTACACCCCTTTTCTAGGAAGAGTAGTAGGCTGTATCTTGGAAAAGGGGCTAGGAAGTTTCCCTCAACTTGCCACTGGAACATGTTTTCAGGGAAAAGAAGGAGTGTGTTTCGTTCCAAGTAACAAAAGTACCTGCAATTGGCTGGGCGCGGTAGCTCACACCTCCCAGCACTTTGAGAGGAGGCCTAGGCGGGTGGATCTCCTGAGGTCCCGAGTTCGAGACTAGCTGGCCAACGTGGTGAAACCCCGTCTGTACTAAAAATACAAAAATTAGCTGGGCGTGATGGCGCATGCCTGTAATCATAATCCTAGCTATGTGGGAGGCTGAGGCAGGAGAATCGCTTGAACCAGAAAGGCAGAGGTCTCAGCCGAGATCGTGCCATTGCACTCCAGCCTGGGCGACAGAGCGAGACTCCGTCTCAAAAAACAAAAAAAACCAAATACCTGAAATTAACATAACAGTAATTGTTCATGAACAGCCTCCAGGAGACTTGTAGTGGAAGGTGGAGCTCCCACTCAGTACTCAAGACTGCAGACCTTGCTCCTCTTCTCCCTGTTTTTCCGATAAAGTATTTCAAAGCTTATCTGATGTGTGAGGAATGGAAATTGTTGATGATTTGCTTAAAAACCCGAAACTTTGAAGTGGCTGCAAGTCCAGCTGTGAAGGTGACAGGTTAGGTCAGAGTTGAGTCTGTCCCCAACCGTCCCAGCCCTACTGATCAGAATCTGGGAATCTGCGTTTTCAGCCAGCCTCGTGGTATTGCTCAGCCACGAAGGTGTGGCCACTGCTGCTGTAGTGAAGGACCAGTCCCCGAGCTGTACTCTGCTTGCCTGAGCAGCACTGCGGGGCTGCTCCCTGCTGGCCTCTGCCTCGGTGGGCCTAGGTTGCTCTGTCCCTAGTGGCCTGTTGGCTGTTCCACCTGCCATGTCGGACATGTCCTCAGTCCGTCTGGCCCTCTTCGTTTTTCTCTGTCTGGTCGGTGCTTGGTTTAGAAGCCTGAGGGCAGTGCTGGGAGTTGACTGAGGGCTTGGCTGTCCCGGTAACAACCTGTGGAGTTGGTGGGATTTTAGGCATTTAACTAGATGTGTAGAAAGAGCTTCAAAACTGAGCAGGGGGCCAGGCATGGTGGCTCACGCCTGTAATCCAGCACTTTGGGAGGCCGAGATGGGCGGATTGCCTGAGTTCAGGAGTTCGAGATCAGCCTGGCCAACATGGTGAAACCC
Organism: Homo sapiens; assembly: GCF_000001405.40. Lineage (NCBI taxonomy): Eukaryota > Metazoa > Chordata > Mammalia > Primates > Hominidae > Homo > Homo sapiens. Next base: position 105,018,926 of record NC_000014.9, on the reverse strand, counting down.
CGTCTCTACAAAAAATACAAAAATTAGCCGGGTGTGGTGGCGCGTGCCTGTAGTCCTAGCTACTCGGGAGGCTGAGGTAGGAGAATCGCTTGAACCTGGGAGGTGGAGGTTGCAGTGAGCTGAGATTGCATCACTGCACTCCAGCCTGGGGGACAGAATGAGACTCTGTCTTAAAAAAAAAAAAAAAAATTGAGCAGGGAGCTAGGCTCCACAGCCCCACCGGTATGGTATAGGGCCCTTTCTCATTCCATATTAGAAGGAGTTAAGCAGCCTCAGGCAGAAGTCACACAGGAGGCCCTCAGGGAGCTGGGCCCAGCCCAGGCATCCCTCGGGGCTGGTTAAGACCATGCTCTTGCTGACTTTGTCCCAAACACAGATATAACCCAATTCAGGGTGATCCTCACAGGCCAGCTTCTCCGGGCCCAACCTTATCCTCTTCACTCCTGAACACATGTTCTGGGTGACAGCTCTTTGGGGTCACGTGACTGTAAAAAGCACCTGTGAGCTTTACTCTTTTTTGTATTAATAGTAATAAACTTGTCAGCATTTTAAAATATTGGGTACAACACAGAATTAACAGCTGCTGGAGATTTGGAACATTGGAGAGGAATGATTTGAAGTGACTGAACAGGGATATTCTCCTGGTACCAGAATGGGATCTGTGCATGGGATGAGATGCAGTGGAGGATGATGGGGATTATCTCTCGTCCCTTGTAGAACTTGTGTAACCCAGGCACATCTATGCAGGTCCCTGGGTTACACAAGTCCTACAAGGGGCGAGAGAGAATCTCCATCATCCTGGAGGATTCTTTCTGGCCCCTTGTAGCATTTCCCACCCTGATGGTGGCTACCCTTCTGTGTTTTCACAACTTAGATTAGCTTTGCCTGTCCTGAAGGTTCAGATCAATAGAATCCTACGGTACATATTTTTGTGTGTGTCTTGCTGCTTTTATTCAGCATAATGTTTTGAAATTTATCCGTGTTGCATAAATCATTGAGGTATGTTGCTGAGTTGCATTCCTTTGTCAGAATACACCAGATCGTATACATTCAACTTGTTTTAAGTGTTTTTTTTGTGTGTGTGTGTTTTTTTTTTGAGACGGAGTCTCGCTCTGTTGTTCAGGCTGTAGTGCAGTGGTGCAATCTCTGCTCACTGCAACCTCCGCCTTCCAGGTTCAAGCAATTCTCCTGCCTCAGCCTCCCGAGTAGCTGGGACTACAGGCACGTGCCACCACACCTGACTAATCTTTTGTATTTTTAGTAGAGATGGGGTTTCATCGTGTTGGCCAGGATGGTCTCAATCTCCTGACCTGGTGATCCGCCTGCCTCAGCCTCCCAAAGTGCTGGGATTACAGGCATGAGCCACTGTGCCCGGGCTGTTTAAGTCCTAAAAGAATGCTTGTGGCTGGGTGTGATGGCTCACTCCTGTAATCCTAGCACTTTGGGAGGCCGAGGTGGGCAAATCACTTGATGTCAGGAGTTCGAGACCAGCCTGGCCAACATGGCGAAACCCCGGCTCTATTAAAAATACAAAAAACTAGCTGGGCGTGGTGGTGCACGCCTATAATCCCAGCTACTCGGGAAGTTGAGGGAAGATGAGGCAGGAGAATCGCTTGAACCTAGGAGGTGGAGGTTGCAGTGAGCCGAGATTGCACCACTGCACTCCAGCCTGGGCGACAGTGAGACTCCATCTAAAAAAAAAAAGAATGCTTACAACTGAGAGTGATGAAACTAGGCCAAGGACCGCCCCCCACCTCCCCAGGAGCCTCTCTGGAGGCTCACACCTGCTGGTCCTGTCCTTGAATAGACAGAAAAAAGGTTCCCCCTGTTCTCTGAATTTCTTTTCGGTGTGATAGATCTCATTGCCTGTGCATTTAACACTCCTAAATTTTATAAAACGATTATTTCTTTGGCATTTATCCAAGAGAAATGAAAAACCAATGTTCATGCAAAAACATGTTCTAGAATGTCCATAGCAGCTTTATGTGTAATAACTCCAAACTGGAAACAAGGAAAAAGTTCCCTTCAGCTGGGGTGTGGTGACACTCTGCTCCGTCTGTGCCTCCAGATCCTACTCTGTTGGGAACTGTTGACACACAAGAGTTTGCAAGGATCTCAAGAGAATTATGCTGAAGGAGAAAAGCCAACCTCAGAAGGGTGCTTGCTGTGGGATCCCATTTATGCCACATTGTTGGGCTGACCCAGAGCTGAAGGGTGGCATGGCCAGAAAAGGACCTACACAGGGAGGCCAGGGTGTCTGGTCCTGGCAGGAGAGCAGCCGTGGAACAGGGTAGGAACACAGACGTGGAGCTCAGTGGAGGAGGGAAGGAACGCTTAGCTGTGGGGCTTAGAGACTTGGCAAAACAAGAGGAAGCTTTACCAGCAAGTGTGCAGAAATAGTGCGGGAGAAAGTTGGTGGAGCGTTCCACCTTCTTAGGATGCAGTTTAATAATGTTTATCAAGCCTCTTAAAAATGTACCTGCACATCACCCTAGTAAGTAAAGAGCCGAGGCTAAGGAAGCCAAATGCTAGAAATACCAAAACACCTAAAGTTAGAAACTGGTATCATTTGTGATTGGGAAAATTGTCAGTAGTGTGAAACTTCCCTCCCTTGTGCAGAGAGGAAAGTGCTGGGAGAAACGACTGGAAAGGAGGAACCCAGGTGGTGACTGTGTTTTTCTGAGTGGATGGGATCCTGGGAGAAAATTCGTTTTATGGTTTTTGATGCTCTTCCAGATTGTCTATGGTGAGCTGTGGAAATAAGCAACCAGGTGAGAACAGGCAGAGGCTGTTTATCCAGAGCTTCCCCTAGCAAGGGTGCGGCCCTCCTCTCTCGTGATTGGCAGAAACTCATAGGCAGGTGAGGGAACAGGAGAGCTTTACAGTGGAATCCAGGGAAGCTCAGGGATGGCTGATGGAGGCTGCTGACTTGGGGGACTGGGGTGGCCAGTTAGAAGTGGGGCTCCTGGCCTGGCACGGTGGCTGACGCCTGTAGTCCCAGCACTTTGGGAGGCCAAGGTGAGTGGATCACCCGAGGTCAGGAGTTTTGAGACCAGCCTGACCAACATGGTAAGTCTCTACTGAAAATATAAAAATTAGCCAGGCCTGGTGGTACACCCTTGTAATCCCAGCTACTCGGGAGGCTGAGGCAGGAGAATCCCTTGAACCTGGGAGGCGGAGGTTGCGGTGAGCTGAGATTGCGCCACTGCACTCCAGCCTGGGCGACACAACAACAACAACAAAGAAGTGGGGCTCCTGTGAGATGGCCTAGAACATGTTTGGCTTTCTCTGGTTGGTCCTAAATTGGAAGCAGGGACAAAAACTGGAGAGGTTGTCGGTTACTAATCATGTCCTGGCCATTTTGGGCTGCTTGCTATGGAAATGATTGTTTAGCTTCCTGGATTGTTCCTAGAGAAAGCAGCCAGGCTTCCTGCAGGTCTGACTAGGGCAACCTGGCTTCCTGGCCCGTTACTGAAGGTAAAGGGCTGGTTTCCGACTGATGGCGGCAGATAATGGCTGAGAGTTCTGTTTCTGTATGTGGTTCCGCCATTGTTTGTTGGTATATTCCCTCGCTCAGAGCAGATGTTATTAGGGTGATTTCTGACGGTCACGTATTGCTAGTGCTGCCCTTAGGACCGCTGACAGCACCAGGCCAAGCACTGAATTCATCCTCTTAAGATCCCCAGTGGGAGGCTTCTAGTATCCATATCTGGCTTTCAGAAAAGGGCGGGAGGGTCTGTCGTTGGGTTTGGACTCAGGACCTGGCATTTCTAAGGACTCAGAGGAAAGGAAAGTGGGACCCAGAGGGTCCTAGGAGCTTGGGACAGCTTCTTGAACTGGTTCCCAGTGTGGTTGTGGGTCTTCTTGGCCTGTCCCATTGGTATTCTTGTTCCTTCTGTGAGTTGCCCTGATTGCCCTGCTCAGTCGTGCTGACCTCCTGTAGGCCCCACATTATGGGGGTTGTGCTGCTGGGTTTCCAGAGTCAGGGGAGGCAGCCAGGGGTTCTTCTGTCTATAAACTTGGGCTTAATGCATGCTGTTCAAGAGGATTTGGTTTGGGTCCTAAATTAATCCATTGCTATGCAGGCTTGGGATTGAGATAGGTTGAAAGAGAAACTAAAAACCTAAAAGGTATATTGACTTCCCACAGAGGAACCCGTGGGACTTAATCTTTTCCCCAACGCAGGGTGTCCTTTGTAGTTTGACATAGCCTTATGTTAATTCTCGATATACTTAGCAATTTTAAGCCAGTGATTTAAACAATGGATTGGGATGGAAAAGCTCTGAAAAGTTAAATTTGTGGCTGACACAAAGAACTCGAATATTTACCAAAAGTAATAGAAATGTGTAAATGTGTTTTGGTGGTAAACTGTCCTTCATTTAGAATTAGTTGAGAAGCTGGTGTATGCAGGTGTGAGAGGCGGTGCCCAGCCTGAGGGCTGTGCCTGTGGTGACACTGGCATGCTGCTCTGGGGAAATGGGTGCTGTAGGGGAAATAAGCTAGGGTTAGGGAAGTTTTCCTTTAATTTTAATTTTGAAATAATTGTAGAGCCAGGGGAGGTTGCAGAGCAGTGTTCAGGAGGTCCTATGTGCCCTTCCTCTGCTCCCCAGGGCCGGCATCCTTGTAGGATGCACAGCCAGGCCCCAGGTCCGTGTGATGACACGGCTGCCGCAGGCGCATGTGTGCGTGTCCGGCGCTGTGCAGTCAGGGTAGGGCCACCCCCACAGCCCAGGAGCAGAAGGGCCCTCACCCCCAAGATCTCCCTGCGCAGGTTCCTTTCTAGCCCTGCCACCCCTCAGCTCTGGGTCAGCATGACAATGTGGCATAAATGGGATCCCATAGCAAGCACCCTTCTGAGGTTGGCTTTTCTCCCTCAGCCTAATGCCCCTGTGGAAGGATCCGTCCTGTGTATCAACAGTTCATTTCTTTCTATTGCAGAGTAGGATTTGGTGGCATGAATGGAGCAGAGTGTGTGTCACCGTGCCCAGGTGAAGGGTACATTTTCCTTGTTTCAGATTTGGAGCTACTACAAATAAAGCTGCTGTGCACATTCTGGAACATGTTTTTTGCATGAACATTGGCTTTTTCTCTGGGATAAATGCCCAAGAGGTCACTTAGTTTTTTAAAATTTACATGTGTTAAAGGCACGGGGATGAGATCTGTGACACTGAAGGGAAATTCAGAGAACAGGGGGACCCTTTCTTCTGTTAATTCAAGGGTAGGACCAGCAGGTGGGAGCCTCCAGAGGGGCTCCTGGGAAGGGGTATGTTTGGCAGCCAGTTCTCCCGCACTGCAAAACTTCCCATCCTTGGTCTCCAGACCCCGAGCAGAGACAGCATGTGCCTCCCATACGCCAGCTTTCCAAGAGCACCTGGGTATACCCTGGTCACAGGGAGCCATCAGATTGACTAAGAGAAAAAGAAGTTCCAAAGTTTGCATATTCAAAAGATTGTAACCCTATTTATGCATAACTTGAATTATTTGAAATAATATTTCACTACATTACAAGCATGAGAAGAGAGAAACTTAATCATGCGTGAGATGCTTGTCCTGTCAGACTCTGCCGGCCAGTATGGCCCTGAGCCAGCTGTCATCCTCCCAGCTCCCCGCAGGCGGCACTGGCTCAGAATGGCATCTGTCAAAAGCCAGAGCCCACCCTCCTGTCTGCTCTGCCTTTAGTGCCCCAGAGATGTCCCAATTTAGAATCAGTTAAAAAAAAAAAAAAACAGTTTGCACAGACTTGTACTTCTGAGAGTAGACATGGCCAATGTCCATCTAGTGCATCTGTGCTGTGCGTCTTAGTGGAACCTGCCCAGCAAGGCTGAGCCTTAGGTGCCATCCCGGAGTTGCCCAGGTCTGGGGTAAGATCCAGGAATCTGCATCTTCAACCAACAGCGCCAGTGCTGAGGCATACGCCGAGAAACACTGCCTTGGCCAGCTCTGGGCTGCCACAACACACTGGTGAGGAACCCACCCCCCCTGCCCCGGACACACACATACCCTGCCATGTTTTGGTTCCTTTGAAGAGAAAGGAGTTGAGATGAGAGGGGAGGTGGCCCCTGAGGCCATGGTTGTACGGGCTGGTCAGAGCTCTCGAGTGGAGGGCATTGACCTGAGAGATGTCAAGTAGAAAGCAGCCAGGCAGAGCCTGTGCACCTTGGGAGAAATGAACTGGTGGGGCGGGTGGGGGGAGCCAAGGAATGGGTGTGATCCCTAAGGCAGGCAGCATGGGCGGGTGTGGGAGCAAGGGACTGTCCAGGGCCACATAGGCTCGGCCAGGAGACCCTGTGTCCCTTGGAGAATTGTGCACGAAACACAGACCACTCGCTGCATGGGATGAGCATACAGCCCTGCAGTCCTTCCCCTGCGCGTTCCTGGTGGCACAGCTTTCCAGCCCGGCTGTCTGCGACATATAGAGGCTTTTAGTGAAAGCATTGAGGGGGAAGGCACTAACTCTTCTGAACGCAGAAGTGACTTTGTCCGAGGCAGGATCCTGAGGGAAGTCAGAATGGTACGTGTGTGTGCCCGGCCCTGTCCGGCCCCCGCCCTGCGCCCTCTGCAGGCTGGCACGGTTCACATTAATCTCATGTTACCCCAGGGTCTCTTCTTTTGTACACACCACAGTTAGATTTTTGAAACAGATTTTCAGCCAAGCTCTCGAACACTTACATTTCTCTTATATATTTCTCCTATTTTTAGTTCATTTATCTTTTTTGCTATAAAACACTGTCGTGGTACAGTTGAGAGGTTTGTCGTTTCTAACAACGTGACTGTGCCTGGCTTAGGCAGGATGGCAGCTGATCTGGGGGTGGGGGTCTCCCACTGGGCTCCACGTCTCAGCTCTGTTAGGGAGTTACAGCTCTGTCAAGTCCCTGCCAGTTACGGAGTCGCTGCTCCTTGCGTACAGTGAGGGCAGTCAGACGAAATCCAAGGGGCGCTGTCCGCAGAGAGTCTGCCGTGTGCTAAGTGGTGTCTTCCTTGGTTTCTGCAGGACACAATGTTTGCACGAGGACTGAAGAGGAAATGTGTTGGCCACGAGGAAGACGTGGAGGGAGCCCTGGCCGGCTTGAAGACAGTGTCCTCATACAGCCTGCAGCGGCAGTCGCTCCTGGACATGTCTCTGGTGAAGTTGCAGCTTTGCCACATGCTTGTGGAGCCCAACCTGTGCCGCTCAGTCCTCATTGCCAACACGGTCCGGCAGATCCAAGAGGAGATGACGCAGGATGGGACGTGGCGCACAGTGGCACCCCAGGCTGCAGAGCGGGCGCCGCTCGACCGCTTGGTCTCCACGGAGATCCTGTGCCGTGCAGCGTGGGGGCAAGAGGGGGCACATCCTGCTCCTGGCTTGGGGGACGGCCACACACAGGGTCCAGTTTCTGACCTTTGCCCAGTCACCTCAGCACAGGCACCAAGGCACCTGCAGAGCAGCGCCTGGGAGATGGATGGCCCTCGAGAAAACAGAGGAAGCTTTCACAAGTCACTTGATCAGATATTTGAAACGCTGGAGACTAAAAACCCCAGCTGCATGGAAGAGCTGTTCTCAGACGTGGACAGCCCCTACTACGACCTGGACACAGTACTGACAGGCATGATGGGGGGTGCCAGGCCGGGCCCCTGCGAAGGGCTCGAGGGCTTGGCTCCGGCCACCCCAGGCCCTAGCTCCAGCTGCAAGTCCGACCTGGGCGAGCTGGACCACGTGGTGGAGATCCTGGTGGAGACCTGAGCAGGAGCCCTGAGTGCTCACAGCCGCCTCTGACGCATTGACACGTGAGCACTGGCTCCCACGGAGGGTGCGCCTGCCGCCAGCGGCCCAGCCTTGCTGCCCTGTCTGCTGATTCTGAGAAATCCCAGAACAGCCCATTACCAGTGGGGCTGCAGCCCTAGGCCCGTCCCACTCACCTCCCCCCTGTGGAGCGCCAGGCAGAGGCTGTTCTGGAAGGCTTCTTGTCTTCTGACGTCCCCACAGCCCTGGGCCCCTCGTGTCTCTTTGTGTCCCCCACTGTAGAGGACGGTGAGCCGCAGCTGCATCAACCTCCTTTTACCTTTAGATAGGTGAATTTTTACAATTCAGTTTTACATGTTTTGGGCAGTATTTTGTCTTAAGATATATTTTTTAAACTTTTTATACCTTATCTCTTTAGATTTTTTCAGCTATTTTCTTAAAAGTATATTTTTTCTATAAACATCCTTTGCTGCTACATTAGAACTTTTATAGCCTAAACAATTGCAGTTGGTGTGTTTCATTTTTTTAAGGTTTAAATAAGGGTTTTTTGTTTTGTTTTGTTTTTTGCAGTGAGCATCACTACAGTCTCAGTCAACAGTGTGAATGTATCATGTTTTACTTTAAATGTGTGTGTGATACTTCTTCATTATGTCCTGCGCTGCAGTGAGACCTGGGTGAAAATCAGGAGCCGCACACAGCCACATCTTCCTAGACCTAAGAGTAAATTATGGAGGATTTTATTTATGTCTATTTATATGTAAATGTCATTGAAGACAAAGGTCAAATATTTGTCTGTTTGTAGATCACAGGCACCAGTTGGTCTTCAGGGACCTCATAGCCCCTCGGTGGTGCCTTCTCAAGGCAGTGTTCCTGGAGGCTCCCATCAGGGTCAGCCCATGCACCTGCCCTGGGTGAGGAAGTAGCATTGCTGCTGGATGAGAAACGCCTGCGCTGCTCTGTTAGACTGGTGCTGAAACAAAAGGTTAAGGCTAGGTTGAAGTCTAGAATGAAAGAAATCTGAATCCATGTCATTCATAACCCCTTGATCTGTAGTGTCATGGGTGCTGCCGCAGGCAGGGAGTGAGCTGGGGGTGCCTGCAGCCTTCCACTCCTGCCCCGCCTCACCCCACATGCTCCCTGTTTCTCATGCTTTCTCTAACTTCCTCACCCCTTAACCAAAAAGGTGTGTTTTCTTTTGTGCATATAGCCATTCTTAAATATCAGTGATGTAAACCTCACTTTATTAAAAAATTATCCAGCAAACAAAATGGGAATGTGGTGTTAGTTACGACCACGGCCTGACCCTCCAGCAACCTTTCTGCAGGATCAGTTCTGCTGTATTATCTGGTGGTGCTTTCTAAGGTGGGGAAAGGAATTGCACTTGGCTGCATTAAATGGACGCTGGGTTACTTTTATTTCCCCCCCCCACAGGGTTGCAGAGCAAATTCTTTTTACATTGTTCAGCGCCCGGCTGGAGTTGGGGGTGTCCACGACCTCTGACAGCCCCCGATGTCGAAAGTTAATCCTCATGGACCCTAGTTTAAAGGGTATGTGTTTTATAGGAATAAATCTAAAGCACTATTTTGTTTCTGTATAGCATTTTTATCTTTTAGAAACATCATTTGTTCAGCATTAGTAGTAGTTGTAGTGCCTGTTTTGGTAGCCTTCAAAATTATAAACTGCTCAGAGAATGTGACTTTTGAGCGCTTTAGGGGTGCTTGGTCGGAAAACAGACTGGGTCTGTGGAAGGACCACAGACAGGAGAGAACAGCTGCTGTGACTTAGAAGTGTAGCCGGAGTCTCATTCCCTGGACTCGCCGTGTTCACCTGTGACACCGTACACCAAAGCCTGCTTGTTTCCACCGTGGTGCGCAGTGGCTGAGTAATCAGCTGTTTTCCAAGCATCATTTCTCTGCAAGTTTAGTCCGTGTGTGTGGCTTTGTTTTTTTTTGTTTTTTTTTTTTCTTTTTTTTTGATGGAGTCTCGCTCTGTCTCCCAGGCTGGAGTGCAGTGGCGCGATCTTGGCTCACCGCAACCTCTGCCTCCCAGGTTCAAGCGATTCTCCTGCTTCAGCCTCCCAAGTAGCTGGGATTACAGGCACCCACCACTACGCCCAGCTAATTTGGTGTATTTTTAGTAGAGACAGGGTTTCACCGTGTTGCCAGGATGGTCTCGAACTCCTGACCTCATGATTCACCTGCCTCAGCCTCCCAAAATGCTAGGATTACAGGCGTGAGCCACCGCGCCTGGCATTCTTGGTTTTTTGACAGGATTTAACTTTTGTTGCCCAGGCTGGAGTGCAATGGCGTGACCTTGGCTCACTGCAACCTCTGCCTCCCAGGTTCAAGCGATTCTCCTGCCTCAGCCTCCCAAGTAGCTGGGATTACAGGCATGTGCCACCACGCCCGGCTAATTTTTATATTTTTAGTAGAGATGGGGTTTCACCATGTTGATGAGACTGGTCTCGAACTCCCAACCTCAGGTGATCCACCTGCCTCGGCCTCCCAAAGTGCTGGGAATATAGGCGTGAGCCACCGCACCTGGCCATGTATGTGGTATTTTTAAGTCTGTAGGTACAAATTGACTTTAATTGGGAAGAAATTTTCCAAGTGTTTAATAATTTTGTTTACAAAATGTTTATTCAGAAACAGAAATACAAATTCCAGTCATCTAAACTTGGCACTGTTCTCTGCGGTTTGCTTCTGGCCAAACTGAGGGGAGCGGGCATGTTAGTTGACAGTTTCCCAGGGGCGTTTCCTGACGTGTGGTGGGTACCCCTCACGTGCAGCATGCCTTGCACACAGCTTCGGAGCCCCTTCTACCTCAGAAGTTCGGTTTCTAGGGTTATAAAGTAATGCACGTTTATTTGAAGACATGGAACCAGTATGAAGATAGCAGACTCCTCCCAGGGAACCGATCTTCCTTTCAGGGGTGACAGCGCACCTTGGAGAACGCTACCTGCTCCGCCCACAGATGCCTGCGCAGGATTTCCTCGGGGGCGGGGCGGGGTGGGAGGGGGTGGTCTCCACAGGGCTGAGCCCAGCCATCTGGGCCTGGATCCCTGCTGGGCCACATCTGGGCCAGGCGCCTTCTCCCAGGTTCACTCCTTAGTGAAGTGGGCCCGGCAGTGATGGAAGGAGGACGCAGCAGCAAACTGCGGAACAAGTGTGGACATTGTGCTCACCCTGTGGAGTCCAGGTAGCCGGGTGAGCAGGCTGGCGGAGCCACCGGAAAGGGCCGGGCTGGGGTGGGTGGGTGTCTGAGGTGTGGACACTTGATGTGTTGCCTTGGTGTCTACCTAAAGACAGAGTGGTGGGATCACGTCCCTCATCATAAACTCTCACAGTTGGTTTCTGGGTTGCTAGAAGTTTCTATCTGCAACCAGCGAGCCGTGTCCTTAAACTGGGATTTTGCTGTGACCTGAACCAAGCTTTCCATGTGGCAGTGCTGTGTGTGCTGGGTTGCTGCATTTACTCACAGGAAGGCCGCTGTTCCTTCTCATGCCCTGTGTGGAGGTGGCTGTGTCCTCAGTGCCTGCTCAGGGTTTGTAGTGGAGCCAAGCAGGGAGGGGAGTTGTGATGTGTGGATGCCTGAGGGTTCGAGGGTAACCTCCCTTTCTCAGTGATGAGCCTTTGCAGTATTCTCAGGAGTGGCGATCGCCCGTCTGGGAAGATGTGACTGCCAAGTGCAGCCCTCAGTTGAGGTGACACATGTTGCTTGGTCGCTCCAGCAGACTTGCTGCAGCTGGACAGTTTAAGCTCTTGGGGCTGCTTGCTGCCCCTTGCAGGCGTACACTTCATCGGCCCATCCCTCACTCTGCTGTGCCCCTGGGAGATAAGCCCCGCCTTCTCAGATCCGTCCCCCTTGCCTTCCACGCTGGGCCTGAATGAGCCTCTGCACTGCGCAGAGGAGCCCGGCAGGGGCCTTGCAGAGGAAGCTGGGAGCAGCTCCATGGACTGTTCCTGAAGCTGTCGGAACCAGCTGGATGAACTGGAGGTGCACTGAGGGCCTGCTTCTTGGGTGACAATTTGGTCAATGCCAGAACAAGAGGCTTGGAAAACCTACAGCGAGCTGGAGTGGAAGGTCCAGGAAAGGCCCTAAAAATGATAGGCTCTGAGCAGCCTGTTGGCCACAGCCACTGTGCAGTGGTTCCCGTCGGCCTGTAGACGCCAGGCTCGGGCTCACTGCCTGGCCTGGCCCGGCCCTGCCACCTCTGGGGCCTTCAGGGACCCTTCAGCACCCTCATCTTTTTGTGAAAAAGCCCCAAATGTATAAACTACCCCCATCCCTGGGTTGGCCCGAGGCCCTGTGACCTTGCTGCCCCCACATTCCTGCACACCATCGGACTGGGGGGTAGTTACACCGATCTACTTGAAGGTTGGCAAGTTGCATGGAGTTGGGGGAGCGGGTGGGTGTCCACAGGCACCTCTTGGGTGGACGCCCAGAGTGGAGTCGAAAACCACCTCAGATTCAAAACAAAGCAACCTGGACGGGATGTTATGAACACGCAGCCTCTGCCTGATGAAAGCTCCTCTGTCCTGCACTCACACATGTGCCTCCCTGCAAGTGCCTCCATCGCAAGCTGCGGAGAAATCTGGCATGCCAGGCGAACCTGCCCTCCAGGCTGCCCGGTGATCCTCTTACTGGAGCTGATGCAGAGCACAGCCAGGCCCATGGGCTGCATTTGGTTGACAGACAGGACTTTCATTACAGGTGGGTTCATTTCCCGCTGGGGTCAGAGAAGGGGCGTTCCAGGACCCTACAAAGAGCTGGGCAGGCCTGGGGACAGAGGGCACTGTGGTGCTGGGCCCCAGGAGGGGCTGCCCCACCAATGACCCCACCAGTGATAAAGCTGGGCAGCCTGCAGGGCAAGAGCCAGGTGGGGTGCGTGCTGCCCACAAGCTGAAGATCGGGTCCCAGGAAGCTCTCCCAGGGGCTCTGCCGTCTTCACCCTGTTCTTCCCACCTTGGCTGGTGGCCTGGCCTGTGACAGCTGTGCTGGACCCAGGCACCCAGCAGGACCAGCCACCCACTGAGGGGCAGGAGAACAAGAAGGGGCACTACCCAGCTCTGAGAGCTCAGTTGGGGCGGTGCCTCTGCCTCCCGACCCTGGCCAGAGGCCCAGCCCGTCCTGGGGACTGGCTGTACCAAGTCAGCCTAAGCCCAGTCCCACGGTGAGACACAGGCGGAAAGGTGCTGCCTCCATCCTGGCTGCCTGCTGTGGGGACTGGCTGGGTGGTGTAGGAGGGTGTGCACGTGTGTGTGCACCTACACGTATGTGCATGCGCAGCTGGAGGGGGTGCTGGGGGTGAGGGCCGGGGAAGTGGTCAGATCCCAGCCTGTTGGAAGATCCTGGTTTGTGATCCTGTCCCTGTGACCACGGGGCCACCACTCCCGCAGAGCTGCTCAGCCGTGCTCACACTGGGTGCGGCTGCGAGGAGCACGGGCCGTGCATTTTCCTCCTCGCCCGTGGGCCTGGCCAGCCTGGTGCTGAGGGTCACTGGGGACTGGGAGGGTCCCCAGGAGGCCACAACCCCTGCCACCACCCCAAACACTTGGCCCTCGACTGTGGCCTCATGGTTCCCCATGCTTCGCCTTCTGGATGCAAGTTGAGGGCCAGGCAGAGCTCCCAGCCAGAGGTAGAGGTGCTGTCCCGAAGCAGGCAGGCTTGCCTGGAACAGTTCACACACCTGGAGCCCGAGCTGGGAAGCAGGACACTGAGCCCCCGGGCCTGCTGCCTGGGCTGACCAGGTGTTAGCACTGTTCATCCTTTTTTTTTTTTTAATTTGAGACAGAGTCTCTTACTCTGTCGCCTAGGCTGGAGTGCAGTGGCGCAATCTTGGCTCACTGTAACGTCTACCTCCTAGGTTCAAGCGATTCTCTTGCCTCAGCCTCCCGAGTAGCTTGGGTTACAGGCGCCCACCACCACGCCCGGCTAATTATTTTTAGTAGAGACGGGATTTCGCCATGTTGGCCAGGCTGGTCTCAGACTCCTGACCTCAAGTGATCCGCCCGCCTTGGCCTCCCAAAGTGCTGGGATTACAGGCATGAGCCAGCGCACCTGGCCTTTTTGAGTTTCTGAAAGAATTTTAAAACAAATCCCAGATGTTGAGACATTTTGACCCTAAAAACACGTTAAACTTCTTTCCTTTTTTTTTTTTTTGAGACTGAGTCTCCCTCCGTCACCTAGGCTGGAGTGCAGTGGCATGTGATCTTGACTCACTGCAACCTCTGCCTCCCCGGTACGATCAATTCTCCTGCCTCCGCCTCCTGAGTAGCTGGGACTACAGGCCTGTGCCACCATGCCCAGCTAATTTTTCTATTATTAGTACAGACAGGGTTTCACCATGTTGGCCAGGCTGGTTGGTCTTGAACTCCTGACCTCGTGATCCGCTCGCCTCGGCCTCCCAAAGTGCTGGGATTACAGGTGTGAGCCACCATGCCTGGCCAGGTTAAACTTTTTTAAAAAGACTTTTGTTTATTTATTTTTTGAGGCGGAGTTTCGCTCTTGTCGCCCAGGCTGGAGTGCAGTGGCGCGATCTCAGCTCACTGCAACTTCTGTCTCCCGGGTTCAAGCAATTCTCCTGCCTCAGCCTCCCAAGTACCTGGGATTACAGGTGCCCGCTACCATGCCCAGCTAATTTTTTGTATTTTTAGTAGAGGCGGGGTTTCAACATGTTGGCTAGGCTGATCTCAAACTCCTGACCTCAGGTGATCCTCTTGCTTTGACCTCCCAAAGTGCTGGTATTACAGGTGTGAGCCAATGCGCCCAGCCAAAAAAGACATTTTCTTACACAACCACAATACCATTGTGAAAGAAAAATACAATTTCAGGGCCCCCAAATTCACTAGGCCAAAGGGAAAAATTAAGCTGGAAACTGACTCATTCAAGAAACCGCCTTTTTGTTTCTGAGCAAACAGCTGCAGGTAGAAGGCCACAGGCCTCCACAGGCAGCTGCGCTTGTCTGCTGTAGCTTATGAAAGCACAATTTGCTGAGCGAGACGATTGCGTGACGAACCTGGGAGGCAGAGGCTGCAGTGAGCCAAGATCGTGCCACTGCACTCCAGCCTGGGCAACAGGGCAAGACTCTGTCTCATAAAATATGTGTATATATTGAAGTCCCCAAATCTTGCTCTCTTTGGAAAAAGCACAGATCACAGACTGTTCCTGTGGTTTTGTGTTTCTTTTTCCTGGGCTCTGGCAAAATAAACCTCTGACTTGATTGAGAGCTGCCTCAGATGCTTTTTGGTTTACACCATATTGTAACTGGAAAATTAGGGAGAATTCTTTAATATCTAACACCTGCTTCATAGTCAAATGTCTGATTTTCTCCCTAAATTGTCCTTTTTTTTTTTTTTTTTTTTTTTGAGATGGAGTCTTGCTGTCGCCCAGGCTGGAGTGCAGTGGCGCGATCTCCGCTCACTGCAAGCTCCGCCCCCTGGGTTCTCGCCATTCTCCTGCCTCAGCCTCCCGACTAGCTGGGACTACAGGCTCCCGCCACCATGCCTGGCTAATTCTTTGTATTTTTAGTAGAGACGGGGTTTCACTGTGTTATCCAGGATGGTCTCGATCTCCTCACCTCATGATCCACCCACCTCGGCCACCCAAAGTGTTGGGATTAGAGGCGTGAGCCACCACGCCCGGCCCCTTTATTTCCTTTTTAACTTTTAAAAATTGAGGTACATAGTAGAGTCCAGAACATGCCAGAATTGTCAGTGTCCGCTTGGCAACAGTTTACACGGGAAGATACCCTGTAGCTGCTATGGGTTAAGGTAGGGGAGGTGCGTCCCCACCGTTGCCAACAGGATTTGTGGGCCTGATCTGCTTGTGAATGGGCACCTGCAGGGCCTGGCCTTTACATGTCGTGAGGTTTGCCCAGGTTGTGTGTGTTGCTGTTCTTTTTTAAAAAATTAACTGTTTTGGTGGGGCGCGGTGGCTCACGCCTGTAATCCCAGCACTTTGGGAGGCTGAGGTGGGTGGATCATGAGGTCAGGAGTTCAAGACCAGCCTGGCCAAGATGGTGAAACCCCGTCTCTACTAAAAATACAAAAATTAGCCAGGCGTGGTGGCAGGTGCCTGTAATCCCAGCTACTTGGGAAGCTGAAGCAGAGAATTGCTTGAACCTGGGAGGAGGAGGCTGCAGTGAGCCGAGATTGTGCCACTGCACTCCAGCCTGGGCAACAAAGCGAAACTCCATCTCAAAAAAATAATAATAATAATAATAATAATTAATTTTTAGGCCGGGCGTGGTGGCTCATGCCTGTAATCCCAGCACTTTGGGAGGCTAAGGCGGGCAGATCACGAGGCCAGGAGTTCGAGACCAGCTTGGCCAATGTGGAGAAACTCCGTCTCTACTAAAAATACAAAAATTAGCCAGGCATGGTGGCCTGTAGTCACAGCTACTCGGGAGGCTAAGGCAGGAGAATCGCTTGAACCTGGAAGGCGGAGGTTGCAGTGAGCCAAGATGGCACCACTGCACTCCAGCCTGGGTGACAGAGTGAGACTCTGTCTCAAAAAAAAAAAATTAATTTTTAAATTGACAAAAATTGTATATCATGTACAACATGTTTTGAAATATGTGTACACTGTGAAACAGCTAAGTCGAGCTAATTAATATGCACTGCCACACATACTTGTCACTTTTTGGGGTGAGAACACTTAAATCTACTCTCTTAGTGGTTTTATTATTATTTTTTTGAGACGGAGTCTTGCTCTGCCGCCCAGGCTGGAGTGCAGTCGTGCAATCTTGGCTCACTGCAACCTCCACCTCCCAGGTACAAGCGATTCTCCTGCCTCGGCCTCCTGAGTAGCTGGGACTACAGGCATGTGCCACCACGCCGGGCTAATTTTTGTATTATTAGTAAAGATGGGGTTTCATCATGTTGGCCAGGCTGGTCTCGAGAACTCCTGACCTCGTGATCCACCCGCCTCAGCCTCCCAAAGTACTGGGATTACAGGCGTGAGCCACCGTAGCCAGTCTCTCCTAGTGGTTTTCAAGAATGTAATCCATTGTTACTGATTACGGTCCCTGCGTACAAGAGATCCCCGAGCTCATTCCTTGCAACTGAAATTTTGCATCTTTTGGCCACCATCTCCCCAGCCAGCCCTCAGCCCCCGGCAACCACCAGTCTACTCTGCGTCTGTGAACTCCCCTTTCTTTTTTGAGACAGGGTCTTGCTCTTACCCACGCTGGAGTGCAGTGGCGCAAACATGGCTCACTGCAGCCTCAATCTCTTGGGTTGAGTTTTGCTTTTTTTTTTTTTGAGACAGAGTCTCGCTCTGTCACCCAGACTGGAGTGCAGGGATTACGATCTTGGCTCGACGCAACCTCCGCCTCCCGGGTCCAAGTGATTCTCCTGCCTCAGCCTCCTGAGTAGTTGGGATTACAGGCACGCACCATCACGCCCGGCTAATTTTTGTATTTTAGTGGAGACGGGGTTTCACTATGTTGGTCAGGCTGGTGTCAAACTCCTGACCTCAAGTCATCTGCCCAGCTTGGCCTCCCAGAGTCCTGGGATCACAGCCGTGAGCCACCATGCCCAGCCTTTATTTTATTTTATTTATTTATTTAGAGACAGAGTCTCGCTCTGTTGCCAGGCTGGACTGCAGTGGCCCGATCTTGGCTCACTGCAACCTATGCCTCCTGGGTTCAAGCAATTCTCCTGCCTCAGCCTCCCGAGTAGCTGGGACTACAGGCACACACCACCATGCCCAGCCAATTTTTGTTTTAGTAGAGACGGGGTTTTACCATGTTGGCCAGGAGGGTCTCGAACTCCTGACCTCAGGTGATCCGCCTGCCTCGGCCTCCCAAAATGCTTAGATTACAGGCGTGAGCCACCATGTCAGGCCCCGGCCTTTATTTTATATTTGTGTAGAGATGAGGTATCACTCTGTTGCCCAGGCTGGTTTCAAACTCCTGGACTCACGTGATCCTCTTGCCTTGGCCTCCCAAAGTGCTGGGATTACAGGCATGAGCCACCACACCTGGCGAGTTTGACTTTTTGGGTTCCACGTATGAGTGAGATCACGTGGGGTTTGTCTTTCTGTACCAGCTTATTTCGCTTAGCATAAATGCTTCAGGTTCATCTAGACAGTTGCAAATGAGAGGATTTCATTTTTTTTTTTTTTTTTTTTTTACAGCTGAATAGTATCCCATTGTGCGTATGTACCACATTTTCTTTATCCATTCATCTGTTGTTGGACACCTAGGTTGGTTCCATAGCTTGGCTATGGTGACTAGTGCTGCAATAAACATGGGGGTGCGGGTATCTCTTCAACATACTGATTTCCTTTCCATTGGATAAATACCCAGTAGTGGGATTGCTAGATGATATGGTAGTTCTATTTTTAACTTTTTCAGACACCTCCATACTGTTTTCCATAGCGGCGGTACTACTTTACACTCCCACCAACAGTGCACAAGCATTCCCATTTCTCTACACCATCACCGACATTTCATCTGTTTAGAATAGCCATCCTAACAGGTGTGAGGGGGTATCTTATTGCAGTCTTGATTTGCATTTCCCTGATGATTACTGATATGGAGCATTGGTTTTGTATAGCTGTTGGTCATTTGTGTGTGTGTATATATATAAAAATAGATATATATATATTTTTGGAAAATGTCTGCTTGGCTGGACGCGGTGGCTCACGCCTGTAATCCCAGCACTTTGGGAGGCCGAGGCAGGTGGATCACCTGAGGTCAGGAGTTCGAGACCAGCCTGGCCAACATGGTGAAACCCTGTCTCTACTAAAAATACAAAAATTAGCCGGGCATGGTGGCGGGCGCCTGTAGTCCCAGCTACTCGGGAGGCTGAGGCAGGACAATCACTTGTACTCAGGAGGCAGAGTTTGCAGTGAGCTAACATTGCACCATTGCACCCCAGCCTGGGCGACACAGCAAAAAAAAAAAAGAAAGAAAGAAAGAAAAAATGTCTGTTCAGGTCCTTTTCCTATTTTTTCAATCAGGTTATCTGGGTTTTCTTCCTGTTACGTTGTTTGAGTTCCTTATGTATTTTGGATATTAACCCCTTATCAGACATATGGTTTCCAAATATTTTCTCCGATTTCCGAGGCTGTCTCCTGGCTGTGTTGGGCAGAGGCTGCCTGCTTTTCCTCGCTGTGTGTTATTCGAAGTTGTCTCTACATTTGGTTTGTTTGAATCAGGAGTCATGCGAGAGCTGCACATCACATGCTCTTACGTCTTCACTTAGGACCATCCCTTTTTCCTAGTGTTCTGCCATTTTCCATTTTGTTGATTTTGGCACTCAGTTTTATTTCCTTCTTTCTGCTTACTTTTGGTTTAATTTGCTCTTTTTCTTGCACATTAACATGAAATCTTAGGTGGTTTTGTACTTTTCTTACTTTCTAATATAAACATTTAAAGCTATAAATTTCCTTCTATGCACTGCATTCACTCAGATTTTGATCAGTGCCATTTTCATTATTCAGTTTCAATTACTAAGTTTCCAGTGACCTCTATGGACCCACTGGTTATCTGGACATGTGTTGTTTTCATGACCTCCTGCTGTGTAGCTGCCATCACTAGCTTCACAGCATGCAGCACCTACCATCTGTTACTGCCATGATCTCATGCCACGGCTTGGCTGGGCTCAGCCGGGTGGTTCTTGCTGGGATCTGTCAGGCCACTGCTGTCAGGCAGCAGCTGCAGCTGGATGCACCCCACCCTGAAGGCTTCCCTCCTCCCAGGGCTGGCATGCTGGCCGGAAAGCTCCAGCAGCTGGGTCCTTGGGCATCTTGTCAGCATCTCTGTGGGATCACTGCAGACATTTCTCCAGCATAGAGGCTTCAGGGTGGCCAGGTTTTTTGCATGATGGCCAAAGCCTCTGAAGGCCATGTCCCTGGCCTCTGATGTGGCTGACGGCTCAGTTATCTGCTTGGAGAGAGCTCCACGTCCACTAGAAAGAATGAGGGCTTTGCAGTGTCACTCAGGTCAGGTGATGGTCACGTTCCTTCAGGGCCTCTAGGAATCAAAGGCCAGGACAGATTTACACATTCAAGAAGTTTATTTGGGGAAATACTTATGAAGGACAAAAGGGTTAGAAAGCAGGAGCAGGCAGAGGAAAGCTGTCAGCCTCAATGCAAGCCTGGCATCTGTGGGAGGAAGGGCCTTTGCCACACCCATGGGCCCTGGATAGAGTGTCCATCTGAGGCCGAGGTGGGCAGAAACGGCTGGCTCTGCACCACTCTCTACTCAGCACTGACTGCAGACAGCTGGGAAGCGGCAGTAGCTGGCTGGGAGAGGGGCTTCCCTCTTGGGTCTGGTCCTCCATCAGTGTTATTTGGCACAGGAGCCCAGCATGGCACGATGGGCCCCAGCATGCCCCGTGTTTGCACTGGCTCTGCTCCTGAGCCACTCCAGTAGGGTGCTCCTGGGGGCACCTGTCCTGCCAGCTGTCCCTGCAGACCAGCTCCAGCTCAGCTCCTTTGCCTAGGCCTGTTCCTATATAGCCACACTCACTGTGAAAGGCCTGCGTCTCAGCCTGGGAGGGCAGGGGGCCTTGGCCAGGCCTTAATTCCTCACTGTACCTCACCGCCAACCCAGAGAAGCTGCTTTCCCGCACCTGCTACTTCAGGGCCTATTAAGTAAGTCTTTATTGAAAAACAAAAAACAAAAAGAGAGGCCAAGGCAGGAAGACTGCTTGAGCTCAGGAGTTCAAAACCAGCACGGCAACATCGTAAGACCCTGTCTCTAACCCAAGCCAAACCAAACCAAGACCCTTTTAGTAGTTAACCAACTTTTACTACTTAATTCTTTTTTTTTTTTTAAGAGATAGGGTCTTACTCTGTTGCCCAGGCTGGAGTGCAGTGGTGTGATCACAGCTCACTGCAGCCTCCAACTCCTGGGCTCAAGCAATCCTCCCACCTCAGCCTCCTGAGTAGCTGGGACTGCAGGTGAGCGCCACCACACCAGGCTAATTTTTTTTTTTTACTTTTTTGTAGAGATGGGGGTCTCACTATGTTGCCCAGCCTGGTCTCAAACTCCCGGCCTCAAGCAATCCTTCCACCTTGGCCTCTCAAAGTGCTGGGATTACAGGTATGAACCACATACCGGGCCTAGTAATTCTTTACATTTTTTCCTCTTCAGATAACTGGTGTGGTTTCTGTATCCTGGCTGATAATGCCTTCATTTTTAAAGAATATTTTTTTCTTTTCTTTCTTTCTTTATTTTTTTGAGATAGAGTCTCACTCTGTTGCCCAGACTGGAGTGCAATGGCGTGATCTCGGCTCACTGCAACCTTCCCCTCCCAGGTTCAAGTAAGTCTCTTGTCTCAGCCTCCCAAGTAGCTGGGATTACAGGCATGCGCCACCACGCCTGGCTAATTTTTGTACTTTTAGTAGAGATGGGGTTTCTCCGTGTTGGCCAGGCTGGTCTCAAACTCCTGATCTCAGGTGATCCACCTGCATCAGCCTCCCAAAGTGCTGGGATTACAGGTGTGAGCCCCTGTGACCAGCCTAAAGAATATTTCAATGTATGTGAACTTCTAAGTTGACCTTCCTTTTCCCTTCAGCACCGCAGATGTGGGTGCGTGCGTGGCCTTCTGGTGGGAAGTGAGCCATTGTTCCTATCGTTGCTTCTCTATATGAATCTCCTGTTTCCATCCTAGCTGCCTTTAAGGCCTGTAGGATGTGTTCAGGTACGGTTTTCTCCACGTCACCTCCTTGCAGTTACAGAGATTCTTGGATTTGTGGATTATTTTCTTTCATGAATTTCAGAAAGTTCTTAGTGATTCGGTCTTGGAATATTTCTTCTTTATTCTCTCCTGTTCCTGCTCTGGGACTCCAGTTACACCCAGTTAGGCCATCTGACTTTGGCCCACAGATCTTGGACCCTCTGTCGTCTTCCCTCCCCTCTCTGTGTTTGGATCTTCTTTAGTGACCAATCTTCAAGTTAACTGATCCATTCCTCTGTGATGTCCAGTCTGCTGTTAAACCCATCTAAAGATCATTTATATACTGTATTTTTCATTTGCAGCATCTTCATTCTGTCTTTTACTGAAGTGTCCCTGTTTCTGCTGAACATCCCTATCTCTTGGTGAATGTCACCCGCCATTTCCACAGGCCCTCCCCACCTCCCCAGAGTTCCTTCAAAGCCCTTGACTTCAGTTTTACCACTGGGGCTGACTCTGCTTCTACTGCTCACTGTGGCTCACGTTTTCTTGCCTTTTCATGTGTCTTGTAATGTCTTACTGCAGGCTAGACAGTTCATATAAAAGAACAATCGAGGCTGAAGCAAACAACGTTTAGTTCCACAGAGGGGCACGTGCCTTCCACTGTGAGGTTGCCAGAGTGGGAACAGAGTTGTCCTTCCCGGTAGTTGAGCTAGCTCTGGACTTCTCTGCAGCTGTAGTTAGGCCTTCAGACGCCCTGAGGGTGGCATCAGGGCATGGCTTCGGTGGGGTCTGAGCTTTGAGCACAGTGATTCTGGACATCAGCCTGTGTGTCGCAGCCAAGCCACTGGCTTTGGGGGCTGCATGATTTCTCCGTTCTTCAGCCGGACTGCCGTCCTTTTTGGCCACTGGAGGCTTCCTTTGCTCTCCATTCCAGCCCCTCGCCTTGCGCCCGGGGTGTCTTGCAGCCTCTTCCTCAGCCTTTGGGGGCTTGCCTCCCGCCCACTGTCCCAGCTCCCCTGCTGGGCCTCCAGACTTTGGGAACAAAAATCCCAGCATATCTGTGAGAGGGGCGTTCTCGAGGGAGTGTCCGTCAGCTCCCTGCCCCCACTCCCAGCTTTTGGCACTTTCTTCCTGAGCACTCAGTGTGGACCTGAGGGAGGCCAGGGAGCTTTGGACTTGCCTGTTGCAGGGTCCTCCAGACCCTGGGGGCTTGGCAGCCGCACTAGTGGACAAGTGGTTTGCATGTACGTCGCCTGGTCCCTCCTTACCTGACTCTGAGGGGCCTCTTCCTCTCACTCCCCTCTGGGGACGAGAGCAGCAGGGCCTCTCTTCTCTAGTGGGTGCCACAGAAGTCAGGTTTGGAACCTGTTGCTTCTGAGGTTCCTGTGAGGCCACAGGGAAGTCAGAAGAAAGGCTTGGCCTTCTGAGGTCTGTGGGTCACCAACATCCAGCCAGGTGAGGAGCAAGGGCCACCATGGGTGACACCATGATGCCATGGCACAGTCTGAACCCGAATCTTGGAGTGGGAGGAGCAGGATGGAGTATTTTGGCTTGTTAAAGTCTAACTTTTAAAGGTTAGGAAACCAGGGCATCTCCTGGAGGGGCTCTGCTGGCAGGGCCCAAAAGACAGTGCCTTTGAAGGAAGCTGTGTGTTAGAAAAACAGTCTCTAAATTCCCACTTTCCCCTGGCTGAAAATGAAAAATAAAGGCAGCTTTCCAAACCATGTGGTACCCAGAAACAAACAAACAAAAAGGAATTCTCCTCATCACAGACCTAGAGCCACGTGCAACATGGTGCTGGCTATGCAGCTGGGTGGCCGAGGCCAGGGTTTGTGCAGGGACATCTGCTTCCTCCTCCCTCATGATGGAAACTCCTGCCCATCACTGTGCACATCGCACTGATACCACAGTGACATGGAGGCTATGGTCCCCTGTGTGGCCTTGGCAGGAAAAGAGACAGCCAGGGTGGCTGCTTGCTTAAGACTTCAGGCCTCCCCTGGGGACAGGATTTCAGGTATCAGTCCCCCCAGCTGATGAACCAGTGACAACAGGCTTATCCAGGTGGTTTTATTTAGTAAAATTTTACAAAAGTCAGGGCTGACTTCTTGGCTCTGCCCTTCGAAGAGCACAGTTTTCCTTAGCAGATAACTGGGGGAAGCCACGGGCCCACCAGAGGCTCTCGCAGGCCAGTGGTGCGACCTCCTGTCCACAACCGTGAGGGACAAAGGCCTGTCCTTGAGGCTGCTGGGCAGGGGCCCAGGCAGTAAGTGAGGGCACCTGCGAGGCTCTGAGGACACAGCACATCTGTACACCCTCATGGTGCCCTGACCACACAGCAGCCAGGGCAGAGTGTGACAGACAGAGGGTTTCTGAGCGGTCTCAACAGCTGTCTCTCTGGTGACGTTTCAGTGCCTTCCCCTTTTCCTCTGAACTCATGGATTTGGCCACAAGTTGCTCCCCCTGGACTAAGCAGCCCAGAAGCCATGCCCAGGGTCCATCCCTGGGCAACCCCCCACCAGGTGCCAGCAGCATTCACATGGGGCAGGGGGCCCATGAGTGCCACCTGGACCCCGACAGCCTGTCATGGCATCCAGAAACCTCTGTCTCCCCTTGGCTCTGCCAAGGACACATCCTCCATCTCCTGGTCAGACCCGAGACAAGCCCAGAACACAGGACAGGTCCTGTTGGAGAGATCCCAGGAATGGGCCTGGGGTCTGGAAAACAGCTCCACAGACAGCTCTGGTTTCCACATCAACCCAGCCAGGAAGAAAATGAAAAATTCCTCATAAAGGTACAAAGTCCTCCTGATTTTAGCAAACGTCGCTATTAAAGAGTGTCAGTTTGAGCTTGCGTGGAGTGAACATCCTTTTCCTTGGAATAGTGATGTGCTGGCCACCTCCGCATGAGGGGGTCTTCAGGAAGCGGCTGCATGTCATCAGCCTCCCCTGTTTGCTGCCAGGCGGCCCCGAGAGCTGAGATGAGAGGACAGCAGTCAGGCGCGCGCACCCCGGGCAATGAGAAGCGCTAGCTTGGGCGTTTGCCCCTGGCCGCCCCCTGCCTCTCGGCCCCCTAGTGTTCTCTCCTTGGTTCTCCTCTTAGAAACCTTCTCATCATGGGATGTCACCAGAGAGGCGCCCAGGGAAAACATGCTGGGGCTTCCTCATGGTGCAGTCTGTGGCTCTGGCCTGCAGCCAGCCCCGAAGACAGCAGTGGGCCCACATCTTAGGCGGGGTCTCTGGCCCTTGTGCTACGTGTCTGGCACTCCCTGGTGGAGGCTGCCACTACCCTGCACACTCACAGCCCTCCAGTAGCCACTCTTGGACTACACCACAGACTTCCCCCAAACAGCTGCGGCTGGACGTCTCCCCCACCGGCTGCTGTGAACAACACAGCCACGAACATTTCTTTACAGCTGCTGCTCTAGGATAACCCTCCTGTGCTATGGTGCTTTTCAAAAAGATGGACAGCCTGTGAAGACGGCCGATCAGGGCCCTCTCCTGTTGCCCCATGGCACCTGTCGCCTGTCACCTGTGTGCTGATCATCCAGGGAACCCACCCCATGTCAGCTGGGGGCAGTGCCACATTCATGCCTAATTCTTGCCCAGAAGCTGACCCTGGCTGCCTCCTGTGCTATGCAACCTTCCTGCTGTCCCAGCTCAGTCTCAGGTCCTTGTTACCTCCTACCAGGCCACAGGGCAGTACTTTACCCCTGCGCCTCCCTGCATGTCACTCTTCATGCTCACAGCCGCCCATGCGCCCCTCCCACCATCTCCTGGGTGTACACAATGAGCCCCGACTGTTCCAAGGTCCTGGGTCTCCAGGGTGAGCAGGAAACCAGGTGAGCTAGGCCTGGCCATCTCACCCCTCCTGCAATACTTGGTCTGAGGGTGGGCTCCAGACTCCAGCCCAGAAAAGCTTTTCTTCCCCCTGATAAAAGAGAGAGCTGCAAGAAGAAGTCCCCTTCTCTGCCCATCTCCTCTTCTGCCTTGAGCCCGGCTGTGATGATGTGATGAAGTGACTCTGTGGCAAGAACCGCGGCTCATGAGAGAAAAGCTGTGGGCAGACCCTGTGTAGGGTAAGCGGCCCGTGACTGAAGCCGCCAGTCAGATCCGTTCACGACAGCTGCCCAGGCGGAGTCAACATCCCCTGGCCCAACAGTCACAGCCTGGTCCTGCCTCATCCTTCCAGCCTCGTCATCCACACCTGGCGTCTCAGCTTCCCTGCAGCTCTCTTCTCTCCCTGGCTTCTCCTGCGTGACCCACCCATATCCTGGGTCCTCTGGCCTGAGAGTCTTTCCGGATGGTATTTATATTCCTTGGCACCCTGCAGTGGTGTTCACAATTTGCCTGTCTGCCCTAAATAGCACAAATGTTTGTTTTCTGGAAGTCCACAAGACTTAAAGGAAGAAAACAAGCAACTGACTCACATCAGAGAAAGCGGAGGGCTCCACATGTGTGGACACCGCCAGCGCGGTTCCCTGAGGCCTCTCCTTGGTGACCACTCACCTTGGTCTGGATCAGGGCTTTGCAATGCTGGAGACAGAAGC
This sequence comes from Homo sapiens, assembly GCF_000001405.40. Lineage (NCBI taxonomy): Eukaryota > Metazoa > Chordata > Mammalia > Primates > Hominidae > Homo > Homo sapiens. Next base: position 104,993,023 of record NC_000014.9, on the reverse strand, counting down.
TGCTGACAGTGAGGAGTCCTTCAGGCTCTTTGAGGTCACAATCTTCCATGATGTGGCCCTGGCCTCCAGAAAGGTTCTAAGGAGACAGACCCCATCAGACAGCCGGTACAGTCATCATTTTGTCTCCTGTTTCCTTTTCCCCTGAGCCCCTCTACTAATTTCATGCTAAAACTGCAAAGTTCTCTCAGGCCCCTCTCAAGGTCAGCGCACCAGTTTCCCCTGTGTCGCCCTGCCACTCGCTGCCTCATGCCCGGCTCACAGGCCTCGCTCCCCTTCAGGACCTCAGCGCCCCTCAACTGCTCAATGGGAATAATGTCTTCACGGCCACTTTCAGACACACCCTTCAGGCTGCCGCCACTCGGAGCTGGCCCGCACCTGAGGCTTCTATTCAGGCCTCCCCCATTTCCTAGCCTCCTGGTTCTCTGTTTTCCTCACACAATGACACAGTCAGGGCGAATCTCACTGGGAGCCTCTCTGTTCCTTTCTGCCCTTCACTTCCTTCCTGGCCAGCCCAATGTGGCCCATGGGCCAACAGGGCAACCATTTTCATGCCCCTGTCTTCACCAGGGCCAATCTGCCTGCCTGGCTGGCCCTTTTTGAGTTTTCCATGTTTGAAAATTTCCATAATATTTAAGAATGAGGAAAGATCATTGAAATCTAGATCTCTGAAAAGGCGGCCCTCCCTATGACTGGCGTTTTCTGCGACAGCCCAGGAGCTTGAGCACGTGCACGGCAGTCTGTGCGTGGCAGTGGCGCATGTGGTGGCGTGTGTGGTGTGTGTGCTTGGTGGCGTGTGCGTGGCGGCATGTGAGTGGTGGCGTGTGAGTGGTGGCCGTGGCAGTGTGTGCATGGTGGCATGTGGTGGTGTGTGAGGCGTGTGCATGGCGGCGTGTGCGTGGTGGCGTGTGCATGGCGGCATGTGGTGGTGTGTGAGGCATGTGCGTGGCGGGGTGTGCGTGGCGGCGTGTGCGTGGTGGCGTGTGCGTGGCGGCGTGTGCATGGCGGCATGTGGTGGCGTGAGGTGTGTGCATGGCGGCGTGTGAGGCGTGTGTGTGGCGGCGTGTGCGTGGCGGCGTGTGCGTGGTGGCATGTGCGTGGCGGCGGCAGTGGCATGAGTGCACACACACTGTTGCACATCTCTGAATGCGTTGTCTGCTGCAGGCTCAGGCCCGTTCCTTCCAGAGCCTTTCCCCACCTCCTGCTCTAGGCTTTGCTGGCTCCTGCCTCAAGCATTCGGGAGTCATCCAGTGGCCCTGACACGTTTATGGGGCCACCTAGTGGCTTTAACCCACCTGAACCCACACCTCTGCCTGCACCCACCCCTTGGGCGCGGCCAAGGGCCACTGGTGACAGTGAAGTTCAACCACACTCCCAGGAGCCCTGTGTCAACCCAAACCGCCTACCTTCTGCGCAGCATCTATTCCGAGAACAAGAAAGAAGTTCTCCTGGCAACGGGACTCGCTCCAGAGGCGCTGAGAAGTAGACGTGGTGTGTATGCTCTGAAGGGCTCTCCAGAGTTTTCTGGATTCGTTACTGGAAAACAGATGCACTTGTTAAAAGGTGACCTTGAGAGCCTTCTGAGGAGATCATGAGGCACGGCCCGAGGCACGCAGCGGGGCGCCTGGCCTTTACCCGCAAGCCGAGACGCGCACAAGCCAAGAGGCGTATGGCTGTTAAGAACTCTAAAAACAGTGTTCCCGGGCTGGGCACAGTGGCTCACGCCTGTAATCCCAGCACTTTGGGAGGCTGAGGCTGACAGATCAGGAGGTCAGGAGTTCAAGATCTGCCTGGCCAACATAGTGAAACCCCGTCTCTACTAAAAATACAAAAAAATAGCCGGGCGTGGTGATGGGCGCCTGTCATCCCAGCTACTGGGGAGGCTGAGGCAGGAGAATCGCTTGAACCCGGGAGGCGGAGGTTGCAGGGAGCGGAGATCGCGCCACTGCACTCCAGCCTGGGGGACAGAGTGAGACTCTGTCTCAAACAAACAAACAAAAAAACAAATAAAAACAGCATTCCCTGCAGGAGCACTGGGCTGTCTCATTTATTTGTTCATTTATACTTTTATTCAAACAACACGTGCCATCCTTCAACACCCCAACCCACCTCCCGTGCCCCCTCTATGCCTCACAGCACCTGCCCTGGAGTAGCTGACTTACTGCCGTTACTGTCTCCTCCAAGGAGTGGAAGCTCCGTGAGACCAGATATTTTGCTGGTTTTGTTCACTCAAGTGCCTAGAACTGTGCTGAGTACAAAACAGATGCTCCCAAACTACGAGTACCAGTGCATGCTCAGGAGAACAAATGAGCAAACCAACGGTGAATGTCTACTATGTGCCACACGTCACTGCTACGCACTGTGAGGGACTGAGAAGGTCTGCCTGCAGGAAGTTCACGTTCTAGTATGGAAGGGAAAATGAGTGCAAGGGCAGGTGCGGCAGCTCACACCTGTAAACCCAGCACTTTGGGAGACTGAGGAGGGCAAATCACTTGAGCTCAGGAGTTTGAGACCAGCCTGAGCAACATAGCAAAACCCTGTCTCTACAAAAAATACAAAAATTAGCTGGGTGTAGTGGCGGGTGCCTGTAGTCCCAGTACTCAGGAGGCTGAGGCAGGAAGATCGCTTAAGCCTAGGAGACGGAGGCTGTAGTGAGCTGAGATGGTGCCACTGCACTCCAGATGAGTACAGAAGAAGAGCAAATGTGCTAAACACCAAACCATTTCCAAAAATACCCCAGTGTTTCAGAACACACAAACCATGCTCTACTCCACCCCCAAAGTACCATCCAGCCTTCTGTCCCACGAGTGTCCAGCCCCGCCAAGTCCTGACACCCAGGACTCCCCATGCCTCTGGGTCCGCGAGTTGTGCTGCTGGGGACAGAGATGTCAATGCTGCCAGCACAGAGCCCACCCCCACCGTCAGCTTGCTGGGACCACATTCTCCACAGTTTTTCCCCAGGGATCATGCTTTGCAGAAGCACCACACACAGAGGGCACACGGGCCATCTGGGCAATGCTGGTTGCGGCCTTCTGGGCTCCAGGCCTCTGTCCTCAAGCCCCTGTAGAGGGTACCCTGGGGCAGGTGCTGGTTGGACCCCAGCAGAGGACACGGTGGGCCAGGGCTGGAGCCCAGAATGGCCTGTCTGCAGAGCTCTCTGAAAGTCCAGGCCTGCTCAGAGACACAAAAATCAGCAGGCTGACCTGGCTCTCCCCTGGCTGCTGGGAGACCCACTCCGCAGACCACACCGAGGGACAGGGAAGCTAGCTCACCCCAACCTTCACTTCCCTCCTCCCTCTGGGGCCTTGGGCCAACTTACCTCGAGCTTCTCAACCACTGCGGCCTAATCCACTCGAGCGCTGTCTGTCTTTCAATGCTCAGTTGAAAGTGTGTCCCTGGAAAATGGCCATCTGCGAGTGACTGCGGGTGCACTTTCCCCTAGGAGCCTGTGGCCCTGCAGGCAGCACCGGGAGCACCCCTGGGGCTGGGCCTGGGGCTGACAATGGGGCTCCAGAGTGTGGAACGTTTTCTAGAACTCTGTGGCTGAGAACCATGAGGCAGCCGGTGCCCACTCAGCCAAGTCCCCCAGAAGGCCCCTGTGCCCACTGCCCAGGCCCACCAGCCACTCGCACTGAATGCGAGGCCCCCACCCACTCCACCAGCACTGGCACTGAGACCCAAGGGGAGCTGGGCTTGGGTCCAGCTGCTCCAGGTGAGCTGGCTGGGGAGGAGGATGAATAGGGCTCAGAGTGGAAGGCCACAGCTGGAGCGCCAATCGTGCTGCCCCTTCTCATAGGACCCCTATGACCCACAGATGGCAGGGACCTCAGGAGAGATGCTACTCTCCATAAAGGCAAAAACAAAGCCTCACACACCTACTTTTATCAAACAAAAGTACAAAAGCAGTTGCTGTAAGAAATATTTCTTCAGTTCATTACCACAATTTATGTACACGTTCAACGCCAGGTTTTTCTTCACTGCTTATTTCTAGGAAATGGTCTATGGTGGAAACGTCTTCAGCTGCCTGCTGGACTGTTATTTCTTGAAAAGCACACTTTAAAATGTTCTCATAGCTGAGAATGGGCTGAAAAGAAAAGAAGAAAAGCATACCAAAGTTAGGAGAAAGACATACATAACGTTACCTTATTCCAAAGAAATAATTGTGATAGAAATGAAATTTGTAATTGATCATACCATTAGTGTTACTATCACTTGACATATTCATTCCTAAAAATCACCAAGTTAGCAAAATCACACAAAACCAGAGGACTCATGGGAAAGGTGGGGTTAGGGCAAAACATTCAAACTTCATCAGTGACACATGAAAAAAGATGACCACCCAATAATGTCAGTGCTGTTTTCCAGTTTGGTTAAGAAATTATACATGCGGCCGGGCGCGGTGGCTCACGCCTGTAATCCCAGCACTTTGGGAGCCCCAGGTGGGCAGATCACGAGGTCAGGAGTTCGAGACCAGCCTGGCCAACATGGTGAAACCCCCATCTCTACTAAAAATACAAAAATTAGCTGGGTGTGGTGGTACACGCCTATAATCCCAGCTACTTAGGAGGCTGAGGCAGGAGAATCGCTTGAATCCGGCGGGTGGGGGGCAGAAGTTGCAGTGAGCCGAGATTGTGCCACTGCACTCCAGCCTGGGTGACAGAGAGAGACTCCGTCTCAAAAAAAAAAAAAAAGAAATTATACATACTACAGTAAGCACAGCACTTTACCTTGGAAAAGACAAAGGCTCGCAGGCTGAGTTAGTGTGAAGGGGTAGGAGGAGGGTGGTCTGAACCGGGTGAAGTCCTAACACCAGGTGTTGACAGGTGTGCTACATTGGGGCACTAAGCGCTGTGTGAGGGTGTACGTGTGCGAGTCTCATGTATTCCAACGGGCCCCAGCTCAGCTGGGGGCAGTTTTCTGCATTTATCTACTCTTTCTTGTGAAATTTCAACTATGCTCTAATTGTTCCCTAATACATCAATCACGCTGGAAAACAAATCCTGTATTCAAAACAAGCATTACAGCAGACCTTACTCTATTAAGAGTGGATCTCATCAGGATTCCAGGGAAACTGCTTCAGAAAACAGTCCGGCCGGGCATGGTGGCTCACGCCTGTAATCCCAGCACTTTGAGAGGCCGAGGCGGGCGGATCACCTGAGGTCAGGAGTTCAAGACCAGCCTGGCAAACATGGTAAAACCCAGTCTCTACTAAACATACATATATATATATATATATAAAAAGTTAGCCGGGCGTGGTGGTGGATGCCTGTAATCCCAGCTACTCAGGAGGCTAAGGCAGGAGAACTGCTTGAACCCAGGAGACAGAGGTTGCAGTGAGCCGACACAGTGCCACTGCACTCCAGCCTCAGCGACAGAGTGAGGCTGTCTCAAAAAAAAAAAAAAAAAAAAAAAAAAAAAAAGAAAAGGAAGAGAAAACAGGCCAGCCCTGAGAACTACAATATCTTTATTTCCTTCCTCACTGGTTTTATTTCTGATCTCTCATGATGGTGCTTGGGATGAACCATTTGGGAAGAAGTGGCAGAGAAAGAGGAACAATGGAAGGAAGAAGACAGGAAAAGAGAAGGAGCGGAAGTGTCACCAAACGGTAAACACCCACAGTCTGCTCTGAAAGAGAGCAGGGGGCAGGGGCCTGAAGGCTGGGACCCTGGCTCCCGGACAGGTCGGAATGGGCATCACCCAATTCATTACAAGCTCCCGGACAGGTTGGATCCCGCGTCACCCAATTCATTACAAGCAAGTTGAAATGTGATCATGTGATTTTAGAATCTCTGAGACTTTTGAACTCAGCAGATTCAGAATTCAGACAAAAAGCTCCTCCTCAAATGCCCTGAGCTGGGGCCAGTGCAGCCCCCACCAATGGGGAATGGACAGGCTGGGGGAGGAATGGTCAGAAAGAGCGACCCAGCTCAGGTGGCCCCCACCTGGCCTTCGTGTGACCCATTTCTGCAGCCTCCTCTGCCAACTCATTGCTTCCCTGGCCTCAGGATGGGACTGCCAACCACATGGCCAGGGACGAAGGCCAGGAGAGAAGCAGACGCTCTGGGGCTGTCAGCCCCCTCCCTGGCCAGCACGCCACAGCATTCGAGGGCTGTAGGCCTCTTGGTGTGTACACGTCCCACTCAACATGGTGACCACAGCACAGCAGAAATACCTCAGAAGGTGGGACGGCAGAAGTTCCTGTCACCCAAGGTCCACCCTGGCATGGTTGGTGAGAACTGCACTCTTTTGGGGCAGAAGTGGTTCTCGGTGGCTGGGGTTCTGTGGGTCCCTCGAGGAGTTCAAGGGACTGTGAGAATTGTCCAGACTTGGCTGAAGATTCCCGAAAGCCTTCAAACTCCCCCCAAGTGCTGCTGTGTTCCCCAGGGTCAGGACATCGGGCAGTGCAGGTGGAACCGCCCTCACGGGGCATGGAGATGCTGGCTTTCCCATCGGACAGGAGAAGGTCGGGGCAGGTCCGTCTCCATTCCAAACTGTCATCACTCAGCCTCTCAGGTGCCACTCGGAGGGAAGCGCTGGCTGCTTCCTCCTGGAGGTCACTCAAAGGCTCTCCCCCCAGCTCCCGCCGGCCTTGCATCTTGGAGCCCCCAGGCCAGCAGAGGCCCGATGGGCAGCTGCTCAGGAGACATGCACGCCGGGGTGCTGGCCGCCCAGGACTGCCCAACCTTCCCCTGCCCTGGAGAGGGCCAGGGGACGCTGCAGGAGTGCCCCGGGCTGCCCAGTGGCTGACGGTGGAAAGTGCCCACGTGCTGCTGTGGAACTGACACAAACCACAGGAATGGCCCGGTCGCCCGGGAGTCCTGGCTTCCTCCCACGCAGGCGGGCGCGGAGTCCGACACAGAGGCGCGTACCAGACCCACGGCAGGTGTGAGAGGGGCGGCCCAAGGTGGGGCTCCTGCTCTGGAGAGAGCCGCGAGGGGGCCTGGGAGGCCCACGCTGGCCAGAGGAGCGAGAGCCGGGCGCCCGCGGGAGTCCCAAGTGGGAAGGAGTGGGTGCGGCGCCCCGGGGCCTCCCGAGAGTCCCTCTCGCACGCGGCCCGCAGAGCAGCCCTGGAACGCCTGGGCCTGGACAGGGCCCGAGGTGGCCGGCTAAGCGCCTGGCCCACGGCTCCCGAGAGTCCCCGCACCCACCTTGGTCGCCGCCTCGGCGGGGCCGCGCGGGACCAGGGCGAGAGAAACCTGCAACCAGCCGTTCCCTCCTGCCTGCGCCGCCCCGTTGCCTGGCAACGGCGTGCGCCAGCTCCGCTTCCGGCGTCCGTCGCCGTGGCGTCAGCACGCATCCGGGGCGAGGCCAGCGCCGGCCCCCGCCGTTCAGGACCCGCCCCGGACCCGCCCTCCCTGCCCCGGGCCGCCTCCGCTGCGGGTGGGATCGGGCTTCCACACTGGCCGAGCCCTGGGCGCCGGGCCGCTCGAGCTTTCTGTCCGTGCTCAGTTCGCCGCCCGAGTGGTTCTTTCTTTTTTTTTTTTTTCTTTTTTTTTTGAGACGGAGTCTCGCTCTGTCGCCCAGGCTGGAGAGCAGTGGCGCGATCTCGACTCACTGCAAGCTCCGCCTCCCGGGTTCACGCCATTCTCCTGCCTCAGCCTCCCGAGTAGCTGGGACTACAGGCGCCCGCCACCACGCCCGGCTGATTTTTTTGTATTTTAATAGAGACTGGGTTTCACCGTGTTAGCCAGGATGGTCTCGATTTCCTGACCTCGTGATCCGCCCGCCTCGGCCTCCCAAAGTGCTGGGATTACAGGCTTGAGCCACTGGGCCTGGCCCTAGAGTGGTTCTTTCTTCCTCACGACGAGCTCCCCAGGTCCGTCCCAGCGCACCCGTCACCCGCAGCCCCTTCTCCCGGCGCCCCGCAGCCTAACTTGCCGCGCCGCCGACCCCTCTGTGGGTGCAGCTGAGCGACGGCCCCTCAGGACCCCACCTGTCCCTGGCGAGAGCCAAGTCCGTCTTGCTGACTCCTGAATCCCAAAACCTCGCCCGCCCCTAACTCGTCCCCATTCCTGGGGGAAGGAGCTGCGGGGAGGCTCCACCCCTCCCTCGCAGGCCGCATGGAGTGCTCCCCTCCTTTGTCACCAGCCAGACCCGGGCAGAGCAGGGCTGACGGACAGCCCCTCTCCAGCCACTGGACGACCAAGGAGCTAGGCTGGCCTCTGGCAGCTCCCCTCCGGGCTTCCAGGCCTTCTGCCATCTGCCCTCACCCCCAGACTCAAGGAGTCAACCTTGACTCCATCTCCTCCCTGGCCTTCCCAGACTGGCCCCCATCACTGCCTCCTCTGGGTAAGGGGAGGGCCTGGCCCTGGTGAAGCCCTGAACCATGCCACCTACTGTCCACCCCCTATCTACCTCAGGCTCGCATTTCTCCCACCCTGGGGCCTGGGGCCCTGCCTGGACTCTGTCCTTGCTTGAATCACCCCTTCCCTCCCTGGTCCTTCTCAGCCAAGCTACAGAACAATTTAATTTTACAAATGACAAGATGAGATCATTCTCTGCACCTTAGACCCAGCCTCCTGTCCCCGCTCCTTCCTGAGGGGCAGAGCAGCCGGGCCATGCAGTATGGAAGCTCTTCGGTCAGACTGCCCAGGACTGGATCTTGGCTTGGCCACCCCAGCACCGCAGTGACCCTAAGGATGGTGATCAGGAGCTGGCTGGGTTTGTAGACCAGGCCTGGGCCTGTCTTGCCAGCTTAAGGGCAGTGTCCGTTCCCACTGCTGCCCCTCATCCACTGCACGTCCTTGCCGTCCTTGAGGCCCAGGGAGCTGGGAGGGGGGCAGGAGGAGTGTTGTCCTTGTGTACAGGTGGGGAAACTGAGGCCCCACCCCAAAGGCCTGCGTGAGAAGCAGAGCTGGGACAGGAGCTGCTCTCCTCGTTCTCTGCAATTCCCCACCCCCGTCTGGGCCTCAGCTTCCACGTGAAGAGCGTGGGGAGCACAGTACTCCCAGGGTGGTTGGAGGATAGAAATGACCCATATGGGTTGAAGAGCTGGTGTGGCAGTTGAACAGCCCCACAGAGATGTCCACATCCTAACCCCTGGAACCTGTGGCTATGTGACCTTACAGGGTCAAAGACACTTTATAGATGGGCTTAAATTAAGGCTCTTGAGAGGAGGAGTGGAGCCTGGATGAGGCATGTAATCACAAAGGTCCTGAGAAGGAAGCAGGAAGGTCAGAGTCAGAGAGGAGACGCAAAGATGGAAGCAGAGCCGGAGTGATACGAGACTGCAGATGCCTCTGGAGGCTGAAGGGACCAGAAAACAGATCTCCCCTGAAGCCTCCAGAAGGCACACCATCCTGCCCACACCTAGAACTGGAGTTGATAAATGCGCACATGCTGTTTTCAACCACTGTGTCGGGGGTATTTTGTTATGGCAGCAGCAGGGAACTAATATGCCTGAGTGACCCCTTGTGACCCACTGAGAAGTGCTGCGTCGGGGAAGCCAAGGTGCAGAGGAAATGGCAGCGGCAACCTTGACATCAGGTGCCCAACCCTGGTTGCAGGAGGAGGTGGGGGCAGCCCAGGTGGCTGCTAGGCCGCTGCTGGCTTCTTGGGCCAGCTTCTGGGCAGACCATCCTGCTTCATGGCACAGCCTGAAAGGCACGAGCTGAGGATAAGGCTTCCAGGTTGGCGATTGGAGCAGGCACTGCTCAAATTGAACTGGCCCAGCTGCTAGGGGAGACTGGGCCGGAGAGGGTGGGTTCCCATTAAAGCCTGGGTGTGGGGGACATTAGCCATGACTCCCGAGGGGCATGGAGGGGGCAGGTGGAGTGTGGTCGGGACGAGGAGCCCATGTGGCCCTCCCAGGACCTCTCCAGCCACCTCGGTCCACCCTGAGCCCCAGCCCTGCTCAATGGCTGTGTGGGGAGCACCTTCCCTTCTGCAGAGGAGCCAAGCTTCCCTACCCTAGTCTCAGGAGGAAGGGGCCAGCCTGGGTTCTGGGGCAAGTGCCACCTATGCACAGAGCCCCACAGTCATCTTGGGATCTCCCAGCATCACCTGATGAGCAAGGACTGGCTGGGGAGGGGTCCCCAGAAGCACCCAGGCATCCTGGTCCTCTGGGATCCTCAGCCCCAAGTCCCTAGGGCAAGTTGGGGCGTGTGCCTGTCCTCACCTCTGGCAGCAGGAGTGCCAGGGCTTGCAGGCGGCAGCATGGGAACCTGCTGCTGCTCGGATCCCAGGCTAGCCCACACGGACTGCTGAGCCAGAGAGCCCGATGAAGACATGGGTTGAAGAAACCCATCCGAGTGGAACGATGGCAGCACCCTGACATGCCCCACCACTGCCACATTTCCTGATCCCAGCTGTGTGGGTGCAGAGGAAGTGGACCTGGGGACAATACCCAGGCCTGAAACGGGCACCCAGCTTTGGGGGAGAGTGAGGCGGTTAGAGGTCAGGAGTCAGTGTGGTCAGGCAAGAGTGGGAGGCTGGGTGGACAAGTGTCCCCCACCTGGTCAGGGGGTCCTCCCCCATCATCTCCGTATAAAAGACTGAGGAGGGGCAGGCAGTGGCTGAGACAGTCCTAGATGCTCCCACCTCACCTCACACCCCTCCATCTGGGCACGAGGCTGGGCTGGATGCAAGGCTGTGGCTGGGGCGGGGCAGGGACCACAGCAGAGCTATTTTTGCTTATGTTGCTGCAGCTGCCGCAGCAAGAATCAATCATTGATGCTGTGGGCATCCCTGCCTGCAGAGGGTGGAGGCAAGCAGCGCCAGTCAGGCCATGGGGGCAGGGCAGCGGCTCTGCTGATGATCAGGGCCTGGGGAGCCTCGGCTCCTCACCCAGGCCCCGGCACCCAGCCTCAGGAAGGCTGTGGGCAACCAGTGGGCTGGGCCAGTGTCCCCATCTCAGTGGTCCAGGGAAGAGGTGGAGGCTGTGTGCACAGGAGAGAGCATGCGATGCCCTCTCCCTGGGGTGACACCTACAGCAGGTGTGGGGCCTTGTATGTGCCAGGGGCGGCTGTGAGTTGGGCTTGTGTCCAGCGATGCTGTGGGTGGGGGCATGAATTCCTGAGCCCAGGCATGCTTCTGTGGTCCTCCCTAGCTGGGCATCTGTCCTCAGAGGGGCACATGGGGAGGAAACTGGAGCTGGGCGTGACGACAGGAGCGCAGGCTTCAGCTGGCGGGCAGGGCCCGGGATGGGGGCTGGCAGCCCCTCTCATCTTCTCCCCTGCTCCCACAGCTGTGACCCTGGACCCCTGTTTCAGCTGCTGAGGCCCTGGTGGGCGGGAGGAGGGATTCTGGCTGGCCCCTGGGGAGCCAGTCCTCAACTGCACATAGCCGCAGCCTGCCTGTTTGTGGGGGTACACTGCCCAAGTTGCAGGCCCTCCCAGAGGCATCTGGAGTGAGATAGAGCTCTCAGGACCCCAGGTTCCTTGAGGTGGGGAAGCTCTCTGGACAGACACCCCAAGGTGTCTTACTCATGACACTGTCAGCTTAACCCTCAAGCTAGGAGAAGACCCCCAGAAGGAGGGTGGGAGGGGCAGTCCCCAGCTCCCCGACAGTCACAACCAGACTGTGGCCCCAGCACTCAGGGCAGCGCAGAGCCAGAGGCCACTGCAGAGAGACACCAGCCCTCTGTCTCAGAGTGGGCAGGAGAAGGGAGGGACGGCCTCCGGGTGGAGCAGGCCCTGCCCAGACCCCATCCTGAATTCTGGGGCCACAGGGGAGCATGGCGCAGCTGCGTGTGTGTGTCTGTGCCCACCTTGGAAGTGGGCAGCCCCGTGCAGGGCAGAGGCAAAGTTCCTGGACCTGGGCAGCTGTGGTTGGTTCTGGGACCATTTCTTAGCCAGGGGAGGACAGGCCCAGTGGACACAGCTAGGGGAAGATCTCAGCCACCCCAGGCTGAGGGGCAGGACCAGGGCAAAGTCCTCCCAAGTGTGGGGTCCCCACACTCCCGTGACGCCACGCTGAACTTGCGCTCTCACTCGGCCCCCACCAAGATGGCCTGGAGGGTTCTCTCATCTTGCTGAAGGAAAACAGAGGCAGGGGCAGCAGGTAGTAGCCCAGGGACAGGGACATGTCGGGGGCAACCTCGGCTTCCCCACCCAGGGCTCCATCCTCACCCATCCCGCAAAGCCAAGGGGAGTCCCCGTAGCCCTGCGCAGATCACGCCAGACAATCAGGAGAGGGGCCACTTCATTTGGATGGGGACCCAGGAGGCCACATGACTTTGTCAAGGGCACACACCTAAAGGGGCTGAGGACACAAAGGTGGGTGAGTGCCCTGAGCGGCCCCTCGTTCCCAGGCCCTGCAGCCAGACTCAGACACAGAGGACTAGCGGGCGAAACCCCAGCAGACCAGGCAGAGGCATAGACACATCCAGGGACACACACAGAGGTGTATGCACCCAGGCACCCTAGTGGCTCTCTCCCTGTGTCCAGGGAGTGACTGACTCCAGGTGACCAGAGCAGGGTGGGCTCCTGGGGAGGGAGGTAAGTGCAGGGCCTCTGGACCCCAGGCAACACTGCTCAGCCCCGAAAAAAGGACACTGCGAGGGGGTGGGGTAAGACCTGCGCCAGGTCCCCACACGAGGGAGAAGGTTGTGCCCATCATGCCTGGGCTCACTGGCAGGAGGCTGCCAGGGCCTCTTCCCAGCAGTGGCTCTGGCGTCCATCTGACCTGCTGCTGGATGGCTGCCCGGTGGCTGCAGCGCGGCTAACGGGAACTGTCTAGGGTGAGTCATCGTGCCCGGGTGGCTCACCTGGGCCCGCTAGCTGTGCGTGGTCTCCAAATGAGCCCAGGAATGCGTGTGCCCCTGTGTGTATGTATACACGTGCATGGGTCTGTATCCTGGTGTGGGTGTTCATGCATGCAGGCCTGAGTGTATCAAATATCTCAGGTGGCCTGTGTCTGTGTCTTGGTGAGTTTGTGATCTTATCTATGAGTGTGTGTGTCTGCCTGGCCCTTCCGGTACAGCCTGGCCTCTTCCCACCCCAGGAAAAGGTGTCCGTGTGTGTGTGTGTGTGTGTGTGTGTATGACAGAGCATGTGTGTTTGTGTCTCTATGTGTATGTGTCTGTGTGTCTCTGTGTGTGTGTCTGTGTGTGTGTGAGTGTGCCTCTATGTGTACCTGTGTATCTCTGTGTCTGTGTCTCTGTCCATGTGTGTCTGTGTGTCTCTGTGTGTGTCTGTGTGTGCCTCTGTGTGTGTGTCTGTATGTGTACCTGTGTATCTGTGTGTCTGTGTCTCTGTCCGTGTGTGTCTGTGTGTCTCTGTGTCTTTATCTCTGTATGTATGTATGTGTGTGTGTATCCGTATGTGTGTCCGTGTGTGTGTGTGTCCCTGCATCTGACCCACACCCCTGGACATTGCCAGGCAGCTCCTCATGGAGGTGGCGGTCCTCTCCTGGGTCTCTTCCAGCCCTGCCTTCCCCGACAATCCCTGCAGAACTCCACTCCTTCTGGGGTATGCCCGGTTTGGGTCTACACCAGGCCAGGCGTCACCAAACTCTTAGAACTCCCTTGGGCCCCTGCCCTCCCTGTCCACACCCCCAGGTGTGCTGCCTCTGTGTGGTGCCCAAGCTAGATCCCAGGGAGGCTCCCACCCTCTGCACTCTGATCCTCACCAAGTCCCCTCTGCCTGCATATCCTTTCACTCCCTCCCATACCATGGCCGTGGTTCCACTGCTCCTGTTTCCAGCTGTGCCCCATGCCAACACCCCTAGCCACCTGCGCAGTCTTTCCTCAGCTCTCACCACGCTCAGAGACCCTGCTTGGAGCCTTAAGTGGCACCTCCTACCGACAGGAGCCCCCTCAGCCTCCTTGCTGCCCTGCCCCCGCCCACTGGGCCTGACTTTCAACCCCAGCCCTTTTGCCCCCATTCTCTGCACACACGCTACTCTGTCCCCTCTCTCCAGAACGCTTCCTACACTGCCTGGCACATGTCTCACCCCTAAGGTCCCAGCTTACACTGCCAGGAGCCCTCCAGGACCTCCGTTCCCCCGCCCCCAGGGCAGTGCCGCCCTGCAGAACGCCTCATCCTTACAGGCTTGCTTGTGTCTACGCCAGACCTGGAGCCCCTGGGGCAGGGCCAGTGGGGTGCTGGTTGCCGCTGTGTCCTAGGCCCTAGGCTCTTGACAAGAATCAGCAGAAAGGATGACTCTGGGCGGGGTTCTGGCTCCAGGACTGCCCCCAGCGCTGGGCGCTCCCGCACGCGGCGCCCACCCCGCAGCCCTGCCCGGGGCGCCCTGTTCCCGCTGCACGCTCTCAGCCGCGTCCTCGTATCTGCCACCCACCAGCCCCTGCAGAATTCTATCTTGTCCTTATGCTGCCAGATCACCTCCTGCGGTGCCCGCGACCCCTGTTGTCCCCGCAGGCTGCCCCCCACCCCAGCTTCTGACTAAAGTGTCTGTCTCCCCCGGAATGGGAGGTGAAGACAGCGGCAAGTCCAGGAGCCTCGGTGCGGGGATCCAGAGGTCGCTCCCTGGCGGGAGTCCAAAGTTAATTCTGCGGACGCGACAGGCGGGCCGGGGGCGCGGGGTGGGGCGGGGCCTGGCTGGGAGGGGCGGGGCCGCGGCGACGGCAGCCAATGGGCTGAATGAGGCCGACGGCACCGCCCGCGAGCGCGCTCCGCAGTGGCCCGGCAGGGCTGGGCGGAGCCGGGCGGGGTCCTAGCTGAGCGGCTGGGTAGCCTGGCGCGCGGTGTCCGCAGTCCGAGGTCGGCCGCCCGCGGCAGCGCAGGGCAGCGGGGCAGAGCGCGGCTCCCGCCCGCCCGCCCCGTGCGCCGGAGCCGGGACCAGCGACTGGACGCGACGGGCCGCCAGGCCCGCACCGCCTGGCCGCCGCGATGTGCGACTGCTTCCACATGGTGCTGCCCACCTGGCCCGGAACCCCCGGCAGCGGTGCGCCCCTCCCCGCCTGCAGCCCGCTCCCCTGGGGCGGGTGGGCTACGCGCGAGGGCGCGCGCCGGGGCGTGTCCAGGGGCGCGCAGTGCGGGCCTTGGGGGCGGGGGACTCGGAGACGCCTGCGGGACTCGCGCGTGGTTCTGGGCCTTCCCGGCCGCTGGAGTCTCTTCTCCCATGCCTCGCGTTCTACCTGTCCGTGGCTGTAGGTTCCTGCTCCTCTCCCGGCCTCTGAGACTGTCTCTGTCGCTCACTTTGTTTCTCGGTGGCTGACTCGTCTCTGTCGCTCACTCCCTCTGTCACTCGCGGTCCCTGTCTGTCTCTCCTTCTCGCTCCTGCCCCGCTCCTGGGACGCTGTCTGGTCGAGAGGCGGCCTCCTGGGAGGTGCTACCGCACTCTGGAGCAGGGCTGGTGTCTGCAAGGGGCGTGAAAGCCGGGGCCGCCGGGACCCGGGGCACCTGCACCAGGCTTGCCCTCTCACCTGCTTTGCGGGAGAGCAGCCAGGCTGGTCCAGGAGTCTGGGCTCTCCACTTTGGTCCGGGGCTTCCAGGCAGGGCTGGGCTGCGTCTACTGTGTGGCTGTGTGGTGGGGTCGCTGGCTAGGTGGAGGCTGTGGCAGGGCTAGGCCTGAGGTCTGGGGCCTGGTGAGGGGCCTGAATGGGGTCAAAGTCAGGCCACAGGGTCCCGCAGTGCTGGGCAAGGGAAAGTGGGTGCTACCTACTGGCATGCCCCCAGGGATGGTCAGTAGCCTCCCTCTGAGCCGCAGGCTACGGCATGTGTACCTGCTGCTCTTTGTGTGTCTGTCCCTGCACTGGGCCTGGTTCCGGGGCCTGGGTGTCTCAGCATCTTGGAGGGCAGGGCTGAGGGGGGCAGGGCAGTCCCTTGGGCGCTGGGTCTATGCTGCTGCAGCTGACCACACCCAGGGCATTGGCAGCCACTGGCCAGGGGGTTGGGCTGGCCGGCACTGGTGCAGGCTGGACCCCACTCCTTGGGGAAAACAGGTCAATGCTAATGGTGCCGACAATGCTGCAGGTGAGAGGGGTGCCCCTGGCCTGGGCATGCCCCCCAGCTGCAGCAGGCACTACCAAGGCCCCTCCTGTGGCCTGTCTGTCTGGTGCGCACTTAGGGTGGGAGGCTTGTCTGGGGGGCTCCAGAGCAGGGAGGCCCCTACAGCACCTGCTTCACGGTGTCGCAGATGGGAGCCCAAGGTGTTTGGGCACAGCAGCGGGAGGATGATGGCTCCGGTGGGCTGGAGGCCCCTGGCCCCCTCCTCTTTCACTATGACTGGCCCTGCCCACATGGCTGCAGGTCGACCTCCTCAGAGGGAGAAGGGCAGGGCCCCCAGGCATGGGACCACTACCCTGCCCCCAGCTTCCCTGCACAGCCTTTCTGCTCTGCTTCCTCCTCACTCACGGGCACCCAGAGACTCCCAAGCTGCAGGGTCCAGGACCATCTCATCCACCCCCTGCCTCCACAGAGGCTTGTGCTGGCTTCATGGTTCCCAGCCCGTCTGGGGCAGTCCCTCCCTGTGTCCAGCCTACGGAACCATCCGCTCTTAGGGAATAAGGTCAGTGGCTCTCGCTGGAGCTTTGGTAGGAGACTTGCAAGATCAGAGACCTTGGGAGTTCTGTCCAGCACACCGGTTCCCAGACCCTCCCCAACCCTGCGGCCCAGGAACGTGCATTCCTGACAAGCACCCTGCCAACTACTGCCTTTCCCAGCCTGGATTTGGTCCAGGCCTTTTCCACCTGCAGTTTCCTCTCAGCAGGCTGGAGATGGGCGGACTCTCCCCTGCTCTCGTCTTCCTGTCCAGTCCAAACCTGCCCTCTGCCCGACACACCAGGCACCAGCCCAGCAGGGAGCCATCTCCTGGGCGGCTTTTGTGCCGAGGCTGCCCCCTGGTGGCCATGCTGGGACCACCCCACGCAGCGCTGCCGACTGTAACACCAGCCAGTTCACTCCCAGTGGGCTCTGGGTGTCACACTCTTGCCTACTCCAGGGGCAGGTTGCCTCTTTCCCAGGGGCAGAGCTGGGCCCCTGATAACTGGGGAGACAGGGAACCCCTCCCCGGCCCCGGCCCCCACCCTGCACCTGCTGCCCCGGTGTGGCCTGAGCACCTCCCACGACCCCCCAAGAAAGCACCACCGTGTTGGGAAGGCCCCAGGTGGTGATACCATGCGAAGATGTGTGGGTGGTCTCTTCTCTGCGGTGGGGGTCATGAGATGGCTGGGCCCTTTCCCAAGAAGGGTGCAAAGCAAGGCAGCTGTGGAGGTGGTCTCGCTGTTCTGTGCCTCGCTGGTGCCCTCTTCAGGGCCTCAGGCTGCAAATGTGGGTCAGGACCTCACATTCGGGGTCAGGAGTGATTGCAGCTGCCTGTGCTGCTAGCTCCACGCAGCCAGGGATGCCGAGTGACAGCGCGGGCGGGTCTGTCACCACCCTGGTGTCTCCCTGACTGGGTCATCTACACTGGGGGAGGGCTGTATTCCCATTCTGCAGACAAGGACACTGAGGCTGGGGACAGTGACGCAGTGACTCCCTGGGCTCTTAGGGGCCAGAGCAGAATGTCGCACGCTTTGGTCGGTGACATGCTGTTCTGACAGGTGCTGGCTCTGCCCTGCCCCACCAGGCAGGGTGACCGCAGGCAAAGGAGCCCCTCTGTAGCCGCTAGTGGCAGGAATGGGCCTTGAGGAGGAGGCAGCAGAGGGCATCCTGGAGTGCCCTCCAGTGAGGTGGCCTCTCAGAAGCCACCGACAGTGATGCTGTAAGTGTGTTCCTAACAACCCCAGCTCTTTCCCTGGTGGGGAAACAGAAGCTGGACCACCAGGGAGGGAGGCTGGGCTGCCTGCTGGCCTCTGGCTCCTGCCCCAAGCCTCAGGCAGTGCCCACCTGGTGCAGCTCAGGGAAGGGGGTGAGGCTCAGAAGTGGACAGGAGGGTCAAGCCCGCAGAGCCTCCAGTTCCAATGCCCCAGGAGCCCGCTCCCTCCCGGCCTTCTCCATGCCCAGGAAGCTGAGTGCCCACTCCCATCCGGGCTCGTCGTGGCTGGGCCTACAACAGGAATGCCCTCATTGCCTTCTCTCCATTTGGCCAAGCTCTTCTGTCCTGGGCTGGGCTAGGAGCTGCCTCTTCTGGGAAGTCCCCTGGGTTGCTGGGCCCACTCCCAGCTCTCCCTTAGACTCTGGCCCGCTCTGTGTCCTTCCTCTTGTGACACCTATGCGGAAGGCCTCTGTGTTTCAGGCTCAGCTAGGGGCTGGCTTGGCCAGGTGTGGAGAAGTATAGGTGCTGGGGAGGAAAGGCCCCCAAGCCCCAGCAAGTGGGGGGCACTGGCCATCTGGGGGTCCCTGCCACCCACTTCAGGAGTAAAATGCCACACTCTCCCAGCTTGGTCTTCCGGCTGGCAGAGACGGACCCTGCGCTCAGGGATGGTGTGAGTTGTGGGGGTGCTTCCCCGTCTGTCTGGCGGCCTGTTCACCCATCCTTCTGGGTCTCAAAGCCACCCCGGGAACCCTGGGACCTGGGAGGTCATAGCTCAGCAGAGGAAGGATCCACCCATTGTTCAGTCAACAAATGTGAATCCCATTTTTGTGGCCAGTGCAGCCTTAGGGGGCACAGAAGGGCCAGAGAGGGCTCCCTGGAGGACAACTGGCCCAATGGAGACCGGGACTGGTCATGAAAAAGAAGCGGAGGCAAAGCAGCAGGAGCCTGCAGAGGCTGAGGGCGAAGTCAGGGACCTGCAAGTTGTTCAACCCAGTGCATCTGGGACGGGGTGGGGTGAGGATGGAGAGGTGGCAGCGTCAGCTGCTGGAGGGAGGGCTTTGTCCTGAGGGCACCGGGGAGCCCCATAGGTCTTAGGGCAGTTTTGGTGGGAAGGAAGCTGCTCCGTGGGGGATGTGGAGGCCAGGTTAGCTAAGGGAGCTTAGCGGAGGCTTAACTGGACACACAAGGAGGACGGGGCATGCTCCTCTGCTCCCCTCCACCCGCTCTAAGGGTGACGGGATCCCCAGCCACGCTGCGAGCTTGAGGGTGTCTCCACCAGGCCCCACCTGCACTCAGCCTGGGCCTCCAGATTTCCCTTTATTTTTCTTTTTTTGGAAGTCATCGGCTGGCCGGGAGTCAAGGCCTTCCTTGCTCGGATAAATATTTAATAGTCAGAAGCACTTTCTAAAATGGAAACATGGAGCTGAGCCCAGGAGGCAGGGGATGGGGAGGGGCTGGGGCGGGAGGCGGTACTCCCCCATCCCCGCACCCCACAGAGGCCAGGCAGAGGTTTTTGCAGCCACCGCCCTCCCCTCCCCTCCGGCTGCGGGTCCCTGCCCTGCCAGCTCTGCTGCGCACTCGGACCTGCTGACCCAATGTGTGCTTGTGAGGGTGGGAGTGGCATCGGGGCCTCCTCTCTGCAGAGCTCTTGGGAGGGACTCCTTCCTGCAGGGGTGGCGGTGGTGGGAGGCTAGGCAATTGCCCAGGCTGTTCCAGGCAGGAGTCCGGAAAGGGATCTCAAGCCACACCCCTGCCTGGACGCTGCTGAGGGTATAGCCAAGCAGGGGCAGCTGGGGGTACCCGGGATGTGGCAGGGGCAGGACACTTGGGGGACCCTTACTGGGCTATGTCCGTGTGAGCCCTGCCGGCTGGAGGGGCTGTCAGGTGATGGCGCCTGGGTGGGCAGGAGGCCCCATGACTCACCCCCACCAGGTGGAATTAAGGCCCCTTTGTTTAGGGCCACAGCCTTCGGTCCTCGCCCTGCTCCTGCTGCTTGGCAGGCCTGGCTCCTGGGTGAGCCAGCACCGCGGGCTCCTTGGTGACACACGCCCTGAGAATGCCGAGCTTCACGCCTTGGCCTCCTCCCGGCTGATTCACCATCCGCTGCCCTCAGCCCTCCCTGGCCCCCGCCAGCAGCCGAGTTCCCATGGCGACTCCTAGCTGGTCCTGGGTCCTAGCAGCTCTGAGCCAGGACTAGCTGTTCAGTGCGCATCACGGGACATGCCGGATGGCCTAGGTCTCAGGGTCTGTGATGTGGTGGCTTAGCAGAGCCCCTGCTTGCCGTCCCTCCAGCTGATCAGACACCTGCCTGACCACTGAGTCCCACCACGTGGTGCCAGGGGTCCGGTAGGTGGGGCCCCCGGGAACTGAGGCAGGTGAGCAAGGCCCTGCCCAGCACCCGCCTGCTGGTGGTCAAGTGTGCCTCTCTTGGGACTGGGTAGCAACAGGGGCAGGTGTGAAGCATGGCTCTCCAGCTCTTACCCTTCCCAGTAAGTGGCCCCCTGAGCCAGAGCCCAGGGCCTCCAGCCTGACCCCATCCCTTGCTGTGTGTCTGCACCGTGCTGTGGGCACCCACCGCCAGGGGCTCTGGAGCCGAGGGCTCGGTTCTGAGTGCCTGGCGGGGGAGCAAGTCCAGGATCTGAGCTGGGAGGGTGCCCCAGGCAGAGCCAGTGGCACGTGCTTAGAGTCTGGAGAGGGCCTGGGGCAGGGTGTGGTGCGTTCCCATGGCTGTCCGCGTTGGGGAGGGTGCACCAGGAGGAGATCTCCGTCATGTGTTCCAGGGCTTGGCGGACCACACTGGCCGCACTGCAGCGAGGGTCTGGGAAGGGCTTGCGTGGCCAGCGCTGTGGCCAGCTGTGCAGGGCACCTCCCTCTGGCTGCTGTGAGGTGGGCGTAGCTGGGGTGGGGGCCCCAGCAAAGGCTCTTGCGGGGGTCAGTGCTGTGTCTGGCATGACGGCCCCGCTCTGTGCCAGCGTCTCCTTCCTGTCCCACTCCAGCAGGCTGGGCCTCTGGGTACGGCGCTGACTCAGCCAGCCCTGCCCTGCCTGGCTGAGTGTGGGTGTCAGGTGGTAAACAGTAAACAGCGTTCCCAGGTGAGAGCTGTCTGGGAGTGTCCCTGGAGCAGACGTGGCCAGCTTTCCTGCCTCCGTGTAAATAGAGTCGTTTTCTATCTTTGTGACCGTTAGGTTTTTGTGTCAGCCTTTTTAGGGTATTGCAATGGGGGGAGGCCCAGAAGGGGCCTGGAATCAGGTCCCCACCTTTCAGGCCTGAGGAGCCCCTGAGGCCTCTCCCACCCCATTTGCCGGCAAGTGCCCCTGCCCTGGGGCTGGGACAGAGCCTTCCCTGCCCTTGAAGTCCTCTGGCCTACTTGAGGACCCCTTCTCTGTGTGCCCACCTCAGGCCACCCTGGCATCCCGTGGCGGGGGCAGCCCTCTCAGCTGCACCTTCCCACCTCTTCCCATGCCGTTGGGGCCTGGTGCAGGTGCAAGCCGTTCCATCGCTGACCTCCCAGGCTGGGTCTGACCCCTCGCTGCCCCTAAGGCCTGGGCTGGGCCTCGGCTGTGTGGGCCTGCTCCAGACTGCCTGTTGGAGGCACGTCCACACCCAGGCTATGGGCACAGGGCTGGCACACTGGGATCCCAGGGGGGCTACACGTAGCACAGCTGGTTGAGTCCTGCTGGAGCCTCCTGGCTGCCCAGAGCAAAGAGGAGTGGGGGCTAAGGGCCCAGGGTGCAGCAGGGTGAGGTGACCAGGAGGTGGGCCAGGCAGCTGGAGCTCTGGATAGTGGGGGACTTGGGGTCATGGGACTCAGGTGTTTCTCAGCCACCACTTGTATTGAAATGACGGGGAAGGATGGGAGGCTTGTTAAAAAAAAAAGCTAGGCCAGTGCGGAGGCTCACACCTGTAATCCCAGCAGTTTGGGAGGCTGAGGCAGAAGGATCACTTGAGCCTAGGAGTTTGAGACTAGCCAGGGCAACACAGGGAGACCTTGTCTCTACAAAAAATTTAAAAATTAGCCAGGCGTGCTGGTGTGTGCCTGCAGCCCCAGCCACTTGGGAGGCCAAGGCGGGAGGATCACCTGAGCCCATGCGTATGAGATCAGCCTGGACAATATGGTAGGATCCTATCTCTACAAAAAATTTTTAAAATTAGCCAGGTGTGGTGGCGTCACCTGGAGCCCCAGCCACTTGAGAGGCTGACACGGGAGGATGGTTTGAGTCCAGGAGTTTGAGGCTGCAGTGAGCCATGATCGCACCACTGCACTCCAACCTGGGTGAGAGAGAGACCCTGTTTCAAAAAATGCTGCTTCCTGAGCCCCACCGCACCCTGCTTACCAGATACCCTGGTGCTTCGAGGTGTGGTGGCCGCTGTGAGTTTGGGCTGAGCGGGCTGAAGGGAGGCCAGGGTCGGCTGCCCTGGGGGCTCAGGCAGGTGGCAGATGACCAGGCCCCAAGGTCACTGGCCCAGTGACCATGGGGGCAGGCCCTTAGGCTATGCCTCTCCTCCCTTCTGGGCCAGCCTCTGTCCTGGCCCCCATAGGGAAACTGAGACACAGGGTTTGTGCAGAGCCTGCCTAGGAGGGACCTGCCTCAGGCCTGTGTCTGTCCACACAGCAGGACCTGGCGCACACTAAGGCACTCACCAGACTGGGCTGGCTGTGTGACTCAGAGCGGTCTGTTCCTCTGCAGTCAGCTGCTCAGGCTGGGGGTGGGCACTCAGGGTGGGGTCCCCAGCTCCAAGAAGCTGAGTGAGTGTTGGGGGCTGGCCAGGCTCCTGGCCCATCAGGGGACCCGCCCACTCCCTCTGGTGGGATGTGGGGGTCCTGGCAGGGTCCAGAGCCAGCCCTAGGAGCAGGCAGAGGCGGGACAATGGGGGGAGGAGCTGTGGAGGGAAGAACCGGGCGTGGCAGGGGGAGGTGGCCAGTTGGGATCTTCGCTTCTGGGCCAGTTGGGAGAGCGTCTGTAGCTTCCTTGGTAAGTGGCTCCTGTGTCCATGTCCGGACACCTGCTTGCCTCACTCTTCCGCGGGTCTGTGGGGGCCAGCAGGCCACCAGCAAGGGGGGCTGGAGGAACAGAGCTGGGCTAGGCATCCCCCGACCTGCAGCTGACAGACGGGCAGGGGTGTTAGTTCACCGTGGCTCCAGCCAGGGCCAGCGGGCTGGGCAGGGATGTCAGGGAGAAAGCCCCGGAGCCCCTTCTCCTGGGTCCTGGTCCCTGGGGTGCCGGCGGAGCCCAGGCCATACAAGGTGTGTGGCAGGACACCAAGCTGTGGGCCCTGGGCAGGTAGGGGACAGTGGCTCTTGTTTCCAAGGAGCCTGGGTGTGGGGGGAGGTGAATGCCAAGAGCACCCACATTCAGGGCAGCCGCAGGTCTGCAAGTCCCCAAGGTGGGCGTGGGGCCTGGAGAAGGGTCCTCAGATGACCGTGTGCTTGCTTGGTGCACAGGGGCCCTGGGTGGCTGTGGAGGGTGGTTGCTTCCAAAGGCCAGGTTTACTCTCCTGGGGGTGCCCGAGGTGGGCTGTGGGGGCCTGGGGCGATGGGTAGCTCCATCACAGGGTCACACTGCCCTGGACGTCTGTGGGGCCGGCCTTTCAGCCCAGGGAAACTGGCTCAGGCTAGCCCGCCTGGGATGGATGGGAGCATGGGGCTGTTCCTTTTGGCTGCCAAATCCCTTGGAGAGGTGGCACATGTGCTACCCTGTGCCTCAGTTTCTCCAGGAGCAGAAGGAGATGAACTGGGCCCACCTGCTGCCCTCCCATCCCCATCAACTGGCTCCCACCCTCAGGCTTACCAGGCTTTTCCAGGAGATCTGACAAGCTCCTTCCTTTTTCCCATGCACTGCCTGCACTAGCATTTATTATGCACCTACTGTGTGCCAGGCTCTGAGTGCTTGGTGAGCAAAGTGTTCTGGGGACCAGGGAGCCGGCAGTGTCCAGAAGCCATGGCAGGGTGGCCAAGCTCAGTCTGTGAATTTGCCCAGCAGAGAAGACAGCCTGGGAAAGCCCAGAGAGAGAGCGCCTGTGGCCCAGGCAGGCACAGTGAGGGCTGGAGAGGCTGGGGATGTCGGCTAGGGCTAGAGCAGGCACGGAGAGGCTGCCAGGCCAGTCTGACCGATGGATGGCACCAGGGAGCTACGAAAGGTTGTTTCGGGAGAGGGTGATGTGAATAGCCTCACGGGTGCAGCTGGGCTGCAGTGGGGAATGGCTGCTGGATGGGCAAGGAGCCCAGCTCCCAGGTCTAGGGGACTGAGTCTGGCTTCCCCAGCCCTCCTGCAGCCTTGGAGGCAGACACAGAGGCAGGAGCAAGAGCCTGAGCTCATCCCGAGAGAGTTATCTCAAGAAGCATCGGGGAGGGGCGGGGGATGTTGCTCAGGGAAGTCTGAAGGTCTCATGACAGTCAGCCCGCTTGGCACCTTCTTCATGAAGTTCCACGACTGGGTGAGGCCCAAGTGCGGCCGGCTGTGTGTGCCTGTGTCTGGGTGGGCACCAGGTTTCCAGCCCGAGGGCAGTGACTCCCACAGGGCTCCCGCCTCCATGGCCTCACTCTGGGCTGTCCATGGGTGTTCAGAGGGAGGAGCCCAGGCCAGACACACAAGTGCACACACGCCCTAGCACCTGAGCACGTACATCCTGTGAGCACACACGTGTGCACACACACCTGCAAACCTGGAGTGGGCCATTCGTTCCTCCCACCCAGGATGGACTTTTCCGGCCACTGGAGAGCCAGTCTCCTCCCTGCCAGCCCCCAGGGCCCTGGGGACTTGCAAATGCACCCAACCATGCCCTCCCACCTGGAGGCCAGAGATGGGGCCCTGGGGCTGCCAGTTTAGAGGCAAACTTGGATTTTGTTTAAGCAAAATCCACCTCCTCCCCCCACGGACCTGTTCTGGACCCTCCAAGAACTCTCATTTAGCTGGTGGCTGGTGGGAGTCCTCAATCTGGACCCAGCTGTGGAGCAGGGGTGTTGGTGAGCCTCTGCCACACTCCCCGCCTGTGTTCCTTCTCCCCTCCCGCTCGGCCCCTCCCCGCCTCCCGGCCAGGATCTGCTCGTCCCCCAGACACACTGCCTGAGGCCCCGCCTGCTCAGGCCCTGCGCCAGGATAGTCCAGTTCTCGGGGAGGCAGCTTTTCTGGGCCAGGGTGGGTGTCCTCTGCGGCTTTCACTGTGGTACCACCCCCACCTGCCCTGGCATGCAAGGGACTGACCTGGGTCCCGGGGTCCCTCCACAAGGTTCAAGTTTTCACCCGCAGGAATGTTAATGGTAGTGTTGAGGCCAGGGCGCTGGGGGGCCCGGGGAGTGGGGGAAGGGCATTGGGGAAGGAACCAGGTGCCAACGGCCTGACCAGCTGGGCCTGGCTCAGGCGAGTCACCTCCACATTCTCCTCTGTGAAGTGGGGCTTTGGTGACCGTCAACAAACAGTGTCATGATTCAGGTGATGGGGCCACTTGCAGAGCCTGTCTGGGAGAACCGGAGGCCGGGCGGGCAAAGGCGGCCTCCCCTGCGCTCTGCGGCCGAGGCGGGGCTTCCTCAGGAGCTCGGGCCTGGGAGGCGGTGCTCTTGGCGGGGGACTGGGATACTGGGGGCCTTCCTCTCTCTCCCGACTGGCGCGGGTCCGAGGCCGGTAGCCTGGCTGCGCAGCCTTATCCCGAGGCGGGCAGGATTTCCCCCTTCCTGTTTGTGTTCCTGGGCCAGGCTCCTGCCAGCCCAGTGACTGGAGGGGTCCCCACTGCGCAGCTCTGTGGCCAGAGGCAGGTCTGCCGCTCGCTGAGCCTCTGCACTCCATCCCCACTACAGGCAGTGTAGGAACAGCCGCTCCCAGTGCGGTGGCTGAGGGTGGGGCTGGGGACTGTCCCGCGTGGGCCAGTGGCAGGACCAGGCACGAGGGCCAGCAGGAGCAGGGCTGGTCACGTCTCCTCCTCCTTCCCCCATGCAGGTTCCCAGCACAGGGTGTGCCCAGGGCTTGCTGTCGACACCCTCCCTCACCGGCCCCAACACCCACAAGACTACCCTGGAGAGATTTGGGAGTGCAGCCGGCTGTGCCCAGCTCAGGGGCCCTTGACCGTGGTGCCCACCCCCAGCCCAGCAGACCTGTGTTTCCCTGCCTGGCGAGTCCCTTCTCCGAGGAGTTGCCCTCCTGACCCTTTCTTGGGCCTCACAGCAGCTGCCCCCCACCCCCAACCCATCCAGGCTCCTGCCAGCTGGGTGGGGCTTTTTGGCTGGGGAGGCTGCGGAGGGACGGGGAGGCGGCTGGGTTTCTGGGCAGCCTCAGAACACCTGCCCCACCCTGAGTGCTAGGCAGGGCCTGGGACACCCGGTCTCCGAGGCAGTGGAGCCCCTCCCCACTCATGACCCCAGCTGCACCTGCTGCCAGGGGAGCAGCTGTGGGCCAAGTGACCCAGGGACCCTCCTCTGCCCCCAGCCCTGCTAGGTAGTTGCCCCAGCTCCACACCTACTGGCTGGGTCCCCTTGGGTAAGTGGCTCCCCTCCCCCAGCCTCAGTTTTCACATATGTTACCCACCTTGGGGATTGAGCGGCAGGGTCTGGGCAGAGCAGGAAGGGAAACTGAGGCCAGAGAGTGGCTTACCTGCCATTGCCCTTGGCTTAGCGGTGGGCAGGCTCTGGCCAGATTCCTGTCCCTTTCCTTGGCACCACCCCGTCCCACGAATTTGTTGTGGGTCTGGTGTGGCTGGAGCTCCAGGCAGCTCCAGAGGGGCTGGGGTGGCCCCAGCTGGTGGTCCCTCAGGGTTGTGGGGTGCACTGGGGAGCCCTGGCAGGGCCACGTGGAGGGAGTGGGAGGGGGCAGGTGGGCAAGGAGTGGAGGGTTTGGCAGCCATCTGGGAGGCAGAGCGGTGGGGCTGGCCAAGTTCTGTCTGTGCAGGTTGGGGGTGCGTCCAGGTGGGAGCAGCAGGGGCCCTGTCAGGTGGTGGGGCAGTGTCTGAATGCAAAGGTGAGTGAGATGGGCCCAGGTGGCCAGGACAGAGCTGTGCAGAAGGGAGACAGGGTCTTGCCCCTTCACTGCCTGGTTAGGGAGAAGGGGCCTGTGGAGGAGATCGTGTTGTGGGGTTGCCAGGGGTACAATTCTTGGGCTGACACCGTGGGCAAGGCTGGTTTGGCAGGTGGGGGAAACGGAGGTTGTGGCTCTGCTGGGGGGTTATGGAGGCCAGGGGTCTGGGCCTGGCCCCCGGAGCAGTAGGAAGGTGGCGGGGCCGGGATGACGTGGGGGTGAGTGTTGATGCCTCCTGGCACTGACCCAGCCCTGCCTGCCCTCACCTCCTGCCCTTCTCTTCCTTCGCTTGAGAGAACCTCCTCCAGGAGACACCATCCTCCAGCCCTGCCAGGCCTGAGAGCAGAGCCAGAGGGGACCTGGGCTGTGAGCCATCTTGCAGAAGGGCAAGGAAAGGCCCGTGAAGCGGTGAGGGAGTGGCAGGGGCCCGCGCAGGCAGAGGTGCTCTTGGGATGAGCAGGCATGGCCCTGGGGGTGCCTCTGCGGGAGCAGTGTCTGTAGCCCAGCAACCCACAGTCAGGGCAGGCAGGGTGGTCCACATATCCATGAGGGAATGAAAGCTCAGAGAGGGGATGAGCTTGCTCAGGGCCACACAGCACACTGGCCAGAGGAGCAGCCAGACCTAGACCACTGCCGGGACTGGGCCTCCCCATCTGTCTTCGTGGGACAGTCCCCAAGGCCAGGACACCTACCGCAGGGGACAGGGAGCAGCTGGTCCCCGAGGCCAGCACACCACCCCAAAGGATAGGGACATGCTCCTTCCCAATCAGTGTCCTACCAGCAACTGGGTCTGGGGCAGGGATGGGGGCCTTAGTTCTGAGACCCTCCTTGTCACTGCAGGAGGGAGGCCCTGGAGCCCAGGCCAGGGCGCCAGAGTTGGCGTAAGATTGGTACTGTTTCTTCTTGGAATATTTAGAGTATAATTCAGAGTGGGGTTGAGACTGGAGTCCTTTTTGTGGGACGGTTTTAAATAAGGGATTTGATTTTTTCTTTTCTTTTCTTTTCTTTTTTTTTTTTTTTTTTTTGAGACAGAGTTTTGCTTTTGTTGCTGAGGCTGGAGTGCAATGGCATGATCTTGGCTCACTGCAACCTCTGCCTTCTGGGTTCAAGTGATTCTCCTGCCTCAGTCTTCCTAGTAGCTGGGATTACAGGCGCCTGCCACCATGCCCAGCTAATTTTTGTATTTTTAGTAGAGATGGGGTTTCACCATGTTGATTTTTAAATCGTTACAAAAATACTTGGATTATCCATCGGGGCGTCCGTCCTATCTTTTGGCTTCCCTGGGCTACATTGGAAGAAGAAGAATTGTCTTGGGTCACACATAAACTACACTAATGATAGCTGATGAGCTAAAAGAAACAATTGCAAAAGAGTGTAATAAAGTTTTAGGAAGTTTATGAATTTGTGTTAAGCCGTATTCAAAGCTGTTCTGGGCCACATGCGGCCTGTGGGCCGTGGGTTGGACAAGTTTGGTTCTTCTTGTGGGTTTTCTAGGAATATATCCAATCAATCGAAATTTTCAGATTTATTAGTGTAAAGTTTATAATTGTGTTTGATTTTATATAGAATTCTAAAATTTTTTATGGAGAAAGGGTACAAACCATGGCACACCCAAGTAATTAGTCCTCTCCAGGAGACCCTGTCTGCCTGCTCCCCCTGGTGACTTCAGCCCTAGGTGGCCTGAGCCTGACTGTGAGCTGGATGTGACGGGCTCCCCCGGTACGAGCGCTTTTTATATCTAGCTTCTGTGTCTCAACCTTGTGTTTGTGAACTTCATCCACGTTGCACATAGGCATAGTTTATACCATATACTGTTCCATTGGACAAATACCTCGCATTTTTTTTTATTCTACTGTTGATGGACATTTGAATCTCTGGTTTCTGGGTGCTGCAGATTATACTGAGATGGATGTTCCTGCATCCATCTTTTGAGGGACATATGTGCGCATATTTCTTGGCTCTGCCCCTGGCTATGAGTTGCTGGGCCACAGGGTAAGGCTCTACCAGGCTGTTTCCAAGTGGTTGCGCCAGCTGACCCCCAACCCACACCAGGATGGAGTTCCAGCTGCCCTAGGCCTTGTCTCCAGGTGGTCTGCCTCGACTTTTCCATTTCAGCCATTCTCCTGGGAGCATATGGCACCTCGTGGTTTTGTTAGCATTGCCCAGATGACTAGAAATGCTGGCCATCTTTCCATATACTAATCGGCTGGTTGAATATCCTCTTCTATGAGCTACCTTTCCAGTGTTTTCTTGCCCATATTTCTATCGGGTTGTTTGTCTTTTGGTTTGCAAGAATTCTTTGTGCATTCTGGGTTGGAGGCCTTTGCTTGGTAAATGTATTGCAGGTATCTTTGCCCAATCTGTGTTTTGGGCAAAGATAGCTGCAATTTATCGATTTCATTTCCTTTGGATATATACCCAGTAGTGGGACTGCTGGATCAAATGGTAGTTCTATTTTTAATTTTTTGAGGAACCATCCATAGTGTTTTCTATCATGGCTATACTAATTTACATTTCATGCCCTTAGTGGTGTTTTTTGATGAACAGAAGCTCTTAATTCTTTTCTCTCTCTCTCTTTTTTTTTTCTTTTTTTTTTTTAGACGGAGTCTCGCTGTGTGGCCCAGGCTGGAGTGCAGTGGCGCAATCTCAGCTCACTGCAAGCTCCGCCTCCCGGGTTCACGCCATTCTCCTGCCTCAGCCTCCCGAGTAGCTGGGACTACAGGCACCCGCCACCACACCCGGCTAATTTTTTGTATTTTTAGAAGAGACAGGGTTTCACCGTGTTAGCCAGGATGGTCTCGATCTCCTGACCTCGTGATCCGCCCGCCTCGGCCTCCCAAAGTGTTGGGATTACAGGCGTGAGCCACCGCGCCTGGCCAGAAGCTCTTAATTTTAATATAGACCAATATCTGTCATTTTTTGTGTGTTCTGTTTAAGAATTTTTCCCCTACTCCAAAAGTAATTTCTATTTATTTTCTAGAAATTTTATTGTTAAGCCTTTAATTTTGGATCTGTAATCCACATGAAATTAATTTTCTCTGGCTGAGGTGGGGCGAAGATTAATGTTTTTCCATATGGATATCCCATGGATCCCAGGCCATGTGTTGAACAGATCATCACAGCTTTGTGTACGTGTGTCTGTTTCTGGGATCTCTGTTCTGTTCCATTGGTCTTGATTTGCATTTTCCTGATGACTGAAAATGTTGAGCATCTTTCCTTGTACTTATTGAACACTCGTACATCTTCTTTTGTGAAATGTCTGTTCAAATCTGCTGCCTATTTTTAGCTGAGCTTTTTCTCTTCCGTTGAGTTGTACACAGGCTCCATGCAAGTCCTTTGCCAGATACATTCACTGCCTTTTCGTTTTCTGAGGAAAATGAAAGCTCTTAAGGCCAGTGTTTTAAATTATGAGAACTTAAATTTATCAGTTTTCGTTCTATGATCCTTACCTTCTGTATCCTAAGAAAACTTTGCTGCCCTCGAGGTGTTAAAGAAGTTCTCCTATATTTTCTTCTAGAAGTTTTATAGTTTTTGGTTTTACATTCCCCTCTATGATTCATTTCAAATTCATTTTCATGAGTGATGGGATGGAAGGGTCCAGGTTTATTGGTTTCCCAGTAAATACCCAGCTGTTCCAGGACCATTCGGTGAAAAGACTTTGCTTTCTGTTGGAATAACTGGGCTGCTTTGACAAGAATTTGGCCGGGCATGGTGGCTCACGCCTGTACTTTGGGAGGCCAAGGCAGGTGGATCACTTGAGGCCAGGAGTTCAAGACCAGCCTGGGCAACATGGTGAAACCCCATCTCTACTAAAAGTACCAAAAAAAAAAAAAATTAGTGAGGCATGATGGCGCATGCCTGTAATCCCAGCTACTTGGGAGGATGAGGCACCAGAAACGCTTGAACCCAGGAGGCAGAAGTTGCTGTGAGCTGAGATTGTGCCACTGCATTCCAGCCTGAGCGACAGAGTGAGACCCTGTCTCAAAACAAAACCAACCAACCAACAAACAAGAATGAATTGGCCATGTAAGTGTGGGGCTGTTCTGGACTTTGTTTTCTGTTCACTGATTTGTGTTTCTGCCGCACTGTCTTGATTCCACTGGGGGTCAGAGAAGAGAACTCGGATGACTGAAGTTATTTTAAATTCGTCAAGACAGGTTTCTGAGCCAGCATGGGGCCTGTCTCAGTGACTGTCCCCTGTGCACCTGAGAGCAGCATGCACCGGCTGCTGTCAGGAGTGTTCTCCCAGTGCCAGTTTGGTCTCGTTGGTTGATGGGTACTTCAAGTGTTTTGTATCTTCCCCTATTCTACTTTGTAAGGTTATCATTTCCTAAGAGTGTTAGAATCTCCTATTGTATAATAATTGTGGATTTATTTCTCCTTTCAGTTTTGCCAGTTTTTACTGCAGTGTTTCAAAAAGGAGATCTAGGTGTTTTTTGGTTTGTTTGTTTTTTGAGACAGGGT
Source organism: Homo sapiens (assembly GCF_000001405.40). Classification (NCBI taxonomy): domain Eukaryota; kingdom Metazoa; phylum Chordata; class Mammalia; order Primates; family Hominidae; genus Homo; species Homo sapiens. The sequence goes on along the minus strand of NC_000014.9, from coordinate 104,961,962 downwards.
CTTGCTTTGCTGCCCCGGCTGGAGTGCAGTGGCATGAGCTTGGCTCACTGCAGCTTTAACCTCCTGGGCTCAAGTGATCCTCCCACCTCAGCCTCCCGAGTAGCTGGGAATACAGATGTGCGCCACCATGCATGGCTAATTTTTAAATATTTTCTAAAGATGAGGTCTCACTGTGTTGCCCAGGCTAGTCTCAAACTCCTGGCCTCAAGTGTTCCTCCTGCCTCGGTCTCCTAAAGTGCTGGGATTACGGCACAAGCCACTGTGCCCAGCCTAGCATTCCATTTTGGTTCCACTATTGGCTTATTACCTATACATCTTTTTATTTTTTTAATGGTTGCATTATGCTTTATACCCTGAATATTTAACTTATTACAGTATAATTTCAAGTAAGATTGTCCTACTTTAAGTATAATGTAAGATCTTCACAACAGCAACTTTTTTTTTTTTTTTAAGATGGGGTCTCGCTGTCACCCAGGCTGGAGTGCAGTGACGCGATCTCGGCTCACTGCAGGCTCCGCCCCCCGGGGTTCACGCCATTCTCCTGCCTCAGCCTCCCGAGTAGCTGGGACTACAGGCGCCCGCCACCTCGCCCGGCTATTTTTTTGTATTTTTAGTAGAGACGGGGTTTCACTGTGTTAGCCAGGATGGTTTTGATCTCCTGACCTCGTGATCCGCCCGCCTCGGCCTCCCAAAGTGCTGGGATTACAGGCGTGAGCCACCGTGCCCGGCCCACAACAGCAACTTTTGCACTCCATCCCCATCCTGTCATATGCTTTACTTCTATATTTGTAAAATTCTAAGATACATTTTATTTTATTTGTTTTTTTTTTTGGAGACAGAGTCTTGGTCTGTTACCAAGGCTGGAGTGCAGTGGAACAATCTCAGCTCACTGCAACCTCCACCTCCTGGGTTCAAGTGATTCTCCTGCCTCTGCTTCTTGAGTAGCTGGGATTACAGACGTGCACCACCCTGCCCAGCTAATGTTTGTATTTTTAGTAGAGAGGGGTTTCACCATGTTGGCCAGGCTGGTCTCAAACTCCTGGCCTCAAGTGATCTGCCCTCCTTGGCCTCCCAAAGTGCTGGGATTACAGGTGTGAGCCACCGTGCTGACTTATTTTTGTTTTATACAGTTAATTACCTTTTTCTTTTACAGTTTCATTGAGGTACAGTTTATAAACCATAGAACTCACCCATTGTAAATGTACAATTCAATCATTTTACTAACCTTATAGAGTTGTGCAAACATTACCACAATCCAGTTCTGGAAGACCTCCATCACCTTCCAAATTTTCTCAACCCCATTTACAATCAATCTCCCTTCCCACTCCCAGCCCCAGGCAATGCCAGCTTAATTCTGGTAAATTATAGAAACTTTGGTCCAGGGTACACTTGTGCCTCAGCATCCATGAGGGATTGCTTCTAGGACCTCCCTCAGATACCAAAATTCATGGATGCTCAAGTCCCTTCTATAAAGCAATGTAGTATTTGCAAATAACCTACATACATCTTCCCTCCCCTATACTTTAAATCATCTCTAGATTACTTATAATACCTAATGCAATGTAAATGCTATGTAAATAGCTGGTATACTATATTGTTTAGGGAATAATGACAAGAAAAAAAGTCTACACGTGTTCAGTACAGGTGCAATTTTTGGGAGAACATTTTTGACCCAAGTTTCATTGAACTCAGGATACAGAAACCACTGATATGAGAGGCTGACTGTATACCCTCTCCTCCTACTCCTTTTTGCTATTATTGTCACGTATATACTGTATCTATATATGTTATAATCCTAACAATATGGTGTTAGAATTGTTGCCTTATATAAGTGGTTCACAGATGATTGTCTGTCTTCTAAATCCAGCCTCCTTTTTGTTTTACAAGTAAAGTTTTGTTGAAACAGTTTTGCTCATTTATTTACATATTATCTATAATCTATAGCTGCTTTTGTACTATGGCTGCAGAGTTGCAACAGAGATCATGTGGCCTGGTAAGCTTAAAATATCCACTATATTGCCTTTTTCAAGAAAAGTTTGTCAATCCTTGCTTTATACAATCCTCTGTTTTTGAAAGAAGTTAAGAAATAAAATGAGGACAATATATATTCATAGAGTCTTTTATATTTGCCTGCATAGTTACCATTTTCTGCATTCTCCATTTCTTCCTGTGCATTTGACTTAGTGTCTGGTATTAGTTCCTTTCAGTCCGAAGGACTTCTTTAGTATATCTTGTAAGGCAGATTTGCTAGCAATGACATTTCCAAGTCTTTGTTCATTTGGGAATGCCTTTATTTTTCCTTTTTTTAAAATTTAAATTTTTATTTTTTTGAGACAGAGTCTTGCTCTGCCTGACTAGAGTGAAGTGGTGCAATCACAGCTCACTGCAGCCTCAACCTCTCAGGCTTAAGCTATCCTCCCGCCTCAGCCTCCTGAGCAGCTGGGACTATAGGCATGCACCACCATGCCCCGCTAATTTTTAAAAAAATTTTTGGGCCGGACACGGCAGCTCATGCCTGTAATCCCAGCACTTTGGGAGGCTGAGGCAGGCGGATCACGAGGTCAAGAGTTCAAGACCAGCCTGGCCGACATGGTGAAACCCGTCTCTCCTAAACGTACGAAAATTAGCTGGGCATGGTAGCGCGTGTCTGTAGTCCCAGCTACTCGGGAGGCTGAGGCAGAAGAATCACTTGAACCTGGGAGGCGGAGGTTGCAGTGAACCAAGATCGTGCCACTGCACTTCATCCTGGGTGACAGAGTGAGACTCCGTCTCAAAAAAAAAATTTTTTTTTGTAGAGATGAGATCTTACTATATTGCTCAGGCTGGCCTTGAGTTTCTGGGCTCAAGCAATCCTCGCACTTCAGCCTCCCAAAGTGCTGGGATTACAGGCATAAGCCAGCATGCCCAGACTATTTTGCCTTTATTTTTGGAAGGATAGGTTGCTTGATATCAAATTCTTCGTTGACAACAGTTTCTTTCAGCCCTTTGAATATATTGTTCCACTTTCTCGTAGCTTCTATGGTTTTGATGTGATTCAGGTGTTAGTTGTATTTTTGTGCCCTTATTATGTGATGGGGCCCTTTCTCTTAAGCATTTTGACTGTGACGTTTCTAGGTGTGGATCTCTGTGTTTCTCCTGCTTAGGTCTGGTCGCGCTTCTTGGATTCTGCAGATTGTTTTCAGCTATCACTTCTTCAACTCTCTCTTCTGCCTCTTTATCTTATGGTTAATGCTCTGAGACTCTGTTTTTCTTCAAACAATCTTCCCCCTGACCCCGTTCTTCAAATTGGTTAATTTATATTAATCTACAAGTTGATAATTCTTCTGGTATCTCAAATCTGTTGGTGAACCCCAGTAGTAAATTTTCAACTCCAGAATTTTTGCTTGCTTTTAAAAAATAAGTTTTATTTCTTTATGAGATTCTCTCTTCATTGAGCCATTGTTAACATATTTTCCATTAATTTTTTAAACATGATTTGTTTTTGTGTTTTGAACAAACTTTTTTTTTTCTTTTTGAGACGGAGTTTCACTCTTGTTGCCCAGGCTGGAGTACAATGGCACAATCTCGGCTCACCACAACCTCCGCCTCCCAGGTTCAAGTGATTCTCCTACCTCAGCCTCCTGAGTAGCTGGGATTACAGGCATGTGCCACCATGCCTGGCTAATTTTGTATTTTTAGTAGAGATGGGGTTTCTCCATGTTGGTGAGGCTGGTCTCGAACTCCCAACCTCAGGTGATCCACCCGCCTCAGCCTCCCAAAGTCCTGGGATTACAGGCATGAGCCACCGTGCCCGGCCTGAACAAACTTTTAATAGTTTCTTTGAAGTCTGTATTAAACCCAGCATTAGTAGACATTTAGAGACACTTTCCATTCACTGCTTTGTTTCTCAGTATGGACCATACATTCTTGTTTCTTCGCGTAACTTGTAATTTTTTGGTGGCTGCTGGACATTTTAGATAATATATTCTGGCAGCTCTGGATTCTGATCCTCCCAGGGTGTGGTTATACAATAACAAACGCCTTGTGTTTGTTTAGTCACTTTCTTGGACTAAATCTGTTCCAACTTGGAATAAGTCCAGTCTCAATTCACTGCTACCTGACGTGATGCCTCAGCCTCTCCAGCCCATTGGCTATAGATCTTCCCCCAGCCCCTGAGTTTGCTCTCCGATCCAGTGTCCAGGAAAGGACTATGACACCTCCACAGTGTACATACAGTCCTGGCTCCCTCCCCCGGGCCCCGATCTGCTCCCCCAGCCTGCTTGTCTCCACTGACAGCCACTCTCTCTGCAGTGTCCGGCCGTCAGCTGCAGCCCGGGGAGCCAGGTGCAGAAACGGAAGATGACCACTCTGTAAGTGAGAGCAGGAGGAAGTGTGTCCTCCTCATACCCTGCCCCCATTCTCCCTGGGCCCTGGGAGAACCGAGTGGCAAAAATAACTGGATTCTCTCCCGTCAGGTGACTGAAGGGCCTGCGGATGAGGGCATTCGACCACGGCCGCAGGGGTCTTCACCTGTCTACGAATACACGACTGAGGCTGCCGACTTTGGACTCCAGGTGAGCCTGCTGGGCAGAGCCCCACAGGCACCCAGGTCTCCTCCTGCATCGCCCTGTGTGGGCAACTCACGCATGTCTGTTCAACCTTGCTGCCCTGCCCCGCTGCCCACTGGGCAGTGCCCACTCAGATGTCCTCTCAGACTCCTCTGTGCCCTTGGGTCCCTCCCTGTGGCCGGCCAGGGCACAGTGGGATGGAGGTGCCCTGCAGCTCTTGTGAGCATGCGTATGGGCTGATGGGGACAGGCCTCATGTTACTGTGTTTGTGTTTCAGGGGCACAGGGTGTGTGCATCCCTGCACCTGTGTAACACACTCATGCTGTCTTTGGGGACAGGGCCCCATGGCTACCTCTGGAGACAAGGACTCGGGGAAGGGATCAGAGGAGGCATGTCTATGAAAGGATTCATTTTTGTACAATTTGAATTTCTTATCTCCCTCCATACAAAACTCCAGTTGCTGTGGGGCTTCCCTATGGGCGCTGTGGGCTGTAGGGTGGGTGCTGTGGGCTGTAGGCTGGGCCCTGTCGGGAAGCAGGAAGGCCGAGAGTTGCCTTTTCTCTGTGGATGTGCCTGGAGGAACTCGGCTGCCTCTGCACACAGCTGTGTGTTGGAAGTTCTGGGCCCCTCTGAAGGGAGGGCTCCTGGTCTGGCACCAGCCTACCTGTGCCCCTCCCTGTCCCTGAGCTGGGGCAGGTGCCTAACTCCCAACACTTGTGGCTGCAGGAAGACGCCCCCGGCAGGCAAGGTTCTGCTGGGAGACGGAGATCCTGGTGGAAGCGAGATTCAGGGGACTCACGGACATTTTTCAGGATGAGTCGTCCAGAGGTGGGTACAGCAGGAGCTGAGGGTCACAGAGGTGTGTCGGTCCTCAAGGGATCCAGCCAGAGAGTCCGAGGTCAGAGCAGGCAGGGGAGGAGCAAAGAGGCTGGCAGTGTGCCCCGTGCCCTGGGGAGGAGGGGTGTTCTTGTCCCCCTTGTCAGGCCTGGGGAAGGGCAGGGGCTCCAGAAGGCTACATCTGGTCCTGGCCCTCTCCACCCCTCCCTGGGGTGGAGTCTGATGCATAGCCAAGCTCCTGGCCAGGTAGACCTGGCTGTACAGACCTCGATTTTCTCCTCCGTGCAATGGGGCAGTGCTGGTGTCTGTTGCATATTCAAGCTGTGGGGCTGAAAAGGCCAGTCAGCACCCAGGCCATGGAACTATGGAAGGTGCTAGACTCTGCTAGCACCCAATGATGAGGGCACTCTGCCTCTTAAGCAACTAGTTTTTTTCCTTGGAGGCCCCAGCAGTCCAAGAGCTCTGCAGGACACAGGCCCCATCCTGTCCCAGGTCTCGCAGGCTGCACCCAATGTCCCGTATTTTCCTTGGCATTGCTGTGCTTCCTTGTCTTGAGCATCAGGTGCCTTGCACACAACTGGTGCTTCACGCGTTTGTGAAGAATGCATGAAGGAGCTGAAAAAGAGAAACTGGCCACAGGGAAAGCAGAATCCGTTCTGCGCTGCTCCTGGTGCCCTGCTGGGCCTGGTGGCATGGACAGGCTGTGCCTAAGTCCTGGCAGGTTGGGGTGGGGACAAGAGTTCTGGCAGGTTCCAGCTGGCTTCCTCCAGAGCTCAGAGACAGCTACCTGAGCCCACCTGGTGGGTACCCTACTCTGCTCTGTGTTGTCTGGGCTGATGGAAAGGATGGTGGGGTGCCCATCCTCTGGAGACACAGGCCCCAGCAGGGATGCTTATGGTGGGACTGGCACATGCTCACCATGGCCCTGATGTGCTTCTGCTCCAGGCTGTCCAGGAGGCAACAGAGGTGACGCTGAAGACAGAGGTGGAGGCAGGAGCCAGTGGCTACAGTGTCACAGGTGGTGGGGACCAGGGGATCTTCGTCAAGCAAGTGCTGAAGGACTCCTCAGCCGCCAAGCTTTTTAACTTGAGAGAAGGTGCCATGGCAGTTCCATCCCTGGGGTCACCATTCTCCCCACCAGGATGGGAGGGACCTGGAGGGGGGTATTGAGGGGTAAGAACCACACCTGGAGCTTAGGATGACCTCCTCACGCCTCTGCTCAACAGCTTGAGGCTGGGATCACCCACTGCATCTAGTAAAATGGGGGACCCCATCCACCTTGCCTGTGCCTGAGGCACTCAGTGGGGGACTGGTGGGGCAGACTCAGTGGGATTCCCCCTATTCATGTCCCCGGGACCCTCCTCGCCAGCCAAGGCAAGACAGCAGACCCCGTCTCATTCACACACCCGGCCCTGGGGCTGCTCTTTCTTGGTCTAGGGGATCAGCTGCTCAGTACAACCGTGTTCTTTGAAAACATAAAATATGAAGATGCTCTCAAAATCCTTCAATATTCAGAGCCGTACAAGGTTCAGTTCAAAATCAGACGGCAGCTCCCTGCCCCACAGGATGAAGAGTGGGCTTCCAGCGATGCCCAGCACGGCCCACAGGGCAAGGAGAAGGAGGTGAGACCACTATGCCCGGGGGGCAGGGCCCCAGCTGGCTTCACTACCCTGCTGGCTGAGCCTGGGAGGGGATAGCACTCCCACTCCATCTGTCCCTGGGCCAGGGCCCCAGGCTTCTTGGACTGGCACCAACAGATTCCCTCTCCCTATGTTTCAGGACACGGATGTTGCTGATGGGTGCAGAGAGACCCCCACGAAAACTCTGGAAGGAGATGGGGACCAAGAGAGACTCATCTCCAAACCAAGGGTGGGGAGAGGCAGGCAGAGCCAGAGGGAGAGGCTCTCTTGGCCAAAATTTCAATCCATAAAGAGCAAGCGGGGGCCGGGACCCCAGAGGTCACACAGCTCGTCAGAGGCCTACGAACCTAGGGACGCACATGACGTGTCCCCTACAAGCACAGACACAGAGGCCCAGCTCACGGTGGAGCGCCAAGAGCAGAAGGCAGGGCCGGGCAGCCAGAGGAGGCGGAAGTTCCTCAACCTCAGATTCAGGACAGGCTCGGGACAGGGCCCTTCATCGACAGGACAGCCAGGCAGGGGGTTCCAGAGTGGGGTGGGCCGTGCTGGGGTCCTGGAAGAGTTGGGGCCCTGGGGTGATAGCCTCGAGGAGACTGGGGCTGCCACAGGCAGCAGGAGAGAGGAGAGGGCAGAACAGGATCGAGAAGTGATGCCTGCTCAGAGCATGCCATTGCCCACAGAGCTCGGTGACCCTAGACTTTGCGAGGGAACCCCTCAGGAAGGGGGACTCAGGGCAGCCAGGCTCCATGGAAAGACCCTGGAGGGGCAGGCACAGGAGACAGCAGTGGCCCAGAGGAAGCCCAGGGCCCAGCCAACTCCTGGAATGAGCCGGGAGGGTGAAGGCGAGGGACTGCAGAGCCTGGAAATCGGGATCGCCAGACTGTCCTTGAGAGACACAACCGAAGGAGGCACACAGATTGGCCCACCAGAAATTAGGGTGCGAGTACACGATTTAAAGACACCAAAATTTGCATTTTCCACAGAAAAAGAGCCAGAAAGAGAAAGGCGCCTTAGTACCCCACAGCGAGGGAAGAGACAGGATGCGTCCTCAAAAGCGGGTACTGGCCTGAAGGGTGAGGAGGTGGAAGGAGCCGGGTGGATGCCGGGCAGGGAACCAACCACACATGCAGAAGCACAGGGGGATGAAGGAGATGGAGAGGAAGGACTACAGAGGACAAGGATCACTGAGGAACAGGACAAGGGCAGGGAAGACACAGAAGGACAGATAAGAATGCCCAAGTTCAAGATACCCTCCTTAGGATGGTCGCCAAGCAAGCACACAAAGACAGGCAGAGAAAAAGCCACAGAAGACACAGAGCAGGGAAGGGAAGGAGAGGCCACAGCAACAGCTGATAGAAGAGAACAGAGACGCACAGAGGAAGGATTAAAAGACAAAGAAGACAGTGACTCAATGACAAACACAACAAAAATACAACTAATACACGATGAAAAACGCTTAAAAAAGGAACAAATTCTGACAGAAAAGGAAGTGGCCACCAAAGACAGCAAGTTCAAAATGCCCAAGTTCAAGATGCCATTGTTCGGGGCGTCAGCCCCAGGCAAGTCCATGGAGGCCTCGGTGGATGTGTCTGCGCCGAAGGTGGAGGCCGACGTGAGCCTCCTCTCCATGCAGGGGGACCTCAAGACCACTGACCTCAGCGTCCAGACCCCTTCCGCTGACCTGGAGGTCCAGGATGGCCAAGTGGATGTGAAACTTCCGGAGGGCCCCCTGCCCGAGGGAGCCAGCCTCAAAGGGCACCTGCCCAAGGTGCAGAGGCCCAGTTTGAAGATGCCCAAAGTGGACCTCAAGGGCCCCAAGCTGGACCTGAAAGGCCCCAAGGCGGAAGTGACAGCCCCCGATGTGAAGATGTCTCTGTCCAGCATGGAGGTGGACGTCCAGGCCCCGAGAGCAAAGCTGGATGGTGCGCGGCTGGAGGGGGACCTGTCCCTGGCCGACAAGGAGGTGACTGCCAAAGACAGCAAGTTCAAAATGCCCAAGTTCAAGATGCCATCATTCGGGGTGTCGGCCCCAGGCAAGTCCATGGAGGACTCGGTGGATGTGTCTGCGCCGAAGGTGGAGGCCGACGTGAGCCTCTCCTCCATGCAGGGGGACCTCAAGGCCACTGACCTCAGCATTCAGCCCCCTTCCGCTGACCTGGAGGTCCAGGCTGGCCAAGTGGATGTGAAACTTCCGGAGGGCCCTGTGCCCGAGGGAGCCGGCCCCAAAGTGCACCTGCCCAAAGTGGAGATGCCCAGTTTCAAGATGCCCAAAGTGGACCTCAAGGGCCCCCAGATAGATGTTAAGGGCCCCAAGCTGGACCTGAAAGGCCCCAAGGCGGAAGTGACAGCCCCCGATGGCGAGGTGTCTCTGCCCAGCATGGAGGTGGATGTCCAGGCCCAGAAGGCCAAGCTGGATGGTGCGTGGCTGGAGGGGGACCTGTCCCTGGCCGACAAGGACGTGACTGCCAAAGACAGCAAGTTCAAAATGCCCAAGTTCAAGATGCCGTCGTTCGGGGTATCGGCCCCAGGGAAGTCCATCAAGGCCTTGGTGGATGTGTCTGCACCCAAGGTGGAGGCCGACCTGAGTCTCCCCTCCATGCAGGGGGACCTGAAGACCACTGACCTCAGCATTCAGCCTGCTTCTACTGACCTGAAGGTCCAGGCTGACCAGGTGGATGTGAAGCTCCCGGAGGGCCACCTGCCCGAGGGAGCTGGCCTTAAAGGGCACTTGCCCAAGGTGGAGATGCCCAGTTTCAAGATGCCCAAAGTGGCCCTCAAGGGCCCCCAGGTGGACGTCAAGGGCCCCAAGCTGGACCTGAAAAGCCCCAAGGCGGAAGTCACAGCCCCTGATGTGGAGGTGTCTCTGCCCAGCGTGGAGGTGGACGTCGAGGCCCCGGGAGCCAAGCTGGACAGTGCGCGGCTGGAGGGGGAACTGTCCCTGGCCGACAAGGATGTGACTGCCAAAGACAGCAGGTTCAAAATGCCCAAGTTCAAGATGCCATCGTTCGGGGCGTCAGCCCCAGGCAAGTCCATCGAGGCCTCGGTGGATGTGTCTGCACCCAAAGTGGAGGCCGACGTGAGTCTCCCCTCCATGCAGGGGGACCTCAAGACCACTGACCTCAGCATTCAGCCCCCTTCCGCTGACCTGGAGGTCCACGCTGGCCAGGTGGACGTGAAGCTCCTGGAGGGCCACGTGCCTGAGGGAGCCGGCTTCAAAGGGCACCTGCCCAAGGTGCAGATGCCTAGTTTGAAGATGCCCAAAGTGGACCTCAAGGGCCCCCAGGTGGAAGTCAGGGGCCCCAAGCTGGACCTGAAAGGTCATAAGGCAGAGGTGACGGCCCACGAAGTGGCTGTGTCTCTGCCCAGTGTGGAGGTGGACATGCAGGCCCCGGGAGCCAAGTTGGATGGCGCACAGCTGGACGGGGACCTGTCCCTGGCTGACAAGGACGTGACTGCCAAAGACAGCAAGTTCAAAATGCCCAAGTTCAAGATGCCGTCGTTCGGGGTGTCTGCCCCAGGCAAGTCCATTGAGGCCTCCGTGGACCTGTCTGCACCCAAGGTGGAGGCCGACATGAGCCTCCCCTCCATGCAGGGGGACCTCAAGACCACTGACCTCAGCATTCAGCCCCCTTCCACTGACCTGGAGCTCCAGGCTGGCCAATTGGACGTGAAACTCCCAGAGGGCCCCGTGCCCGAGGGAGCCGGCCTCAAAGGGCACCTGCCCAAGCTGCAGATGCCCAGTTTCAAGGTGCCCAAAGTGGACCTCAAGGGCCCTGAAATAGACATCAAGGGCCCCAAGCTGGACCTAAAAGACCCCAAGGTGGAAGTGACAGCCCCTGATGTGGAGGTTTCTCTGCCCAGCGTGGAGGTGGATGTCGAGGCCCCAGGAGCCAAGCTGGATGGTGGACGGCTGGAGGAGGACATGTCCCTGGCCGACAAGGACTTGACTACCAAAGACAGCAAGTTCAAAATGCCCAAGTTCAAGATGCCGTCGTTCGGGGTGTCTGCCCCAGGCAAGTCCATCGAGGCCTCAGTGGATGTGTCTGCGCCGAAGGTGGAGGCCGACGTGAGCCTCCCCTCCATGCAGGGGGACCTCAAGGCCACTGACCTGAGCATACAGCCCCCTTCTGCTGACCTGGAGGTCCAGGCTGGCCAAGTGGACGTGAAACTCCCAGAGGGCCCTGTGTCCGAGGGAGCCGGCCTCAAAGGGCACCTGCCCAAAGTGCAGATGCCCAGTTTCAAGATGCCCAAAGTGGACCTCAAGGGGCCCCAGATAGATGTTAAGGGCCCCAAGCTGGACCTGAAAGGCCCCAAGGTGGAAGTGACAGCCCCCGATGTGAAGATGTCTCTGTCCAGCATGGAGGTGGACGTCCAGGCCCCGAGAGCAAAGCTGGATGGTGCGCAGCTGGAGGGGGACCTGTCCCTGGCCGACAAGGCGGTGACTGCCAAAGACAGCAAGTTCAAAATGCCCAAGTTCAAGATGCCATCATTTGGGGTGTCGGCCCCAGGCAAGTCCATCGAGGCCTCGGTGGATGTGTCTGAGCCGAAGGTGGAAGCTGATGTGAGCCTCCCCTCCATGCAGGGGGACCTGAAGACCACTGACCTCAGCATTCAGTCCCCTTCCGCCGACCTGGAGGTCCAGGCTGGCCAAGTGAACGTGAAACTCCCGGAGGGCCCCCTTCCCGAGGGAGCCGGCTTCAAAGGGCACCTCCCCAAGGTGCAGATGCCCAGTTTGAAGATGCCCAAAGTGGCCCTCAAGGGCCCCCAGATGGACGTCAAGGGCCCCAAGCTGGACCTGAAAGGCCCCAAGGCGGAGGTGATGGCCCCCGACGTGGAGGTGTCTCTGCCCAGCGTGGAGGTGGACGTCGAGGCTCCAGGAGCCAAGCTGGACAGTGTGCGGCTGGAGGGTGACCTGTCCCTGGCCGACAAGGATGTGACTGCCAAAGACAGCAAGTTCAAAATGCCCAAGTTCAAGATGCCGTCGTTCGGGGTGTCTGCCCCAGGCAAGTCCATCGAGGCCTCGGTGGATGTGTCTGCGCCGAAGGTGGAGGCCGAAGTGAGCCTCCCCTCCATGCAGGGGGACCTCAAGACCACGGACCTCTGCATTCCGCTCCCTTCTGCAGACCTGGTGGTCCAGGCTGGCCAAGTGGACATGAAGCTCCCGGAGGGCCAGGTGCCCGAGGGAGCCGGCCTCAAAGGGCACTTGCCCAAGGTGGATATGCCCAGTTTCAAGATGCCCAAAGTGGACCTCAAGGGCCCCCAGACAGATGTTAAGGGCGCCAAGCTGGACCTGAAAGGCCCCAAGGCGGAAGTGACAGCCCCCGATGTCGAGGTGTCTCTGCCCAGCATGGAGGTGGATGTCCAGGCCCAGAAGGCTAAGCTGGATGGTGCGCGGCTGGAGGGAGACCTGTCCCTGGCCGACAAGGACATGACTGCCAAAGACAGCAAGTTCAAAATGCCCAAATTCAAGATGCCGTCGTTCGGGGTATCGGCCCCAGGGAGGTCCATCGAGGCCTCGGTGGATGTGCCTGCACCCAAGGTGGAGGCCGACGTGAGTCTCCCCTCCATGCAGGGGGACCTGAAGACCACTGACCTCAGCATTCAGCCCCCTTCTGCCGACCTGAAGGTCCAGACTGGCCAGGTGGATGTGAAGCTCCCGGAGGGCCACGTGCCCGAGGGAGCTGGCCTCAAAGGGCACCTGCCCAAGGTGGAGATGCCCAGTTTGAAGATGCCCAAAGTGGACCTCAAGGGCCCCCAGGTGGACATCAAGGGCCCCAAACTGGACCTAAAAGACCCCAAGGTGGAAATGAGAGTCCCCGATGTCGAGGTGTCTCTGCCCAGCATGGAGGTGGACGTCCAGGCCCCAAGAGCCAAGCTGGATAGTGCGCATCTGCAGGGGGACCTGACCCTGGCCAACAAGGACCTGACTACCAAAGACAGCAAGTTCAAAATGCCCAAGTTCAAGATGCCGTCGTTTGGGGTGTCTGCCCCAGGCAAGTCCATCGAGGCCTCGGTGGATGTGTCTCCACCCAAGGTGGAGGCCGACATGAGTCTCCCCTCCATGCAGGGGGACCTCAAGACCACTGACCTCAGCATTCAGCCCCTTTCCGCCGACGTGAAGGTCCAGGCTGGCCAGGTGGACGTGAAACTCCTGGAGGGCCCTGTGCCCGAGGAAGTCGGCCTCAAAGGGCACCTGCCCAAGCTGCAGATGCCCAGTTTCAAGGTGCCCAAAGTGGACCTCAAGGGCCCCGAAATAGACATCAAGGGCCCCAAGCTGGACCTAAAAGACCCCAAGGTGGAAGTGACAGCCCCTGATGTGGAGGTGTCTCTGCCCAGCGTGGAGGTGGACGTCAAGGCCCCAGGAGCCAAGCTGGATGGTGCGCGGCTGGAGGGGGACATGTCCCTGGCCGACAAGGACGTGACTGCCAAAGACAGCAAGTTCAAAATGCCCAAGTTCAAGATGCTGTCGTTTGGGGTGTCTGCCCTTGGCAAGTCCATCGAGGCCTCAGCGGATGTGTCTGCGTTGAAGGTGGAGGCCGACGTGAGCCTCCCCTCCATGCAGGGGGACCTCAAGACCACTGACCTCAGCGTTCAGCCCCCTTCCGCTGACCTGGAGGTCCAGGCTGGCCAAGTGGATGTGAAACTCCCAGAGGGCCCCGTGCCGGAGGGAGCCGGCCTCAAAGGGCACCTGCCCAAGCTGCAGATGCCCAGTTTCAAGATGCCCAAAGTAGATCTCAAGGGCCCCCAGATAGATGTCAAGGGCCCCAAGCTGGACCTGAAAGGCCCCAAGACGGACGTGATGGCCCCCGACGTGGAGGTGTCTCAGCCCAGCGTGGAGGTGGATGTCGAGGCCCCGGGAGCCAAGCTGGATGGTGCGTGGCTGGAGGGGGACCTGTCTGTGGCGGACAAGGATGTGACTACCAAAGACAGCAGGTTCAAAATTCCCAAGTTCAAGATGCCGTCATTCGGGGTGTCTGCCCCAGGCAAGTCCATCGAGGCCTCGGTGGATGTGTCTGCGCCGAAGGTGGAGGCCGACGGGAGCCTCTCCTCCATGCAGGGGGACCTCAAGGCCACTGACCTCAGCATTCAGCCCCCTTCCGCTGACCTGGAGGTCCAGGCTGGCCAAGTGGACGTGAAACTCCCAGAGGGCCCTGTGCCGGAGGGAGCCGGCCTCAAAGGGCACCTGCCCAAGGTGCAGATGCCCAGTTTCAAGATGCCTGAAATGGACCTCAAGGGCCCCCAGCTAGATGTCAAGGGCCCCAAGCTGGACCTGAAAGGCCCCAAGGCGGAAGTGACAGCCCCCGATGTGGAGATGTCTCTGTCCAGCATGGAGGTGGACGTCCAGGCCCCGAGAGCAAAGCTGGATGGTGCGCGGCTGGAGGGGGACCTGTCCCTGGCCGACAAGGGTGTGACAGCCAAAGATAGCAAGTTCAAAATGCCCAAGTTCAAGATGCCATCATTCAGGGTGTCGGCCCCAGGCGAGTCCATCGAGGCGTTGGTGGATGTGTCTGAGCTGAAGGTGGAAGCCGACATGAGCCTCCCCTCCATGCAAGGGGACCTTAAGACCACTGACATCAGCATTCAGCCCCCCTCTGCCCAACTGGAGGTCCAGGCTGGCCAGGTGGATGTGAAACTCCCAGAGGGCCACGTTCCCGAGGGAGCCGGCCTCAAAGGGCACCTGCCCAAGCTGCAGATGCCCAGTTTCAAGATGCCTGAAGTGGACCTCAAGGGCCCCCAGATAGATGTTAAGGGCCCCAACGTGGACCTGAAAGGCCCCAAGGCGGAAGTGACAGCCCCCGATGTGAAGATGTCTCTGTCCAGCATGGAGGTGGACGTCCAGGCCCCGAGAGCAAAGCTGGATGGTGCGCGGCTGGAGGGGGACCTGTCCCTGGCCGACAAGGGCATGACAGCCAAAGACAGCAAGTTCAAAATGCCCAAGTTCAAGATGCCGTCATTCGGGGTGTCGGCCCCAGGCAAGTCCATCGAGGCCTCGGTGGATGTGTCTGAGCTGAAGGTGGAAGCTGACGGGAGCTTCCCCTCCATGCAAGGGGATCTTAAGACCACTGACATCCGCATTCAGCCCCCCTCCGCCCAACTGGAGGTCCAGGCTGGCCAGGTGGACGTGAAACTCCCAGAGGGCCACGTTCCCGAGGGAGCCGGCCTCAAAGGGCACCTGCCCAAGGTGCAGATGCCCAGTTTCAAGATGCCCAAAGTGGATCTCAAGGGCCCCCAGATAGACGTCAAGGGCCCCAAGCTGGACCTGAAAGGCCCCAAGGCGGAGGTGACGGCCCCCGACGTGGAGGTGTCTCTGCCCAGCGTGGAGGTGGACGTCGAGGCCCCGAGAGCAAAGCTGGATGGTGCACGGCTGGAGGGTGACCTGTCCCTGGCCGACAAGGATGTGACTGCCAAAGACAGCAAGTTCAAAATGCCCAAGTTCAAGATGCCGTCGTTCGGGGTGTCTGCCCCAGGCAAGTCCATTGAGGTCTCGGTGGATGTGTCTGCGCCGAAGGTGGAGGCCGAAGTGAGCCTCCCCTCCATGCAGGGGGACCTGAAGACCACTGACATCAGCATTGAGCCCCCCTCTGCCCAACTGGAGGTCCAGGCTGGCCAGGTGGACCTGAAGCTCCCAGAGGGCCACGTTCCCGAGGGAGCTGGCCTCAAAGGGCACCTGCCCAAGTTGCAGATGCCCAGTTTCAAGATGCCCAAAGTAGATCGCAAGGGACCCCAGATAGATGTCAAGGGCCCCAAGCTGGACCTGAAAGGCCCGAAGACGGACGTGACGGCCCCCGACGTGGAGGTGTCTCAGCCCGGCATGGAGGTGGATGTCGAGGCCCCAGGAGCCAAGTTGGATGGTGCACGGCTGGAGGGGGACCTGTCCCTGGCCGACAAGGATGTGACTGCCAAAGACAGCAAGTTCAAAATGCCCAAGTTCAAGATGCCGTCGTTCGGGGTGTCTGCCCCAGGCAAGTCCATTGAGGTCTTGGTGGATGTGTCTGCGCCAAAGGTGGAGGCCGACCTGAGCCTCCCCTCCATGCAGGGGGACCTGAAGAACACTGACATCAGCATTGAGCCCCCCTCTGCCCAACTGGAGGTCCAGGCTGGCCAGGTGGACGTGAAGCTCCCAGAGGGCCACGTTCTCGAGGGAGCTGGCCTCAAAGGGCACCTGCCCAAGTTGCAGATGCCCAGTTTCAAGATGCCCAAAGTAGATCGCAAGGGCCCCCAGATAGACATCAAGGGCCCCAAGCTGGACCTGAAAGGCCCGAAGATGGATGTGACGGCCCCCGACGTGGAGGTGTCTCAGCCCAGCATGGAGGTGGACGTCGAGGCCCCAGGAGCCAAGTTGGATGGTGCACGGCTGGAGGGGGACCTGTCCCTGGCCGACAAGGATGTGACTGCCAAAGACAGCAAGTTCAAAATGCCCAAATTCAAGATGCCGTCGTACAGGGCGTCTGCCCCAGGCAAGTCCATCCAGGCCTCGGTGGATGTGTCTGCGCCGAAGGCGGAGGCCGACGTGAGCCTCCCCTCCATGCAGGGGGACCTCAAGACCACTGACCTCAGCATTCAGCTCCCTTCTGTGGACCTGGAGGTCCAGGCTGGCCAGGTGGACGTGAAGCTCCCGGAGGGCCACGTGCCCGAGGGAGCTGGCCTCAAAGGGCACCTGCCCAAGGTGGAGATGCCCAGTTTCAAGATGCCCAAAGTGGACCTCAAGAGCCCCCAGGTGGACATCAAGGGCCCCAAGCTGGACCTAAAAGTCCCCAAGGCGGAAGTGACAGTCCCTGATGTGGAGGTGTCTCTGCCCAGCGTGGAGGTGGACGTCCAGGCCCCGAGAGCCAAGCTGGATGGTGCGCGGCTGGAGGGGGACCTGTCCCTGGCTGAAAAGGATGTGACTGCCAAAGACAGCAAGTTCAAAATGCCCAAGTTCAAGATGCCCTCCTTCGGGGTGTCGGCCCCAGGCAGGTCCATCGAGGCCTCGCTGGATGTGTCTGCGCCGAAGGTGGAGGCCGACGTGAGCCTCTCCTCCATGCAGGGGGACCTCAAGGCCACTGACCTCAGCATTCAGCCCCCTTCCGCTGACCTGGAGGTCCAGGCTGTCCAAGTGGATGTGGAACTCCTGGAGGGCCCCGTGCCCGAGGGAGCCGGCCTCAAAGGGCACCTGCCCAAAGTGGAGATGCCCAGTTTAAAGACGCCCAAAGTGGACCTCAAGGGCCCCCAGATAGATGTTAAGGGCCCCAAGCTGGACCTGAAAGGCCCCAAGGCAGAAGTGAGAGTCCCCGATGTCGAGGTGTCTCTGCCCAGCGTGGAGGTGGATGTCCAGGCCCCGAAGGCCAAGCTGGATGCTGGGCGGCTGGAGGGAGACCTGTCCCTGGCTGACAAGGACGTGACTGCCAAAGACAGCAAGTTCAAAATGCCCAAATTCAAGATGCCGTCATTCAGGGTATCGGCCCCAGGGAAGTCCATGGAGGCCTCGGTGGATGTGTCTGCACCCAAGGTGGAAGCCGATGTGAGTCTCCCCTCCATGCAGGGGGACCTGAAGACCACTGACCTCAGCATTCAGCCCCCTTCTGCCGACCTGAAGGTCCAGGCTGGCCAGATGGATGTGAAGCTCCCGGAGGGCCAGGTGCCCGAGGGAGCCGGCCTCAAAGAGCACCTGCCCAAGGTGGAGATGCCCAGTTTGAAGATGCCCAAAGTGGACCTCAAGGGCCCCCAGGTGGACATCAAGGGCCCCAAGCTGGACCTAAAAGTCTCCAAGGCGGAAGTCACAGCCCCTGATGTGGAGGTGTCTCTGCCCAGCGTGGAGGTGGACGTCCAGGCCCCAAGAGCCAAACTGGATAGTGCACAGCTGGAGGGGGACCTGTCCCTGGCCGACAAGGATGTGACTGCCAAAGACAGCAAATTCAAAATGCCCAAGTTCAAGATGCCGTCATTTGGGGTGTCTGCCCCAGGCAAGTCCATTGAGGCCTCGGTGCACGTGTCTGCACCCAAGGTGGAGGCCGATGTGAGTCTCCCCTCCATGCAGGGGGACCTCAAGACCACTGACCTCAGCATTCAGCCCCATTCTGCCGACCTGACGGTCCAAGCTCGCCAGGTGGACATGAAACTCCTGGAGGGCCACGTGCCCGAGGAAGCCGGCCTCAAAGGACACCTGCCCAAGGTGCAGATGCCCAGTTTCAAGATGCCCAAAGTCGACCTCAAGGGCCCTGAAATAGACATCAAGGGCCCCAAGCTGGACCTAAAAGACCCCAAGGTGGAAGTGACAGCCCCTGATGTGGAGGTTTCTCTGCCCAGCGTGGAGGTGGACGTCGAGGCCCCAGGAGCCAAGCTGGATGGTGCGCGGCTGGAGGGGGACCTGTCCCTGGCCGACAAGGACATGACGGCCAAAGACAGCAAGTTCAAAATGCCCAAGTTCAAGATGCCGTCGTTCGGGGTGTCTGCCCCAGGCAAGTCCATGGAGGCATCAGTGGATGTGACCGCGCCAAAGGTGGAGGCCGACGTGAGCCTCCCTTCCATGCAGGGGGACCTCAAGGCCACTGACCTCAGCGTTCAGCCCCCTTCCGCTGACCTGGAGGTCCAGGCTGGCCAAGTGGACGTGAAACTCCCAGAGGGCCCCGTGCCCGAGGGAGCCAGCCTCAAAGGGCACCTGCCCAAGGTGCAGATGCCCAGTTTCAAGATGCCCAAAGTGGACCTCAAGGGCCCCCAGATAGATGTTAAGGGCCCCAAGCTGGACCTGAAAGGCCCCAAGGCGGAAGTGACAGCCCCTGATGTGAAGATGTCTCTGTCCAGCATGGAGGTGGACGTCCAGGCCCCGAGAGCAAAGCTGGATGGTGTGCAGCTGGAGGGGGACCTGTCCCTGGCCGACAAGGATGTGACTGCCAAAGACAGCAAGTTCAAAATGCCCAAGTTCAAGATGCCATCATTCGGGGTGTCGGCCCCAGGCAAGTCCATGGAGGCGTCCGTGGATGTGTCTGAGCTGAAGGCGAAAGCCGACGTGAGCCTCCCCTCCATGCAGGGGGACCTCAAGACCACTGACCTCAGCATTCAGTCCCCTTCCGCCGACCTGGAGGTCCAGGCTGGCCAAGTGGACGTGAAACTCCCGGAGGGCCCCCTGCCCAAGGGAGCCGGCCTCAAAGGGCACCTCCCCAAGGTGCAGATGCCCTGTTTGAAGATGCCCAAAGTGGCCCTCAAGGGCCCCCAGGTGGATGTCAAGGGCCCCAAGCTGGACCTGAAAGGCCCCAAGGCGGATGTGATGACCCCCGTCGTGGAGGTGTCTCTGCCCAGCATGGAGGTGGACGTCGAGGCCCCGGGAGCCAAGCTGGACAGTGTGCGGCTGGAGGGTGACCTGTCCCTAGCCGACAAGGACATGACTGCCAAAGACAGCAAGTTCAAAATGCCCAAGTTCAAGATGCCGTCGTTCGGGGTGTCTGCCCCAGGCAAGTCCATCGAGGCCTCGTTGGATGTGTCTGCGCTGAAGGTGGAGGCTGACGTGAGCCTCCCCTCCATGCAGGGGGACCTGAAGACCACTCACCTCAGCATTCAGCCCCCTTCCGCTGATCTGGAGGTCCAGGCTGGCCAAGAGGATGTGAAACTCCCAGAGGGCCCTGTGCATGAGGGAGCCGGCCTCAAAGGGCACCTGCCGAAGCTGCAGATGCCCAGTTTCAAGGTACCCAAAGTGGACCTCAAGGGTCCCCAGATAGACGTTAATGTCCCCAAGCTGGACCTGAAAGGCCCCAAGGTGGAGGTGACGTCCCCCAACCTGGACGTGTCTCTGCCCAGCATGGAGGTGGACATCCAAGCCCCAGGAGCCAAGCTGGACAGTACGCGGCTGGAGGGGGACCTGTCCCTGGCTGACAAGGACGTGACTGCCAAAGACAGCAAGTTCAAAATGCCCAAGTTCAAGATGCCATCCTTTGGGATGTTGTCCCCAGGCAAGTCCATCGAGGTCTCGGTGGATGTGTCTGCGCCAAAGATGGAGGCCGACATGAGCATTCCCTCCATGCAGGGGGACCTCAAGACCACTGACCTCCGCATTCAGGCCCCTTCCGCCGACCTGGAGGTCCAGGCTGGCCAGGTGGACTTGAAACTTCCAGAAGGCCACATGCCCGAGGTAGCCGGCCTCAAAGGGCACCTGCCCAAGGTGGAGATGCCCAGTTTCAAGATGCCCAAAGTGGACCTCAAGGGCCCCCAGGTGGACGTCAAGGGCCCCAAGCTGGACCTGAAAGGCCCAAAGGCAGAGGTGATGGCCCCCGATGTGGAGGTGTCTCTGCCCAGCGTGGAGACGGATGTCCAGGCCCCAGGATCCATGCTGGATGGTGCGCGGCTTGAGGGGGACCTGTCCCTGGCCCACGAGGATGTAGCTGGGAAAGACAGTAAGTTTCAAGGACCAAAACTGAGCACGTCTGGTTTTGAATGGTCGTCAAAGAAAGTTTCCATGTCTTCCTCTGAAATCGAAGGAAATGTTACATTCCATGAGAAGACTTCCACATTTCCCATTGTGGAATCTGTTGTTCATGAAGGTGATCTTCATGATCCATCTCGCGATGGTAACTTGGGGCTTGCTGTTGGAGAAGTTGGAATGGATTCGAAGTTTAAGAAACTGCATTTTAAAGTGCCCAAAGTTTCATTTTCTTCTACCAAAACTCCTAAAGATAGTTTAGTCCCAGGTGCAAAGTCTAGCATAGGTCTTTCCACGATTCCTTTATCATCTTCAGAATGCTCAAGTTTTGAATTACAACAGGTTTCGGCTTGTTCAGAGCCATCCATGCAGATGCCTAAGGTGGGTTTTGCTGGGTTTCCATCATCCCGGCTTGATCTCACTGGTCCTCACTTTGAATCTTCTATTCTCTCTCCCTGTGAGGATGTTACACTTACAAAATACCAGGTGACTGTTCCCAGAGCTGCCTTGGCCCCTGAGCTTGCTCTGGAAATTCCTTCTGGGTCTCAGGCTGATATTCCTCTTCCCAAGACAGAGTGCTCCACTGACCTGCAGCCTCCAGAGGGAGTTCCAACATCTCAAGCTGAGAGTCACTCTGGCCCACTGAATTCCATGATTCCTGTTTCTCTTGGTCAGGTATCTTTTCCTAAATTCTATAAACCAAAGTTTGTGTTTTCAGTCCCCCAAATGGCAGTTCCTGAGGGAGACCTACATGCAGCAGTGGGTGCCCCAGTCATGTCTCCTCTTAGCCCTGGAGAAAGAGTGCAGTGCCCCTTGCCAAGCACCCAGCTGCCATCCCCAGGCACCTGTGTGTCTCAGGGCCCAGAAGAGCTTGTGGCCTCCTTGCAGACATCAGTAGTGGCCCCTGGAGAAGCCCCTTCTGAAGATGCTGACCACGAAGGGAAAGGGAGTCCCTTGAAAATGCCTAAGATTAAGCTTCCATCATTTAGGTGGTCCCCGAAGAAGGAAACAGGGCCAAAGGTGGACCCAGAATGCAGCGTGGAGGACTCAAAACTCAGCCTGGTTTTAGACAAGGATGAAGTGGCCCCGCAGTCTGCCATCCACATGGATCTGCCTCCTGAGAGGGATGGAGAGAAGGGGAGGAGCACAAAGCCTGGCTTTGCCATGCCAAAACTTGCACTTCCCAAAATGAAGGCTTCTAAGAGTGGGGTCAGCCTGCCACAGAGAGACGTGGATCCTTCCCTTTCTAGTGCCACAGCAGGGGGTAGCTTTCAAGACACAGAAAAGGCCAGCAGTGACGGTGGTAGGGGAGGACTTGGTGCAACAGCAAGTGCCACAGGAAGTGAGGGTGTGAACCTCCACCGGCCACAGGTCCACATTCCCAGTTTGGGCTTTGCCAAACCTGATCTCAGATCCTCCAAGGCCAAGGTGGAGGTGAGCCAGCCTGAAGCTGACCTGCCTCTTCCCAAACATGATCTGTCTACCGAAGGTGACAGCAGAGGATGTGGGCTCGGGGATGTCCCAGTGAGCCAGCCTTGTGGGGAGGGGATAGCCCCCACACCTGAAGATCCCCTCCAGCCATCCTGTAGAAAACCAGATGCTGAAGTCCTCACAGTGGAAAGCCCAGAGGAGGAAGCCATGACCAAGTACTCGCAGGAAAGCTGGTTTAAAATGCCCAAGTTCCGCATGCCCAGCCTTAGGCGCTCTTTCAGGGACAGAGGCGGGGCTGGAAAGCTGGAAGTGGCTCAGACACAGGCACCGGCAGCAACAGGGGGTGAAGCAGCAGCTAAAGTCAAAGAGTTCCTTGTTTCTGGGTCAAACGTGGAGGCAGCTATGTCCCTACAGCTCCCAGAGGCAGATGCAGAAGTGACAGCTTCTGAGAGCAAATCATCCACAGATATTCTAAGGTGTGATCTTGACAGCACAGGCTTGAAGCTGCACCTCTCCACTGCTGGGATGACTGGGGATGAGCTTTCCACTTCTGAGGTCAGGATCCATCCATCCAAAGGACCTCTCCCTTTTCAGATGCCTGGCATGAGGCTTCCAGAAACCCAGGTTCTTCCAGGAGAAATAGATGAGACTCCTCTTTCCAAGCCAGGACATGACCTTGCCAGCATGGAGGATAAAACAGAGAAATGGTCTTCCCAGCCTGAAGGTCCACTTAAATTGAAAGCTTCAAGTACTGATATGCCATCCCAGATTTCTGTGGTTAATGTGGATCAACTGTGGGAAGATTCTGTCCTAACTGTCAAATTCCCCAAATTAATGGTACCAAGGTTCTCCTTCCCTGCCCCCAGCTCAGAGGATGATGTGTTCATCCCCACTGTGAGGGAAGTGCAGTGTCCAGAGGCCAATATTGATACAGCCCTTTGTAAGGAAAGTCCGGGGCTCTGGGGAGCCAGCATCCTGAAGGCAGGTGCTGGGGTCCCTGGGGAGCAGCCTGTGGACCTTAACCTGCCTTTGGAAGCTCCCCCAATTTCAAAGGTCAGAGTGCATATTCAGGGTGCTCAGGTTGAAAGTCAAGAGGTCACTATACACAGCATAGTGACACCAGAGTTTGTAGATCTCTCAGTACCCAGGACTTTTTCCACTCAGATTGTGCGGGAATCAGAGATCCCCACGTCAGAGATTCAAACACCTTCGTACGGATTTTCCTTATTAAAAGTGAAAATCCCAGAGCCCCACACGCAGGCTAGAGTGTACACAACAATGACTCAACACTCTAGGACTCAGGAGGGCACAGAAGAGGCTCCCATACAAGCCACCCCAGGAGTAGACTCCATTTCTGGAGATCTCCAGCCTGACACTGGAGAACCATTTGAGATGATCTCTTCCAGCGTCAATGTACTGGGACAGCAAACACTCACATTTGAAGTTCCTTCTGGCCACCAGCTTGCAGACAGCTGTTCAGATGAGGAGCCAGCAGAAATTCTTGAGTTTCCCCCTGATGATAGCCAAGAGGCAACCACACCACTGGCAGATGAAGGCAGGGCTCCAAAAGACAAACCAGAAAGTAAAAAATCTGGTCTGCTCTGGTTTTGGCTTCCAAACATTGGGTTTTCCTCTTCTGTTGATGAGACAGGTGTTGATTCCAAAAATGACGTCCAGAGATCTGCTCCCATTCAAACACAGCCTGAGGCACGACCAGAGGCAGAACTGCCTAAAAAACAGGAGAAGGCAGGCTGGTTCCGATTTCCCAAATTAGGGTTCTCCTCATCTCCTACCAAGAAAAGCAAAAGCACCGAAGATGGGGCAGAGCTGGAAGAACAAAAACTTCAAGAAGAAACAATCACGTTTTTTGATGCCCGAGAAAGTTTCTCCCCTGAAGAGAAGGAAGAGGGTGAACTGATCGGGCCTGTGGGCACTGGGCTGGACTCCAGAGTGATGGTGACATCCGCGGCAAGAACAGAGTTAATCCTGCCCGAGCAGGACAGAAAAGCTGACGATGAAAGCAAAGGGTCAGGCCTGGGACCAAATGAAGGCTGAGAGGTATGGCTCATCAGTACAAGAGAGATGCAAAAAACTAAGTTGGAAAGTAAAGGCTACACACACATATGGAGCACCCCATCCCACAGCACATTACATCCACCTCACTTCACAGAACGGAGAACAGAGCAGAAATGACCAGAACACCTTTGTCACCATCACACAGCCCTCCTAAAATGGAACCAAAGCTTCCCAGCTCCCTCAAAGCTTTGGATGCAAAGAAGGCACCCTGACTTCCACAAGACACCAGAATTCACACGGTACTCAGAGGCACTGCTGGGGAAGTTTGTTGGTCTTTATTAGATAAATTTCCAGAGACCTGTCCATAATACCCAACAGAACATGACTGTTTCTTTGAGGAAAGGGTTATAATGTCTGTGGTGTACAAGTCGTTTTTGGTATAACTTCTTTCCTGCTGCTGCTGCTTCCCGGCAAACATAGTTTTCCTATTTCAGGCAGAGTGCGGTATATTCCAGGAAACACTGTTTCCTACTCACTTAGCTTACTTCTTTGTTGAATGCCTCACTAATGGCAAGTTTCAAGATGTTTTGGGTGACAATGCACACATGCTGGGCAAAAGGGTGATGGCCAGTGGCTGGCAGCTGGGCCAGCAGAAGCTAGGACATCTGTGAGTTGTCATTCTCATCTATCCATGTCCACTGGCCTGCCAGCATCCGCCAGTGCCTTGCCAGTGTGCACGGTCCCACACTGTGGCCCCTGAGTCCCCTAATGTACACGCTGCAGCCAGAATGCAGATGGAGCTGGCTTGGCTGTTCCCTGGATGGGCAATAAAGAAAGTGCTGCATCCCATGCTGAAGGCTGCTGAGGTCTTCTGTCTCAGGGTCGAAGTTTACCAGGGCTTTCCTCCCACACACTCCTGGTCTCTACTAAGCAGCTCTAGAGAACAGTCAATGAGGAACATTTGGGTGGTTGCCTACCTATCATCCATTTGTCCAGGTCCTCCTCTGAGCCAGAGGCTGTGAGGAAGACAAGGAAGATAGGGCTGAGTTCACAGTGTGGCAGGGACACAGACGTACAACCCTCCCTCCCTCCCTCCAGCTGGAGGCAGTGTGGGATGGGAGATGGAGTGCAGAGTGGGGACAGCACAGAAAGGTGACCTTGGCCATCTTTAGTGGCCCATCCTCAGAAGCTTCCTTCACCACAGAGGCGCTCTTGGGCAGCCCACAGGAAGCAAATCCACGTGGCGTAGCGGATTGAGGTTCAAGGGTTTCCCTACAGTCTTTCAGTGGTCAAATCTCTTCCCAGATGCCCCTGCCAGATTCATGGGTATGCAGTGTTCAAGGGGGCAGTTGGAACTTGCCCCCAGCTCCCTCCTGGCCTAGGTGGGCTCCTGGTGAGAAGCGCTTATGGCCCCCTGGGGAGGTGGCTGCTCTCATGGCTGTGGATATGGGAGCAAGAGCTGGGCTGTGAGCCAATCTGGAGGACCGCAGTGCCTGGAGGGTGAAGGCCACTCCGAGGCTACCACTCGTGCTGCCCTGAGAGGTTCCAGAGGGGTGACAGCTATGGGGTGCAGGAGCCTGGGCAGGGGAGAGGCTGGGTTCTTTCCCCATGCCACCATGGGCATATGTTCCCTGTGCTGAGTTGGGGAGGCCCGTGGGTGTCATCCAAGTTAGGGCACATAGAAGCCTCTAGAAAGTGAACTGACACAGGTCCCCTGGGGGCTCATGAGCAGGGGAAGTGGGAAGGGAAATTTGGTGGACACTCATCCCAGTTAAGCAAGGCCATCACCCTCTCCCTTCCCAGGGCTTCCTGCCTTCTCTACTCCAACTTGTGTGTGCCAGACAAGCTAGGTGAGTGCAGCCCAGGGGGAGGAGTCTGCTTGGCTCCATGGGGCTTTTGTCCCTCTCTGATCCAAGAGTCAAGGCCTGGGATAGTGGGGACCTTGGTGCTAGAGGCCAGAGAGACAGCTGTCCCAGCATGTGAGGAGTGGCTGAGCAGCAGGGGCCCCCACAGGGTTCTCGCGTGGCCTTGGTTCTCTGTGTATGAGTTATCTATGCTGCATAAGAACATCACTACAAATTAGCAACTTAAAACAACACACATTTATGATCTCCCAGTTTCTGTGGATCAGGAGCCCAAGTGTGGCTTTGTTGGGTTCTCTGCTCAAGGTCCCATTAGGCTACAATCAAGATGTCAGCTGGGGCTGTGGTCTCCCCTTCAGGTATGACCAGGAAAGCAGCCACTTCTGAAGCTCACGTTGTTGCTAGCCACACTCAACTCCTTGTGGATGGGATGATTGAGGGCCCCAGTTTCTTGCTAGTTGGGGGCTGGAGGCAACCCCAGTACCCTGCTACATGGGCCTCTTCATAGGACAGCTCATAGCCTAGCAGCTCACTTTTTAAAGCTAGCAAGGGATAGACTGCTATTCCTTGATAATGTTATAATCTTATGTCACATGATCACAAGGTGTCACAGGAGTGACATCCCCTTACCTCTGTATTCTATTGGTTACAACAAGGCACAGGTCCTGCACACACTCAAGGTGAGATCACACAAGGGCATGCATACCAGCAGGTGGGGGTCAAGGGAGCCATTCTAGAGTCTGTCTGCTATAGCCCAGAAGGGGCCACATTGTGGCACCCTCCTGGGGTCTCCCAAGCCTTGTCAAGCTGGATTTCCTTTGGAATAGGCATCTGCCTTGAAGCAGGCCTCTGTCAGTGCCACTGAGGTGTGACTGCCAGTCCCCAGGTGTGTGGAAAGAGGCCTTTCACTGGCTGAGGGCCACCAGCCAGTTGTCCAAATCACAGCCTGGAGCACAGAGCCCTCCTAGAACATAGTTGGCAGGCCAAGAGAGCAGGCCAAGTGCTCTGAGACACATTCAGGTATAAGGCCAAGAACCAGGGAGCAAACCCACACGTGCAACCCTGGAGGGCAGAGCTTAGTCTGGGATGATATCGGCTTCTGAGCCAGGTGTTGCCACGAAGCTTTTTGCCAGATGGTTACTGAGGAGATATGGAGCATGAATGAGGGATAGGAAGCCACAGGGAGCAGCCACTGCAACTGCCAGAGCTTGGCTTGGCCAAGTGCAGCTCACACACAAAGCAGCCCCCAGAAGCTCCTGAAGGCCTTGCAGGGCTATGTGGATCCCTATCCCCCTGCAGCATCTGCAGCAAGCTTTTCACAAGCTTGGGCAGGGAGGCAGGATGGGTGTAGGAGATTTCTGCACAGACAGAATGCTGAAGTCTAAGGTGTCCTTTAGATGGGGGAAGTATGAGGTCACTAATCGAACAGAAAAGTAACTTGTACTGTACCTGAGATGAACTTTGCTAGCTTTCCCCAAAGCAAAGAGGGAAGAGGAAGATATGGCTGAGTTCACAGTGTGGCAGGGACACAAATGTAGGAAAGAAAAAAGTAGAGAAGGGTAGGAAAAGGAGAGAAGTAGAGAAGGGTAGGAAAGTGGTGCCTCAAGACCGGGAGAGCATTCGGGGCACCCTGGGGTCCATTCAGCATCCAGTGCTCCTTCATACCGCTGAGCCATCCCTGAACTCCAGCCTAGCATGGCCCCATGGACCTCCACCAGGGGAGGGTACCCTGTGGTCTTGGTCAGGAACCATCAGGTGAGATAAGCCAGGGTGTTTTGAGAATCCTTCTGACCCAGCATTCATAGCAGAAGAGTGGGAACTGAGTTGCCAAACCTGGGTTCAAATCCTGCATCTGCAGGACAGGTGCCCAGGTGGCTCCCAGGATAGGGTGAGTTCCAGTGGAGCTGCATCCAAGTCCTGGTCTCAGACTGGAGTCACCTTCCTGCCCTCCAGCTCAAATGCTGGTCCTCTCAGCCCCATCCACCAACCCTGGGCACTGCATCCCCAGGACAAGCCTGCCCCCACATGCTTGGACCCACCCTGCACAACAGCCCACAAACCACACAGCCTTGTGCACCCCTACCCTCGCCCGCCTGTCTCCCCAGCCCGCACGCAGGACCTGTCCCCTCAGCCGCGGGTCCCCTCCCGCCCTCCCCGTCCCCTCAGCCCCGGGTCGCCTCCCGCCCTCCCCGTCCCCTCAGCCGCGGGTCCCCTCCCGCCCTCCCCGTCCCCTCAGCCGCGGGTCCCCTCCCACCCTCCCCTCACTCAGCCCCGGATCGCCTCACATCCTCCCCGTCCCCTCAGTCGCAGGTCCCCTCCCGCCCTCCCGGTCCCCTCAGCCCCGCTCCCCTCCCGCCCTCCCCTCACTCAGCCCCGGGTCGCCTCCCGCCCTCCCGGTCCCCTCAGCCGCGGGTCCCCTCCCGCCCTCCCTGTCCCCTCAGCCGCGGGTCCCCTCCCACCCTCCCCTCACTCAGCCGCGGGTCGCCTCCCGCCCTCCCGGTCCCCTCAGCCGCGGGTCCCCTCCCGCCCTTCCCTCACTCAGCCGCGGGTCGCCTCCCGCCCTCCCTGTCCCCTCAGTCGCAGGTCCCCTCCCGCCCTCCCGGTCCCCTCAGCCCCGCTCCCCTCCCGCGCCGCCCCTGTCCGGCGCCGTAGGAGCTGCCCCCTGGCGGTGGGTGCGCGGCGCTGCGCCTTGGTCTGCGTTTCCTCCGCTGGAGTCCCGGGCGTGGGCTCCGCGCCTCTCGCTTCCCCCGGCAGCCTCGGGGCGGGAATTTGGGTTCCGGAGCGCGGCAGCCCGGCGCGGGGTGGGAGGTGGAGGGTTCGCTCCGCCTGGGAGGCCCGTCTGGTCCCCGCCCCGCCCCGCCCCAGGTTCTCGCGGACCCGGGGCTAGCTGAGGCGCTGCCACGGCGGTCGCGCGGCGCAGTTTCGCAGGGGCGGGCGCATAGAGGCGGGCCCTTGGCAAGAGGATGAAGGGCCGCCCGCGCGGGACTCACACAGAGGCACCGGGAAGCCACGAGTTTTTTTTAGGCCTGGCCTGTGGGCCAGGAGTCAGGGAAGGGGCTTCCTGGAGGGCTCCCTGGAGGAGGTGGGGCTCAGGGGGGGCTGGACTCGGAAATCAGAGAGCAGGCGGGCGGTTTGCGACGCCCGGGCGGTCGCAGGCGGCTCCTGGCGCAGTGCGGACCCGGGCTGCTTGCGGGAGGAAGCGGCTGAAGCCCAGGCCGGGGTCAGAGGGGAGGGCGCGTGCGGGGCGGGGTCGCCGAGAGAAAAAGAGGCCCCCCTCAGCCCTGCCAAACGCAGTCCTGGCCCGGAGCCTGTCCGTCCAGGCCGACGGCGTAGCGCGAACTCCAGTCCCGCTCAAAGAGCTGCCGCAGCTGCTCCTGCACCGTGGCCCCCGCGGGCTGCGCGCCAGGGCTCTGGGTGACCACCAAGCCCACCCCCGCCGTGCTGCTGAAGTAATCCTCCGACCAGTTGGAGGTGCCTGCGGGGAGGATGGAGGAGACACTGGGGCGCCGGCTCCCACAGGCCCCTCTGCAGCCCGCTCAGCGCCAGGCCCGGCTACGGGTTTGGGGACGGTTGGCAGCTGGCCCCTCCACTGTCATCAGACTCCAGCCGGGGAAGCCCCTCGCTTAGGTGCGGGAGGGACAGCTGGTCGCGGTAGAACTCCACCTTCATCACTTGGGGACAGGCGTCCTGACTCAGTGTTCTGGGGCCCTGTGGGGCCAGGTGACAGGCGGGTGGCCTGGTCCCCGGAACTCCATGGAGACCCCGTCCCCCTTCAGCAGCAGCCCCTCCCTCCTGAGGTGTCCACGCCGGTCACAAAGCCAGTGCCTCCCTCGCCCGTGCCTGGCCACCCTGGGGCCCGCCCGCCGTGATCTGATCGCGCTCACCTATGTAGGCTGCCTTCTCCGTGACCATGAACTTGCTGTGGTTCACCCTGCTGAATGGGATGTTGGAATGGTTCCCCACCGGCACGATGAAGACTTTCTTAGGGGAGCAGAGGCAGCGCGTCAGGAAGGGCGGCAGGAGGGCCGCCTTTCCCACGCCCGGCCGGGAGCACGCCCTCACCACGTCCACAGAGACGTTGGCCGCGGGGTTGCTGAGCGCCTGCAGGGACCGCAGGTAGGGGAACATGGTGGGGTCCGTGTTGAGTCCGCAGCCGACCAGCAGGCGCACGCGCACGCCCTTGCCGAAGGCTGCCGCCCGCAGCGCGTTGTCCAGCACCGGCCAGTACCTTGGGGTGGGGAGGGACGGGGCTCTGCTTACAAGCCGGGCCCGATAGGGGTCCCAGCAGGAGGGGACGTGCCCAGGAGCTGCCCGTCAGCAGAGCAGGCCGCCCACCTCCCACTCAGACCTACCTCGGGGGGTGGCTGAAGCGCGTGGTGGGGAAATACTCCATCACGGAGGCATAGATGAACTCCTGGGCGCTCCCCATCACCGCCAGCAGCGCCTCCAGGTCCCGGGTGCGGCCCTGGGGACAGAGTGCTGGTGGCGACGCCTGTGACGGGAGAGAAATCCCTGAAGGCTCTGCCAGCCCAGCCCATTCTGAACTTGTGACCCCACCATGCACCACCTAAGAGGCCCCATGTGGTGTGGAGGGAGGGGGCCCAGGTGCCTGGAAATATGAGGAAAGAAGGGGTCGGCTCAACAGGGGTCCTGGGGACTGGCTCTGAGGCCTGGCGGAGAGAGTGGGGAAGCAGCTGGACTGCCCTGGGCTCCAGGCTGGATTGACGTCCCAGAAACAGTTCCTGGCCACAGGGAAGTTTATCCACTCCCTTCAGGGTGCCACCCCCACCCCCATCTAGGGAGGCTTCCCTTGTTCTGATACAGCCTCTACTACAGACCAGTCCCTCGGCTGGCTGGAGGGCTGTCCACCCCCACCCCCGTGGGCTGATAAAGGAGGATCTGCCCACCCCTCACTCTTCCCTTCCTTCCCCGCAGAGCAAGTGGGGTTCCCCTCCCTCTCCAGTGCCCAGCTAAGCCCCTTGGCCTCGCCCAGCAGTCTGGAGACTCCCAGGGCCCCAGGTCCTCCCACCACCTCCCAGGCGGCCTGTTTCCCAGGGATGGTGCTGACCAGCTGTCCTCCTGGAGCTAAGCCTGCCTCCAGGCACAGCCCAGAGCCTACTGATGCCAGCCTGCTTGCTGCTCACCCCAGGGCCACAGCCCCACCCATGGTGCTGGCTGCCTGAGGACCCAGCTGATGCTGCTGGTGTCTGCAGGGCCAGCCCAGAGGGCTCCCTGTGGGTCTGGCCAGCCAGGGGAGAACAGGGGCCTCTGATGGGCTCCTTCTCAACCCGTCTTACTGAGAAGTAGGCAGTGGTGGGCACCCCATCAAAGAGGCCGTGGAAGGGCTGGAAACGGTTGAAGTGAGATGAGAAGTTCTGAGGCCAGGTTTTGGGGAGGACAGCCTTGGGCACCCCCAGTACCCAGTAGGTCTGGAAGGTCTTCTCCAGGTCTTGGGCCAGGTGGCTGCAGTTATAGATGACAGCGCCAAGCTCCTTCACCTGCAGGGACCAAAGTCAGGCGCTGTGGGAGAAAAACCCCTCTGTGGGGCCTCCACCCCACTCCACCCAGGCCAGGGATGTTGGGGCAGGTGCAGTCCCTGCCCGACTGGTCCCCACTTGCGGGAAGCATTGCCTGTAGGAATCTGTAATAGAGTGTGCTGGTGGGAGGAGTGCCCAGCGGGTGCCTGTGTTTTTGAACATTGTATTCCAATGATCAAAGCAATACACGTTTATTACAAAAACAATAGAAAATGCATCAAGCCATTAAGAATGGGATCATTCTTAATCCCACTGTCAAGTGATAACCATGGTTGCCTTTGCCATGACCATTCTGACACGTTTTTCATGCATTGCTTTTCCTAAAAAGGCTTGTATTTTGTAATCTCCATGCTTCCCTGGGTAATGTGACTTGAACATCTTTCCATGTCATTGAATGTGATTCCACAGCATGAATTCAGTGGCTGTGTAGAATTCTATCATTTATTAGACCAGTCTCCGGTTGTTTCTACCATAGTGAATTGTAAACAGGACTACACGACTTTCTCCAGATGCACTGAGATGTCAGGCCAAGTCCCCAGGAGTGCAGGCGGGGAAACGCTTCAGGCAGGCCTCCTGTGTTAGGGCCCTGGCACTCACCTGCGTCAGAGACCGCCAGTCCATGTTGGCACTGCCCATGTATATGTGCCGTCCATCCACAACCCAGAATTTGGAGTGCAAAACACCCCTGGTGAGCCGCCCCATGGGCACCTGTCGTACATGGGCACCTGGTGGAGAGTTCAGGCAATGGGATGAACTAGGTCTTGCTAAGTGCTAGCTTCATGGTGAGCCTGACCCCAAGCTCTTGACAGTGGGGTTGACTCAGATGTCCTCACAACAGTCCTACTAAGCTGCTGCTATCCTCATCCCCATTTTATAGGTGAGGACACAGAGGGATAGACTGGCCCAGGATCCCTCTGGGCAGCTCAGCTCCAGAGCCTGCCTTTGTGGTGACTGCCCATGGCCTCTCACTGCCCAGCCAGAGGTCCCAGCCTGAGCCTCCACCCACAGGTCAGCTGCTGGGCTCAGCAGGGCTCCGAGGCCACCTGTGCTCTGCCCTGTGGAAAATGGCACTTTTGGATCCGTGGAACCAGCCCTGTGCCCAGGTGAAGCTGACTCAAAGGACCTCAGAGCCCTGGGTCCTGCCCTCCTGGGGTGTCCTAGGGAAGTCCAGGGCACCTTTCCCACCCTCACTTCTTTTCCTTGTCCTGTGGTGCCAGCCAGACAGCCCATGCCCGACGCTAGGGCAGTGGTGCCCAGCATGGTGCAGGTACCCACCTCGGGCAGCCAGAACCTGCAGGTCGGTGGATGTCCTGGCCAGTGTCGGGCTGCTGGTGGCCACAGCCAGGGAAATGTTCCTGCCCAGCAGCTGCTGCAGCTTCTGCAGAAGAGCCTCTCCCTGCAAGGCCAGGCCAGCCATGAGAGCTGACCTCAGGCTGCCCTCTCCTCCGCATCCCCACTAGGACCCATGTCCTCCTCAGGAGGCCCACCTATGACTGCCCACAGCTCAAGGTCAGGTCAAGTATCTGGATGACCCTTGGTGAGAGCCAAACTGCACCAGGCACAGTCTGAGTGTTTAGTCACCCAGAGGCCCAGCTCCTTGACACCTCTGCTGTTAGAGCCCCCAAAGGAGCGGCCTAATCCCTGTTCCATGCTAGACCCTACCACCAAGCTGAGCCCCCGGGCCTGGTGCCCGAGACGCCTGCATAGATAGGCAGCCTGACTTGCTGTGTTTCCAGCACCAGGATGCGGTGGGGCCAGGGCGGGGCGCACCAGCTGGGAAGACGAGTCGTTGACCCCGATGTCAGGCCCTGTGAGGGACCAGTAGTATGAAGCCACGTGGACGCTCTCCTGGGCAGTGTCCAGCAGCTGCAGCCAGGCCTGGCCCAGAGGCTGGGCAGAGGGGCTGCCGGCTGCAGATGGCAGGTCCTGGGGGATGCTTTCCACAAGGACAAGCCTGTGGGGAGAGCCACACTGGGCTCAGTATGGGTGCGGGAGCCCCCAGCCCACCTCACATCACCTGCCCCATCCCACTGCCAAGCCAGAGCAACCGTTGCTCAGGTGGCCCCCGGGATGAGCCCAGGCCAAGTGTGCAGGGTAAGGGTTTAAGGTATAGGCAACAAAACAGACTGGGCAGGGTGGGCCTGAGCCCAGCATGCTGCTGGGGTGGTGACACCCAGGAGCAATTTGGGAAGGAGCCTGAGAGGGGCTGCCTGGTCCAGAGCAGGCTAGACTGGGGGGTCCTGGCCCCACTCAGCCCTGAGGCACTGCCCACAGGGAGCAGCTGCTCCTGAAGCCGGGCAGAGTAGAGCAGAGCTGTGGAGTCTGGGGTCTGGGGTGGCCTCGTGGTGTGGAAGCCCTTGGTGGTGGCCAGAGCTGGCCTGGAAGGGAAAGGTTGGGCCAGGGGCAGGTAAGCTCCCGTTTCCAGGGGATGTGTGCAGGATGGCCCAACAGGTTCCTCCGGGGCAGTCCTGGGATTCCAGGACCCCAACCGCAGGGAAAGAAGGGTGGGAGGGAAGGATGAGGGGCGGCAGGGGACAGTGACATTACCCCCAGGGGTGGAAGGACTGAGGGGGTGAGCCTCAGCACAGGCAGTGTTCTCCAGCCTGTCAGAGCCCCCAGGTGGCAGCCTCTGTTTGCTGCAAAAAGCACCACACGCCTGCCCCGTCCCCAGCCCCCACTCCAGCTCATATGGTCGTGGCCCTCCCTGGTGACCTGCACCTTCCTGGAGGAGCTGGTAGAGGGCCCCCCTTATCTCACGGGCAGATCCAAGGGCAGAAACACAGGCAGCAGCCCCAAACTGAGACCTGCCCCCGCAGGCCTCCATGGGCTCACTTACTGGCAGGAGTCCCTCTGCTGCCTGGCCTCTGCTTCCAGGGGCTCCCAAGCTGGGCTGGAGCCATGCTCCCAGGACCTGGGCACGTCCTTGGGCTGCACCTGGCCCCAGGTGGGAGGACGGGGCACTTGCCACAGGAGGCAGATAAGAGCCACGGAGCCCAGCCACAGCACAGCCAGCGCTCCCAGGACCTGCAACTGGATGGGGCAGCACCCGCAGGGTCACCAGACAGGGCGGGGCTTGACTTCTGGCTGGGCCACGATGGCCCCTCCAGTGCTGAGACAGAGACCGTCTTGACTTCCCGGACCTGGGCTGCCACTGGGGTGGGACTAGGGTGGACAAGGGAGAGGGGAGGGTGATACAGAGAAGGCCCCCAGCCCAGGGTGGTGGCAGGGGTCAGGGGGCCTGCAGCCCACTCTGCAATGCTGTGGCTCGTGGTAACTGGCTGTCCCCAGCACCTCCAGCAGGGGCATAAAGGGAAGGTCTGGAGCAGCCCAGGGAGGCTTCCCTTGCCCACCAGTCAGGGCACCTCTGCTTGGAGGCCCCCTCAAGGCTGCTTGTGACCTCTCCACTCTGGCTCGGAGCTCTTGAAAGGCCATTGATCCCAGCCACCTCCCCCCTGGGGCCCCCCAGTCCTACCGTGCCAGCCTCTCTGTCCCACGGGCGGCGGGGCGGCATGGAGCATGGCCATGTGGGGGCCACTGCTGCTTTCCAAAGAGGCTTCAGCATCTGCACAGGGCAGCCTGGCATCACCAGCAGCTCCAGCTCTGCCCAGAACTGCCCCTCAGTGCCTGGGCAGCTGGGCACTGGGGACACCCCTGCACAGACACCCACATAAGCCCCCAAAAGCCCCCCACTCATGCCCGAGGTCACGCCCTGGATGTTGGGGGTGTGCTTTCCACGAGGACAAGCCGTGTGGGTGTTGGAGCCCGCAGCCGGCCACATGTCACCTGTCCTGTCCCCCTGGCCAAGCCGGAAGGACTGCTGTTAAGGCGGTCCCCAGGGCTGAGCCTGGGCCAAGCACGAGGGGCGGGCGGGCGTCTGTGCCTAGCCACATGCCCCGGCTTTCTGTGTCTCCCCTTTCAGGGTCTCCCACTCAGTGAGTATCTAGGTATTTGCATCTCAGTTCCCTGTTTCAACCACAACTGAAACTGCGTCTGAAAGGGCTGTTTCTGCTTTTGTCGCTTGGTCCTCTTATTGCTGGCCTATAAATAACTGCTTCCCTCCTGGGCTGGGCTCCTGTCTTGGCCCCACGGCAGCCCCTCCAGAGAGCCACAGGTCAGAGGGGGCAGCTGAGCAGTACCCTTGCTGGAGAGGCTAGGCGTGGAGAGGGCAGAGATGGCGGCAGAGTGGGACCCCTACTGCTGGCAGAGGGGGTTGTCCTCTGCTGCAGGGACTCGCCTTATCTCCTCAGAGTGGTCACCCCACAAGGAGCTGGGAGCCAGGCCATCTGGGCCCTGTGGGATGTGGGCTCCCATCCCCACTCCTACCCCCAAAGCAAGCAGTCAGGCTGCCCCAGGTGCCACCATGGGGGAAGGGTGCCTCACAAGTACAGAGGCGCCCTCCCCGGGTGCAGGGAGGGGTCTGTGCCCAGCATGGTCACCTGGCTGGCCAGCCTCTGACTGAGACATCCACCAGGGCAGGAGCTGGCTGGCCCCTGGCTGGGATGGGGATGTCTCCGAGGTTTGGGGCCTGGGCCTGGGCAGTGCTGAGTGCCAGTGTCTGCAGCCAGGCTGGGCGCTGGGACCCAGGGCTCGGTGGGTCGGCTGTCCACCCAGGAGCAGCCAGCTCAGCCTCCAGGCCTCTGGGGTTCGTCTGGGCTGTCCTCCCACGGGTCAGGGCTGAGGGCTTTGAGAACCTGGCCTGCCTCAGCATGGGGCGGAAATGCCAGGAACACCACAGGAGTCGGGCCTGGACTGAGTCTGCCCTGGAGACCAAGCGTTATGGGGGATTGGGGGTAGGAGCATAAACCAAGTGTGGGGACAGGGGACTCAGGCCAAGTCACTGCGGCCCAACTCCCCCCACGCTGGGGGGTCCTGCAGAGGTGGGTGGGTGCCGCCCCCACCCCAGAGCTGAACTCTGGGGGATGCTCCCCCCACCCCACAGAGGAGACCTCAGGGTGCCCACCGTGTCCCCACTGTCCCCAGGGATTCAGGGCCCAGCATCGGGCCTTTGCTCTCCCCCACTAACTCTCAGAAGAGGAAACATGGAATCCTGGGCTGTGGCTGGTCAATGAGAGGAAACATGGAATCCTGGGCTGTGGCTGGGCAACGAGGTGCCAGGGCTGTTCTTGGACAGCTGCTCCCCACACTCCCTGCCCTCACCAGAGAGGACCTTTGCTCCCTTAAATGCTCCAGGCAGACGGGCAGCTCAGAGCACAGAGGCGCTGCCTCTTGCAGGCCCCATCTCAGACTTGGAGCCTGTCCAAGTCCCCTCCCAGGACTACAGACCCCAGAGCGCCTCACCACCTCCTCCTGCAATGGAACCTGGGAGGACCGCCAGCCAGGTTGGCTCAAGCTGAGAGACCCCTGCAGAGTAGGGCTGTAGCCCCCTGGTCCCATGGTAGATAGCGTAAGACCCTGCAGACATCAGAGGTCATGGCTGAAGGTGCCAGATTTCCTGCCCTGCAGGGCATTAGGCATGGCTGCCAGTCCCAGGCTGAGGTAGAGGGCCCAGCTGTCACCTGGCTGGAGAGCCAGGGCCCAGCTTATCCCAGCTGCACGGACTGGGGACGGAGCGAGTCATCTACAGGACTAGCTGGAGGCTGTGTGACTCTCTGGACCTGGGGTTGCTGGGAGGCTGAGGCCATAGGGAGGCAGACAGCAGCCCTTTCCCCATGCCTGGCTTTTCTCAGCTGCCCTGGCCTCATTGGCACATACCTCTGGGGGTCCTGCCTTGGTGTCTATCCTGATTCCAGCCGCAGACTGCAGGCCCTCAGCTCACGGGGCAGGCTCGGTGCTGCCTGTGCTCCACACCAACCTCCTCTTCTCTGCAGCTCACCTCCTCCTCTCTGCAGCTGGCTCCTTCCCCTTCCAGCTACTTCCTCTTTGTCCTGAGAGGCCCCCTCTCATCTGAGACAGAAACAGACGGCTGGAGCTGGGTGGGCGGGCTAGAGGGTAGGGCTGAGAACCTTCACCTCCAGGAAAAATCTACACCCCACTCCCTCGAGGTAGAGGCCCTCCAGTTGCGGGCCTACGAATCGGAGTCAAGTTCAGCTGCAGGCCACAGACACCTAAGGAACAGTGGCTTCAGCAAGGTTGTTCATTACTCTCGAACACTAAGCAGGTCCAGGGGCTGGCAGGCTAGAGACGGCCTTGCTAGAGATGATGGCATTGCTCCACTGCCATTGGGAGCCAGGCTCTCAGATCCCAGTCCCTAGGATCCCTGCCTTCATGGCCTCACAGTGGCTGCTGGAACTCAGCCATTGCCTCTGTGTTCTTAGCAGAGAATAAGGGACATCCCAGAGGAGACTTCCTGGAAGTCCCACAGGGCACTTCCACTTATCTGTGATCTGGAACTTGATCTAGAACTTAGTCACATGGCTACACTTAGCTGCAAGGGAGGCTGAGCAATGGAGGTAACTAGGGTCTTTATCTTGGAGAACGAAGCTGGGGCTGCTCACTGGCATATCTGAAAAGGTGGGCCTGGCTAGAAGCTCCTAGCAAGGGGCTCTGCCTCCCACTGCCCCACCCCCCGACTGGGGTCCCTGAGTAAGGTCTGGGACCTTGAGAACACTCCTACTTTCAATGAGGTCTGGGTGTCCACCCTGGCTCCTCCTTGTAAGGCCTATGTAGGGCAGGGGTCCAGGGTGATGGCCTCAGGGTGCCTGCAGGACACCAGTCAGGAGGGTGCAGTTCCCAAGGGTGGGGCCTGTCAGCTGCACCCCTGGGGCCAGTCTGGGTGGGCCAGGAAGTGAATGGGGAAGAGATCCATCCTCTCCCTAGCCCCTCCCAGATCTCTCTTCACCTTCCTGATGCTCTGATTTGGCCTTGGGTTCAGCCCTTACCTCCCGGCCATGGTTGGGGAGCCCCAGCCCTCTGGCTGGGTTGCTGGATGCCTGAATGCAGCTGGGCCCCAGGCATGCCCCCGAGGGTTGGGTCCTCCAGGGACTCTGGGTGAGGGTTACTCTGGGTATGGGGAGGGGCAGCCAGGTGGGTCCTGCTGTGACATTTGCAGGGCTGGGGCATGAGTATGAAGGGAGGCTGCCTTCCCTGCACTCAAGCAAAAGGCAGTTAGACAGAACAGGTTCTCTTCTGTCTTTTTTTTTTTCTTTTTCCTTTGAGAGAAGTCTCGCTCTTGTACCCCAGGTTTGAGTGCAACGGCTTTATCTCGGCTCACTGCAACTTCTGCCTCCCGAGTTCATACGATTCTCCTGCCTCTGTCTCCCAAGTAGCTGGGATTAAGGCACGTGCCACCACGCCCGGCTAATTTTTGTATTTTTTATTAGAGACGGGGTTTCACCATGTTGGCCAGGCTGGTCTCGAACTCCTGAACTCAGATGATCCACCCGCCTCGGCCTCCCAAAGTGCTGGGATTACAGGCGTGAACCACAGCGCCCAGTCTCTTCTGTCTGGACAACAATGGTGTGTGAGGGCCTGGAAGGCCAGGGGCAAGTGGAGGACCCCAGGGCTCCTTGGAGCACTCTCAGAAGTCCTTGCAGGAGGGCCAGCCCCAGCCAGTCCCCTCTCCGATTTCCCCACATTGTGAGGGGCCTCAATGAGCCCACATGCTACACCCAGCCCGTGGGTCTGAGCTCATTGCAGCCCCAGAAAAGCACCACGTCACCTCCCCTGGCTGCCCCTCAGGCCAGCAGGACTGGGTACAGCTCAGGCAGCTCTACCTCGGGAGGATGGATCCAGGCTTGGGGATGTTTAAGCAAGGAATCCTGGGCCTTGGGCTCAGGGTTCGGTGGACTGTCCTCTTGGCCTCTCAGGCTGCTTACCCTGGAAGAAAGATTGAGGCTGGAAGGGGCGTCTAGATTCGGGACCCAGGGCAGGCCTCTCAGTGGCTCCGAGGCTGGCTGTGTGGCCAGGAACGACCTGAGGGCAGCTCCTTGCCGGCTCTGCTCCCTGCGCTGCAGGCCCCACCCTGAGGTCTAGGGCCCTTTGGTCCCATGGGGTGTGGGGAGGGACTTTGGGGATTTCCCATGAAGCAAAACTTTTTTTTTTTTTGAGATGGAGTCTTGCTCTGTCGCCCAGGCTGGAGTGTAGTGGCGCCATCTCGGCTCACTGCAAGCTCCGCCTCCCAGGTTCAGGCCATTCTCCTGCCTCAGCCTCCAGAGTAGCTGGGACTACAGGCGCCCGCCACCATGCCCAGCTAATTTTTTGTATTTTTAGTAGAGACGGGGTTTCACCGTGTTAGCCAGGATGGTCTCAATCTCCTGACCTCGTGATCCACCCGCCTCAGGCTCCCAAAGTGCTGAGATTACAGGCATGAGCCACCGTGCCCAGCTAGTGCATATGTGTTTCTAGTTATTATATCTTCCTTATGGATCACCCTCTTATCATTATAACACATCCTTCTTTGTCTCTAACAATAATTTTTGTCTTAATATCTATATTTTCTGATATTAGTATAGGAACTCCACCTCTCTTTGAGTTGCTGTTTGAATGTTATATCTTTTCCTGTCATTTTACTTTTTTTTTTTTTGGACGGAGTCTCGCTCTGTCGCCCAGGCTGGAGTGCAGTGGTGTGATCTTGGCTCACTGCAAGCTCTGCCTCCCAGGTTCACGCCATTCTCCTGCCTCAGCCTCCCGAGTAGCTGGGACTACAGGTGCCCGCCACCACGCCCAGCTAATTTTTTGTATTTTTAGTAGAGACGGGGTTTCACCGTGTTAGCCAGGATGGTCTCAATCTCCTGACCTCGTGATCTGCCTGCCTCGGCCTCCCAAAGTGCTGGGATTACAGGTGTGAGCCACCGTGCCCAGCCTGAACATTTTTTCTTTAATTTCCTTTGTTATTTCAAAAATTAACTTTGTGGGAAAATATGACTCATTATTTGTCAGCAGAGCTAAGTTTTTTGTTTTTTTTTTTTTTGTTTTTTTTTGTTTTTTACCCCAAATAAGTACAGACTGTCAGAGCAGGCTTGTGGGAGCACTTAAACCCCACCGTAAGCACATCAGACACACCTCACCTCATGGTGGAGCTATGTCCTGATAAGCCCATCATAAATGGAAGCTGAAAATATTCTAAGTTGATAATGAAGAAAAAAAGAGAGACAACCCAAATAACCAAAACCAGAAACAAAAAAGAGACATTACAACTGATATCACAGAAATACAAAAGATCACCAGAGACTACATGAGAAATTATACACTCAGAAACTGGAAACCTGGAGGAAATGGAGACATCCCTGGACACGCGTAGCTGCCGAGATTGAATCAGGAAGAAACAAAAAAACCCGAACAGATCAATAAGGAGTGATGAGATTGGAACAGTAATAAAAATCTCCCAACAACAACGCAAAAGGCCTATAGACCAGATGGCTTTACTACTAAATTCTACCAAACTTACAAAAAAGAACTAATACCATTTCTCCTTAAACTGTTCCAAAAAACTGAAGAGGAGGGAATTCTCTCTGACCCATTCTATGAGGCCAGCATTATCCTGATACTCAAACCAGGCAGGGACACAACAACAAAAAAGAAAACTACAGGTCAATATTCCTGATGAATAGATACACAAAAATCCTCAACAACATACTAGCAAATTGAATCTAATAGCACATTGAAAGATAATACATTATGACTAAGTGGGATTTATCCTGGGGATGCAAGGATGGTTCAACATACGCAAATCAATACATGCAATACGTCAAATCACAGATTAAAGGACAAAAACCGTATGGTCATCTCAATAGATACAGAGAAAGCATGTGATAAAATTCGACATCCCTTCTTCATGATAAAAACTCCCAGCAGGCTGGGCAAGGTGACTCACGCCTGCAATCCCAGAGTTTTGGGAGGCCAAGGTGAGAGAATCACTCCAGACCAGGAGTTTGAGACCAGCCTGCACAATACAGTGAGACCCTGTTGCTAAAAAAATTTTTTTTAATGTGACCAGGTGCAGTAGCTCATAATCCCAGCATTTTGGAAGGCCGAGGTGGGCAGATCACTTGAGTCTAGGAGTTTGAGACTAGCCTGGCCAACTTGATGAAACCCTGTCTCTACTAAAAATACAAAATTAGCCAGGCATGGTGGCGCATGCCTGTAGTCCCAGCTACTTGGGAGACTGATGCAGAAGAATCACTTGAACCCAGGAGGCAGAGGTTGCAGTGAGCCAATATGATGCCACTGCACTCCAGTCTGGGTGACAGAGCAAGACACTGTTTAAAAAATAAATAGGCCGGGCACGGTGGCTCACGCCTGTAATCCCAGCACTTTGGGAGGCCAAAGTGGGCGGATCTCTTGAGGTCAGGAGTTTGAGAACAGCCTGGCCAACATGGCAAAACCCTGTCTCTACTAAAAATACAAAAAATTAGGTGGGCGTGGTGGCAGGCGCCTGTAATCCCAGCTACTCGGGAGGCTGAGGCAGGAGAATCGCTTGAACCCGGGAGGCTGAGGTTGCAGTGAGTCGAGATTGTGCCATTGCACTCCAGCTTGGCAACAAGAGCGAAACTCAGTCTTGAAAAAACAAATCAGGCAAAAGATCTGAATAGACATTTCTCAAGAGACATACAAATGGCCAACAGGCATACGAGAAAAATCTCAGTATCACTAGTCATCAGGGAAATGCAGATCAAAACCACAATGAGATATCATCTCACCCCAGTTAGAATTGGTGTTATCAAGAAGACAAAAAATAAATGCTGACAAGGATGCCAAGAAAAGGGAACACTTATGCTCTGTTGGTGGGAATGTAAATTAGTGAAGCCATTGTGGAGAACTGTATGGAAGTTTCTCAAAAAACTAAAAACAGAACTACCATACGATCCAGCAATCCCACTACTGAGTATTTATCCAAAGGAAAGGAAATCAGTATATGAAAGGGATTCTTGTACTCCCATGCTTACTGCGGCACTACTCACGGTAGCCAAGATATGGAATCAACCTAACTGTCTATCAATGGATGAATGGATAAAGAAAATGTGATATATATATACACACACACACAATGGAATACTGTTTGGTCATAAAAAGAATGAAATCTTGTCATTTGCAGCAACGTGAATGGAACTGGAGGTCATTATGTTAAGAGAAATAGGCCAGTCACAGAAAGACAAACATCACATGTTCTCACTCACACATGGGAGTGAAAAAAGTTGACCTCTGAGGCAGAGAAGAGAACGATAGATCCCAGAGTCTAGGAAGGGTGCGTGGGTATGTGAGAAACAAACTCACCCATCCAAACCCAAAGAATGGACTTAGAGACCCGGAGAAAAGCCAAAGTGAAACTTTTAATGACAGTCTTGCAAGATCGGGTGTCTGGTGGGCAGGCACACCCAGCACAGTTTCAACAAGCAATTTATCCCCTCGTGTGCAGGTCCCTCCCCCGGTTCCTCATAGGCTGAGTACTATGGGGTCACAACCTTCCTGGACGTCACCTATTGGTTGTTGGGCAGGGGCTTTAGGTGTTTTCTTTAGAGTTGTCTTGCTGCATTTTGTTGCAGCCCACAATGCATTGCAATCCTAGTTAGCTCAGGGGCTCTTCAAGTATTTGACTTATGACCTAAGTAGCTGGGCAGGCTGATACGAACAGACAAGGCAAGCTATTTTACAGGCTAGCAAACTTTTATCTTAGACCAAACTTCTTTGGTTTGGGTGAGGGCAACTTAAGTAGGTGGCGGGAGGGTGGGTGACAAGCAGGCATTGGCTATCCAACCCAGGGCCTAGTATATCCTGCTTCTTCTGTAGTTTGCTGACCTAAGCCGATTTAAGGCACTTTGTCTTGAAAATGGACCACTGTATACATTATTTCCTTCCAGTGGAGGGGGAGGACAAAAAGAGGATGCTTAATGAGCACAAATGCACTCATTATGGTGCGATGGAAGGAATATGTCTAATGTTTGATAGCAGAGTAGGGTAGCTATAGTTGACAACAATGTATTGTTTATTTCAAAAGAGCTGGAAGAGAGGACTTGGAATATTCCCAACACATAAAAATGACAAAGACTTGAAGTGATGGACACCCTAAATACTGAGTTAATCATGACGCATGCTATGCATGTAATAAAAGCTTACATGCACCCCGTGAATATGTACAAAAATTATGTATCAATTAAGAATATATCATGTCAAAAATGCAGGCTGGGTGAGGTGGCTCACGCCTGTAATCCCAACAGTTTGGGAGGCTGAGGTGGGCAGATCACTGGAGCCCAGGAGTTCAAGACCAGCCTGGGCAATATGGCAAAACCCTGTGTCTACAAAAAATACAAAACTTAGCTGGGCATGTTGGCGTGTGCCTGTGGTCTCAGCTACTCCGTAGACTGAGGCACGAGAATCCCTTGAATCCGGGAGGCAGAGGTTGCAGTGAGCCAAGATTGCATCACTGAACTCCAGCCTGGGCAATAGAACAAGACTCTGTCTCAAAAGAAAATGCATTATGCATTTAATACCCCTAACTTACTGAACATCATAGCATAGCCTGACCTTAAACGTGATCAGAACACTTGCAGACATTTCTTTTTGTTGTTGTTGTTGTTGAGATGGAGTCTTGTTCTGTTGCCCAGGGTGGAGTTTGGTGATGCAATCTTGGCTCACTGCAACCTCTGCCTCCCAGATTCAAGGGATTATCATGCCTCAGCCTACGGAGTAGCTGGGACCACAGGCAAGCGCCACCATGCCTGGCTAAGTTTTGTATTTTTAGTAGACATGGGGTTTCACCACGTTTGTCAGGCTGGTCTTGAACTCCTGACATTGTGATCTGCCCTCCTTGGCCTCCCAAAGTGCTGGGATTACAGGAGTGAGCCACGGCACCTGGCCAACTTACAGATATTTCTGAGAAGAAGATATACAAAGGCCGGGCTTGGTAGCTCACGCCTGTAATCCCAGCACTTTGGGAGGCCAAGGCGGATGGATCACCTGAGGTCAGGAGTTTGAGACCAGCCTGACCAATATGGTGTACCCCTGTCTCTACTAAAAATACAAAAATTAGCCGGGCATGGTGGCAGGTGCTTCTAGTCCCAGCTACTCAGGAGGCTGAGGCAGGAGAATCTCTTGAACCCGGGAGGCGGAGGTTGCAGTGAGCTGAGATGGCACCACTGCACTCCAGCCTGGGCAACAGAGTGAGACTCTGTCTCAAAAAAAACACAAAAACCAAAAAAACATGGCTAACAGGCATATGATTTCACCCTAGAGTTGGGCAAAATCACCTAACACAAAGCCCACTTTATAATAAAGTGTCAATACCTTGTGTAACTTATTGAATACTACACTGAAAGTGAAAAACAGAATGGTTGTGTGGGTGCTCAAAGCATGGTTTCTACTGAAGGTGTGTCACTTTTGCACCACGATAAAGTTGAAAGATCATTAACTCGAATTGTCCTAAGATGGGACCATCTGTACTTGAATCGTGGGGAGTGCCGCTTTCATGAAAGGAAGCGTCCACTGATGCGGCAAACTTCATTGTTGTCTTATTTAAGAAACTGCCACAGCCACTCCAGCCTTCAGCAAGTACCACCCTATCAGTCAGCAGCCATCAACACTGAGGCGAGACCCTCACCGGCAAAAAGATTACAACTCCCCCAAGGCTCAGATGATTATTAGCATTTTTTAGCAATAAGATATTTTAAAATTAAGGTACGTACAGTTTTTTTTCAACTTAATGGTATTGTACACTTACTAGACTACGTAAAGTATAAAGATAACTTTTGTATGCACTGGAAAGCTGAAACATTTATGTGACATTGCAG
Source organism: Homo sapiens (assembly GCF_000001405.40). Classification (NCBI taxonomy): domain Eukaryota; kingdom Metazoa; phylum Chordata; class Mammalia; order Primates; family Hominidae; genus Homo; species Homo sapiens. The sequence goes on along the minus strand of NC_000014.9, from coordinate 104,917,020 downwards.
CGGCCTGGAATTGAGTCGGCAATACTTGCAACATATGTGTAGTTCTTGCTGGCGAGGCAGGAGAAAAGCTTGAATCTTTCTCTCTAATTACCAATTTTCAGGGTAAGGGGTTTGTGCAATGGGCTGTCTCTGATGGTGGCAGATGAGTTTTTGTTTGCTTTTTGCTTTAGTTTTCTTTCTTTGACTTTTTGATGTATCATTATGGACTCACGGATTATTATATATTTAATGTGTTTTGATCCAGTTCAGTCATCATTCTTTGGTCAGTGGGAGCTCTTTCATCATTTTTGCTGGAAAATTTAAAAGTAATGGGCAGAGATAAATGATATTTTACCTCTAAATACTTGAGTATGCATTTCTGAATAAAGAAGGAAAGCTTCCTGCATAATCACAGCTTCATTACCCCACTAACAAAATCCATCATTCTGGCCACTATATTCTTTTTTCATATTTCCAATAATCTATGCATCTTAATTCAGCTGCTTTCTGCCACAACAAGATCTTCCAGCCTTATCTTATTACACATTTCCTGCACCAGACCTGGACTCAGCTACTTACTGAGGAGTCCATGGGTCTTTAAAGTGGGGAAATGGCATTTAGAAACCCAGGTTAAATCATGAGTTCCTATTGATAGTTCCAATTCAAATTTAACATTAAAAATTTTCCTTAGGCTGGGAACAATGGCTTACGCCTGTAATCCCAGCACTTTGGGAGGCCAAGGTGGGTAGATCGCTTGAGCTCAAGAGTTTGAGAGCAGCCTGGGAAACATAGCAAAACCTCATTTCTACAAAAAATACAAAAAATTAGTTGGGTGTGGTGGTGCACACCTGTAGTCCCACCTATGTGGGAGTTTGAGGTAGGAGGATTGCTTGAGCCCATGAGGTCTAGGCTGCAGTGAGTCGAGATGGCACCACTGCACTCCAGCCTTGGTGACAGAGCAGAGACCATGTCTCAAAAAAAAAAAAAAAAAAAAAAGAGTTTTTCTTAATTTCTTTGGTTTTGTACTTGTATGTCATTTCTCTTATATGGAAAATTTTGGCTCCTAACAACTTTAATGTAATTACTAGCTTTAGCTTACCCTATATTTAACATGTTTTCAAAATAACAATTCCAATATCTCTACAGCCAGTAATACTAGTAAGAGAAATTTAAGATTTCTTTGCAAGTTTTTTTTTCTTTTGCTGTTATCTAAGTGTGTAAAGCCAAATACTCTGCTCTAAAGGCCCCCCTGTTTTTTCACATTGAGGTGTTGTCTACACCTGGAACTGATTGCTTTGGAAGGCTGGAGGCAGAGTTCCATTTCACTTCTTTTCCTCGTGGGTATTTAAGACTATTCCGTCTTCCTCCAACAGATATGTCTGGCCAGCTCTGACGAACTCAAGTCGCCACATGTGCGGGTCTTTGTCCCGGTTCTCTTTCCCATTCCGTTGATCCGTTTCTCTCCGTGCTGTGTTGTTCTATATTCATTATCACAGCTTTGTTCTGAGGTGCGCGGTCTGATGAGCAAGTCTCTCCCTTCTTTAGAAGCACCATGTGCTTTTGGGGCAACCATTGAGATGACAATATGGTTTTTCTCCTTTAATATGTGAATGGAATGACTTAGACATTTTCTAAAATTAAATTAACCTTGGATTCCTGGAATAATCCCAACTGAACCAAAATATCATACACAGTTTGAAACTTGGACAACACAGGTTTGACTTGCATGGGTCCCCTTACACGCAAACTTTCTTCTGCCTCTGCCATTCCTAACACAGCAAGACCAAGCCCTCCTCTTCCTCCTCCTCCTCAGCCTACTCATTGTGAACACGACGAGAATGGAGACCTTTAGGATGATCCACTTCCACTTAATGAAGTGCAAATATATTTTCTCTTTCTTATGATTTTCTTAATAATATTATGTTCTTTCTTCTAGCTTACTTGATTGTAAGAATATAGCATATAATAAAGACAACATAAGATATGTGTTAATCAACTGTTTGTGTGATCTGTAAGGCTTCTGGTCAACAGTAGGCTACTAGTCATCAACTTGGGGGGAGTCAAAAGTTATACGTAGATTTTTGACTGTGTGTTGGGGGTGCAGTGGTTAACGGTACTTTTTATACATTTTTGAGATTGGATAGGGCAATAATTATATAGGATTTTTCATCCGTGCCCAAGAGTGTGCTTTTTCTTTTGTGGTACACACTTGTCCTGTCTTTGTATTGAGATTATGATAGAGTCCTACAGTGAACTAGGTCATGTGCCCACTTTTGCCTACATTTTGAAGTTTGTAAAATGGGATAAAATATTCTTTTTAATTTTGGCAGAACATGTAAAATTGTCTTAGATTTTTGACATCTTTGTGGGAAGATTTTAACTTCTTAATTTCTTCTAGGATTATAGGACTCTTTGGGCTTTCTGTTTCTCTATGAATCAAACTTGGCAAATAATGTTTTTCTAGAAATGGTCCATTTTGTGTAATTTTCCAAGTTGCCTTGCTGTGAGATCACTCATGTTGCCCTCTGCTGCATTGTAGAGCAGCCCTCCTCTCATTTCTCAGTAGGGTTTTGTGCCTCTTGCCGGTCTTTCCCTTCAGAGATCTTGTGGCCATTTCATTAATTTTTTCAAGAAATCAAATTTATATATGTTAGTTCTGCTTTTAGTTCTAATTTAGTTTTAGATATTTTTAGTTCTAGTTTTGTTTTGTTTTTCATTTATTTATGTTTCACCTTTATCTTCATCCTTCTACTTTCTTAGTATATTCCTATTGTCATTTTTAGACTTCCTTCAGTTGGATGCTTAACATTTTTGTTTGTTTGTTTCTTTTTGAGACAAGAGTCTCGCTGTGTGGCCCAGGCTGGAGTGAAGTGGCACGATCTTGGCTCATTGCAACCTTTGCCTCCTGGGTTCAAGCAATTCTCCTGCCTCAGCCTCCTGAGTAGTTGGGATTACAGCCCTGCGCCACCATGCCCGGCTAATTGTTGTGTTTTAGTAGAGACAGGATTTCACCGTGTTGGCCAGGCTGGTGTCAAACTCCTGACCTCATGATCCGCCCACCTTGGCCTCCCAAAGTGCTGGGATTACAGGCATGAGCCACCGTGCCCGGCCGGATGCTTAACTTTTTAATTTTCAGCTGCTCTTCTTTACTAATGTAAGTGTGTCAGGGATACATTATTATTTAGTTCTAAATATTTTACGTTTTCTTTCATTCATGAATGATTTAGAAATCTGTTATAAGGTTTCCAGATGTATTTTAACACTCTTCCTCAGTGAGTGATTGAGAGTTGAATTACATTTGGCTGAGAGAGTGAAGTCATATGACACTGGGTTTTGAAGTGTGTTAAGCCCTGCCTTATGTCTAAGCGTGTGCTCATTGTCCTAAGTGGGTTTTGAAGTGTGTTAAGCCCTGCCTTATGTCTAAGCATGTGCTCATTGTCATAAGTGGGTTTTGAAGTGTGTTAAGCCCTGCCTTATGTCTAAGCGTGTGCTGATTGTTGTAAGTGCTCCACACGTACCAGAGCATAATGTGTCCTCTCTAACGGTCACGTCTAGATATGGCTTTAAATCCAGCTCGCGAAATGTGCTATTGGAATCTTATTCACCTTTTATTAATGTTTTATCCGCTTGACCTGGCAGTCACTGAGAGAGTTGTGTTGAAATCTTCTTTTATGATAGAATTATCAATTTCTACTTGCAGTCTTCTTCATTTTTTCCCCATACTTATGGCTGTTTTCAGGTACATACATGTTTTGAATCTTTACATCCTCTGAACAATACTATTCATTATTATATACCGGCCTTCTTTTCCCTAATTATGGTTTTTGTCTTAAAATATATTTTTTTGAAAATCAATTTAGTGCTGGGCATGGTGGCTCACACCTGTAATCCCAGCACTTTGGCAGGCCAAGGCAGGTGGATCACCTGAGGTTGGGAGTTCGAGGCTAGCCTGACCAACATGGAGAAACCCCCGTCTCTACTAAAAATACAAAATTAGCACAGCGTGGTGCCGCACACCTGTAATCCTAGCTACTCGGGAGGCTGAGGCAGGAGAATCACTTGAACCCAGGAGACGGAGGTTGCGGTGAGCCGAGATTGCACCGTTGCACTCCAGCCTGGGCAACAAGAACAAAACTCTGTCTCAAAAAAAAAAAAGAGAATATTAGTTTAGCCACATCAGCTTTCTTTTTATTAATACTTGCCTGACCATAGCACTTGTAATATTATTATTTTAAACTCCATAAATTAAATGTTTATAAGGATGATATATTTAACTACTATAATTATATATTTGTCTAACTAGATATTATTTATCTAGTGAGAGTGTGTTTAGAATTATCCACTTTTAATGATTTCCTTTTAAAAATACTTTTATTTATTTATTTATTTTTTGAGACAGAGTCTCACTCTGTAGCCCAAGCTGGAGTGCAGTGGCATAACTCAGCTCATTGTAATCTCTGCCTCCTGGGCTCAAGCAATTCTCATGCCTCAGCCTCCTGAGTAGCTGGGACTCCAGGTGCACGCCACCATGCCTAGCTAATTTTTTTGTATTTTAGTAGGGGTGGGGCTTCACCATGTTGCCCAGGGTGGTCTCGAATTCCTGAGCTGAGGCGATCCACCCATCTTGGCCTCCGAAAGTGCTGGCATTACAGGTGTGAGCCACAGTGCCCAGCCACTTTTAGCAATTTCTTTATTCACTATTCCTTCTTTGACTTCAGCCTCTCCCTCTGTGATCATTGTCCTTCTTCCTGAAATATATCCTTTAAAGTCTACTTGAATATTAGTTTAGCTGGGTATAAAATTTTGGGTTGTCAATTGTTTTCCTTGAGTCAAGATGTGTTGGTAAACTCTTAGTTGTTATGTAACATAAAAATATTTCTAATTTTCCTTTAGTATTGAAAGATCATTTTTCTGGGTATAGAATTACAGATTGACAATTATTTTCTCTGGAAACTTTGAGGTCTTTAGGGTCCCATTGTTAAGAAATCCACCACCATTCATTTTCATTTTGGAGACAAAGTCTCACTCTGTCGCCCAGGCTGGAGTGCAAATGGCATGATCTTGGCTCATTGCAACCTCCACCTCCCAGGTTCAAGTGATTCTTCCACCTCAGCCTTCCAAATAGCTGGGTTTACAGGTGCACACTACCACACCCAGCTAATTTTTGTATTTTTACTAGAGACGGGGTTTTGCCATATTGGCCAGGCTGGTCTCAAACTCCTGACCTCAGGTGATCCACCCACCGCTGCCTCCCAAAGTGCTGGCTGGGATTACAGGTGTGAGCCACCATGCCTGGCCACCACCATTCTTTTGTAGAGAATCCTTCTTTACTATTGTGGCTGTTTTAAACAAATTTTATTATCTACAGTATTCCTCAATGTTACTGTGATGTAACTGTGTAGTTTTACTTTCATTTATTCTGTTTGGCTTCCCTTATGTTTTTGTATCTTCTGTGGATATATGTTGTATTCATTTCTAGGGTTGCTGTAGTGAAGTTCACAAACTGAGTAGTTTATGCAACAGAAATGTATTGTCTCACAGTTCCAGAGGCTGGAAGTCCAAACTCAAGGTGTCGGCAAGGTTAATTCCTTCTGAGGCTGTGAGGGAGGATCCTGTGGCTCTCTCATAATTTCTGGTAGCCCCAGGTGTTCTTTAGCTTATAGATGAAATTCTCCCTGTGTCTTCATGCCTTCCCTCTGTACATGTCTGTCTCAAATTTCCCCTACCATAAGGCATCAGTCACATGGGATTAGGGTTGTCAATAAAAAGAGTCAAATTCTGTAAACTATTTGAAGAGATTTATTCTGAGCCAAATATGAGTGCCTAATGGCCTGTGACACAGCCCCAGCAGATCCTGAGACATGTTTCCAAGGTGGTCGGGCTACAGCTTGGTTTTATACATTTTAGGGAGGCATAAGACATCAATCAATACATGTAAGATGTACATCGGTTTGGTCTGGAAAGGTGGGACAACTTGAAGTGGGGGCTTCGAGGTCAGAGATGGATTCAAGGATTTTCTGGTTGCCAGTTGGTTGAAAGAGTTAATATAGGCCAGGCATGGTGGCTCGCACCCGTAATCCCAGCACTTTTGGAGGCCAAGTTTGGAGGATCACCTGAGGTTAGGAGTTCAAGACCAGCCTGGCCAACATGATGAAACCCCATTTCTACTAAAAATACAAAAATTCGCCAGGCATGGTGGCACATGCCTGTAATCCCAGCTACACCAGAGGCTGAGGTGGGAGAATCGCTGGAACCTGGGAGGTGGAGGTTGCAGTGGGCCGAGATCACACCACTGCACTCCAGGCTGGGCAACAGAGCAAGACTTCATCTCAAAAAAAAAAAAAGAAAAAAAAGAGTTATCTAAAGACCTGGAATCAATAGAAGGGGGTGTCTAGGTTAAGATAACGGTTGTAGAGACCAGGGTTCTTACTATGCAGATGAAGCCTTCCAGGTAGCAGACTTCAGAGAGAATGGATTGCAGATGTTTCTTATCAGACTTCAATAGTCTGTTCTATCAGTCCTAATTTTAATCTTTCTGTTGAAATGTTAATGCTGGTCAGCTGTGCCAGAATTCCAAAGGGAAGAGGGTATAATGAAGCATCTGACCCCTAATTCGCATCATGGCCTGAGCTAGTCTTTTAGGTTAACTTTGGAATGCCCTTTGCTGAGGGGGGGATCCATCAGTCAGTCGGGAGCTTAGGTTTTTATTTTTGGTTTACCGGATCTCCCCCAATTACTTCATCTTACCTTGATCATCTGTAAAGGCTCTATTTCCAAATAAGGCCACATTCACAGGCACTGGGCATCAGGACTTTAACATCTTTTGAGAGACAATTTCATCCATGGTATGTGTCTTTCCCAGTTCTGGAAAATTCTGGCCTGATCTCTTTGAATATTTCCTGTGTCTCATCCTTTCGACTCCCTCATTCAGAAACTCCAGATAGATGTATGTTATATGTTGTCACGCAGTCTTCTATGCCTATTAACATGTCTTTCACATTTTCTATTCCCACCATGTTCCTGTGTATTGCATTTTGGGTAATTTCTTCTCATCTTTCTTACAGTTGACTAATTCTTGTTTTAACTGTGTCTAATCTGCTGTTTAACTCTTTCATTGAGGTTTTGAAAGATCTTTATTTTCAGTCATTATAGTTTTCCATGTGATGTTTTTCTGACTCTGGCTGTATCCCATGCTCTTTTGTTCCTTTTGCATCTTCCAGTACTGTGTCCATCTGTCATTTTTTGCTGGTGTTGCTGCTTGATAACTTTTGGGCCGGGGACAGTGGCTCACGCCTGTAATCCCAGCACTTTAGGAGGCCAAGGCAGGCGGATCATGAGGTCAGGAGATCAAGACCATCCTGGCTAACACGGTGAAACCCTGTCTCTACTAAAAATACAAAAAATTAGCCGGGCGTGGTGGCAGGTGCCTGTAGTCCCAGCTACTCGGGAGGCTGAGGCAGGAGAATGGCGTGAACCTGGGAGGCAGAGCTTGCAGTGAGCCAAGATCACACCACTGCATTCCGGCCTGCATGACACAGTGATACTCTGTCTCAAAAAAAAAAAAAAACACAAACAAACAAAAAAAAAACAACTTTTGATGTGAGCTCATATTTGCCAGGCTTTGCTGCATGGGAGCATTGAGGGCCCTGGATTGGAGATGCTTGCCTTTCTGCTTCTGCAGGGGTCACCATCAACCCACAAAACTTTGAATGAATTTCTCTAATTCTTTACTTACAGATTCTAATTTTTTTTTTTTTGAGACAGGGTCTCACTCTGTCACCCAGACTGGAGTGCAATGGTATGATCACGGCTCACTGCAGCCTCAACCTCCCAGGCTCAAATGATCCTCCTGTCTCAGCCTCCTGTGTCACTGGGGCCACAGGTGTGTGCCACCACAGCCAGGTAATTTTTATATTTTTTGGTAGAGGCAGGGTTTCGTCATGTCACCCAGGCTGGTCTCAAACTCCTGGGCTCAAGCAATCTGCCTGCTTCAGCCTCCCAAAGTGCTGGGATGACAGGTGTGAGCCACTGCACCTGGCCTACTTAGATTCTTTAATGGTCAGCTGTAACATAAATGTCAACCCTGAGACCACGTGAAACAAGGGGAGACTGAAGAGAGATACACCCAGGTGGGCTGAGGTCTCACTTTCATCTCTGCCTGTAGCTTGGTAAGACGCTGGTTCAACAGTTCCAAATGAGGCTAATAAGAGAACAAGTTGATATTAAGTCCTGAGATCCAGAAGCTCCCCTTGATAATGAGGCCACTGCATGGCCAGGCAGCACCTGCTGTTCCAGGGTCTCCCACACGTTCACTTCTCCCTTTCCCTTTGAGAGTGCAGAACTTTTCAGGGCTGTGGTCCTTCTCCCTGCTTTAATCATGTTACCTTAGGGGAGGAATGGTAGGACCAGCTGCAGATGAGGAGACAGAACAGGAAAGCTTAAAGGTTTTATCATACTTGCTGGTTCCTGGGAACCTACAATACAGCTGACAGAAAAGAACCCATTATCTTTCTGTGCTGTTAGTGGCTACGTTTATATTTGTAACATGATACTTGACTTTCAGAAGTCTAGACTTCATCTCTCCACCCTTTTGAACAGCAAAAAGGGCTCAGAATGTTTTGCTCCAACTGCTTCCTGAGGGATGCTGGCTTTTATTCCTTAGTATTTTAGTTTTACCTTTTGGTATAAACTTTCATAGCCATTATAACTTTTTAACATTCAATGATTATTTAGATTTACCACATATTTACCAGTTTCTTTACTCACTATTTCTTCTTGCATGCCCCAACTTCCTTCTGAATTCTGAATTAAAGGGTTTTTTCTTCCTAAAGTTTATTATCCTTAAGTGATTCTTTCATCATGGCTCTAACAGTGGTAAATTGCCAGGTTTTATTGTCTGAAAATAGCTATTCCTCCTTCACTTTTTTCTTTTTTTAGGAAACAAGGTCTTACTCTGTTGCCCAAGCTGTAGTACAGTGGTGTGATCCCGGCTCAGCACAGCCTTGACCTCCAGGCTCAAGCCATCCTTCCACCTCAGCCTCCTGAGTGGCTGGGACTACAGACACACACCACAATGTCCAGCTAATTTTTTTATTCTTTGTAGAGACAAGGTCTCACTACGTTGCCCAGGCTGGTTTGGAACTCCTGGGCTCAAGTGATCCTCCCATCTTGGCCTCCCAAAGTGCTGGGATTATAGGCATGTGTCACTGTGCCCTGCTCCCTCCTTCACTCTTGAATAATACTTAAGTTGGGTATTGGTTGTTATATTCTTACAATTTGAAGATACTGACTTCTGAAACATAATGTGGCTGTGGAGAAATATGCACCAAGCTAATTGTTGTTCCTTTGAAAACAGTTTCTCTTATCTCTGTTTGCTTTTAAGGTTTTCTCTTTGTCTTTGGAGTTCTGCAGTTTCAACATGCTGTGTTCAGGTTAGATTTATTCTTATGCATTCTCCTTGGGACTCGTGCAGCTTAAACTTAAGGATTTATGCTTTTGGTTATTTCTGTAAGGATCTCAGCCATTATCTCTTTGAATATCGACTCCTCTTATTTCTTTATCCTCATCCTGTAAAACTCATTAAATAGATTTTCATTCTATCTTCCATGCCTCATAATCTCCTTTGACATTTTACATGTCTTCATCCCATTCCTGCATCTGCCTAATTTCTGATGATCAACCTTCCCATTTGCAAGTTGTTTCTTCAGCTCTGTTAATTAGTTGGTCAACTTTCCCTGAGGTTTCAATTTCTCACTGTGGAATTTTCCTTCTCACCCACAGTCAGGGGATAGACAAGTTTCCTTGCCTGTTCACTGGAGCCACAAGTCAAGTTTATCTGGCCCCTTTCCCTGCCCTTTGAACACACATCTCGGAGCAGGATTCTCAATGTCATCTCTCCCCTCTCCTAGCATAAGGCCTCATCCCCTGACCGGGTGGCTGGAACATCTCGGGTGCTTAGCCAGTAGGGCTATTTCTGGGCCCATAAACGTCCCAGAGATACTGCAGTGTCAGCTCCCTGACCATCCTGGCTCATGGTTCCCACCTGCAGCGACAGCTCCCTGCGCGTCCTGGCTCTCGGTTCCCACCTGCAGCGTCAGCTCCCTGCCCGTCCTGGCTCGCGGTTCCCACCTGCAGCGACAGCTCCCTGCCCGTCCTGGCTCATGGTTCCCACCTGCAGCGACAGCTCCCTGCGCGTCCTGGCTCTCGGTTCCCACCTGCAGGGTCAGCTCCCTGCCCTGCCCGTCCCGGCTCGCGGTTCCCACCTGCAGCGACAGCTCCCTGGGCTTCCTGGCTCTCGGTTCCCACCTGCAGTGTCAGCTCCCTGACCATCCTGGCTCTCGGTTCCCACCTGCAGCGTCAGCTCCCTGCCCGTCCTGGCTCGCGGTTCCCACCTGCAGCGACAGCTCCCTGCCCGTCCTGGCTCATGGTTCCCACCTGCAGCGACAGCTCCCTGCGCGTCCTGGCTCTCGGTTCCCACCTGCAGGGTCAGCTCCCTGCCCTGCCCGTCCCGGCTCGCGGTTCCCACCTGCAGCGACAGCTCCCTGGGCTTCCTGGCTCTCGGTTCCCACCTGCAGCGACAGCTCCCTGCGCGTCCTGGCTCTCGGTTCCCACCTGCAGCGTCAGCTCCCTGCCCGTCCTGGCTCGCGGTTCCCACCTGCAGCGACAGCTCCCTGCCCGTCCTGGCTGATGGTTCCCACCTGCAGCGACAGCTCCCTGCGCGTCCTGGCTCTCAGTTCCCACTTGCAGCGTCAGCTCCCTGCCCGTCCTGGCTCGCGGTTCCCACCTGCAGCGTCAGCTCCCTGCCCGTCCTGGCTGATGGTTCCCACCTGCAGCGACAGCTCCCTGCGCGTCCTGGCTCTCGGTTCCCACCTGCAGCGTCAGCTCCCTGCGCGTCCTGGCTCGCGGTTCCCACCTGCAGCGTCAGCTCCCTGCCCGTCCTGGCTGATGGTTCCCACCTGCAGCGACAGCTCCCTGCGCGTCCTGGCTCTCGGTTCCCACTTGCAGCGTCAGCTCCCTGCCCGTCCTGGCTCGCGGTTCCCACCTGCAGCGTCAGCTCCCTGCCCGTCCTGGCTGATGGTTCCCACCTGCAGCGACAGCTCCCTGCGCGTCCTGGCTCTCGGTTCCCACCTGCAGCGTCAGCTCCCTGCCCGTCCTGGCTGACGGTTCCCACCTGCAGCGACAGCTCCCTGCCCGTCCTGGCTCGCGGTTCCCACCTGCAGCGACAGCTCCCTGCGCATCCTGGCTGATGGTTCCCACCTGCAGCGACAGCTCCCTGCCCGTCCTGGCTGACGGTTCCCACCTGCAGCGACAGCTCCCTGCCCGTCCTGGCTCTCGGTTCCCACCTGCAGCGTCAGCTCCCTGCCCGTCCTGGCTCGCGGTTCCCACCTGCAGCGACAGCTCCCTGCGCGTCCTGGCTCTCGGTTCCCACCTGCAGCGTCAGCTCCCTGCGCGTCCTGGCTCTCGGTTCCCACCTGCAGCGTCAGCTCCCTGCCCGTCCTGGCTGATGGTTCCCACCTGCAGCGACAGCTCCCTGTGCGTCCTGGCTGATGGTTCCCACCTGCAGCGACAGCTCCCTGCGCGTCCTGGCTGATGGTTCCCACCTGCAGCGACAGCTCCCTGCCCGTCCTGGCTCGCGGTTCCCACCTGCAGCGACAGCTCCCTGCCCGTCCTGGCTCGCGGTTCCCACCTGCAGCGTCAGCTCCCTGCCCGTCCTGGCTCGCGGTTCCCACCTGCAGCGACAGCTCCCTGCGCGTCCTGGCTCTCGGTTCCCACCTGCAGCGTCAGCTCCCTGCGCGTCCTGGCTCTCGGTTCCCACCTGCAGCGTCAGCTCCCTGCGCGTCCTGGCTCGCGGTTCCCACTCCATTTCTGGCATATGGGGATTTCCCTTTCTTGCCTATAATGATGTCTAATTTTGATTTTACTTTTAGCTGACAATTCTAGCTGTTTCAAGGGGTAGAGATTAAGCAGTGAGGGTGAGGGGCTGAGAAGTTGGGCAGAGGATGGTTGCTAAGAGGCAGAAAAGACATGCGTAATAGATTCTGGCAAACTCACAAGTCTCAGGAGATAGACGTTGGCTCTCAACCCTGCCAGGACCACCAGGATTGGGGTGGAAATTATTCAGAGAATAGAGGATCTGAGAAGAGAGCCGGACTTCCTGTGCTGGTTTTCCTCTTGAGGCAGTGGCTAATTCTCACCCGACATGAGAGTCACGTTCACCTCAGCTAAGAGGCTGAGCATTGAGTGGTTGAAGAGTTCAGTGAAACTTCACTCTATTATGGCTCGGGGGAAGCAAAATTGAGCCCAGGACTTCCTTCAAAGGAGGAGGGAGGAGGGAGGTACTGCTAAACTCTCCTGGCTTGCAGTTGAGACCCCAGAGGGGTGTGCCCTAGAAGCACGACAAAGAGGTAAATCAGAGGGCAAACAAGAGGTGGAACCAGACTTACCATGTCTACAGCCTGTCCTAGACAGCTCAGTCATGACTTGACTGGTGATCTGTCCCTGCTTTGTGGCAGAGGACAGGGCGGGTCCTCTCTGATGGCCACAATATCATCCAGAGATTGTACTTTTTTTCCACAGTGTCTGTCGTTTTAAACCAAGAGTCACCAGACACATTAAAAAATATATAGACCCAAGTGTAAAAGCAGGGGATGAAACTGTTGGAGCTTTGAAGTGACTCTGATGACTGCTCTGAGAAATAAGCGGCGAGATGGAAATTTTCACTAGAGAAATGAAATCTTGAAAAAATCAAATAGAAACTCTAGAACTAAGAATACAATAACCAAGGTAAAGACTGTGACAGATGGGTTAACAGACTGTTAGTGGACAGAACTCAAGAGAGGATTAACAAGCACCGATTGAGGTCAGCAGCCGACAGAAGACTGAAGCACGCAGAGAAAACTGCACGGAACATAGCATCAGAGACACACAGGGTGCCGTCAACAGGCCTACCACATCTGTCACTCAAATCCAAGAAGGGAGATTGCAAATGGGGCAGAACAATATCTGAAGAGAAAATGAGTGCAACTTTTCCAAAACCAATGAAAGACATACCAATTGCGTATGCAAGAAGTGCTACACATTTCAAGATAGAGAAATACAAAGATACTCCTAAGCACATTGTAGTAAAACCACTGAAAACCCACTAACTAGGAGAAAAGCAGTAACAGGAGGTGGGGCACAGTGGCTCACGCCTGTAATCCCAACACTTTGGGAGGCCGAGACAGGAGGATCCTGTCTCTACAAAAATAAAAATAAATTAAACAAATAACAGCCAGGAAAAAACAAGATGCCACCTTCAAAGAAGCAATAATGAGGCTCTTGACTTCTCCACGTAAGCACTGAAAGCCAGAAGACAATGGAACAACATTCTCTAAGTACCAAGAGAAAATAACTGCCAACTTGGGATGCTATTTCAAGTGAAAGGGAAAGGCAAAACAAAAACATTTTCAGACACCCTCCCCAGTGAATTGAGAGAATTCCTTACAGCAAACATGCACTAATAAACAAGACAAATCACAATGGAGGCCTTTGGAAAATGGTCCTGGATGGAAACATGGAAATGCAGGAGGGAAAGAATAAAAGAGCAGCAGAGAAGAAACACGCCAGTGCGTTTCCATGCACGCCGGCTGTAGAAAATGATAAGATGATTTATTGTGTGGTTTAACATTGTGCAGAACTGAAATACCTGAGAATGACAGCACAAAAAGTGGGGGAGAGGCCGATGGATTTAAAGCGTTAGAAGGGCAGAGCGTGGTGGCTCACACTTGTAATCCCAGCACTTTGGGAGGCCAAGGCGGGTGGATCCTTTGAGGTCAGGAGTTCAAGACTAGCCTGACCAACATGGTGAGATCCCGTCTCTACTAAAAAAAAAAAAAAAAAAAAATAGCTGGGCATGGTGACACATGCCTGTAGCCCCAGCTCCTCCGGAGGCTGAGGCAGGAGAATCGCTTGAACCCAGGAGGCAGAGGTTGCAGTGAGCCGAGTTCACACCACTGCACTCCAGCCTGGGCGACAGAGCGAGACTCTGTCTCAAAAAATAAATAAATAAATAAAGCGTTAGAAGGTCTTTACATTGTCCAGGAAGTGATAAAAGTACACATTTACATTAGGCCCTGGTAAGTGAAGGATGAATTTTATAATTACATTTTATAATTGTAAATGATTTTATAATTATAATTGTATAATTGCCAGAAAGTAGTAAAAAGAACAATTTGCCTTAGACCATAATTAGTGAAGGATTAATTTTATAATTGTTTGGGTAATTGCTACTAGTACAGTAAAAGTATGACTAACAAGCAAATCGGAGGATGTAAAATAAAATATTTTAATTAATCCTAAAAAAGGAAAAAAAAAAGGGAGAAAAAAGAACAAATAGCAGATGTAATATAGCAGATTTAAACCTAAGTACATTGATAAATATAATAGATGTATACTAAAAATACTCCAATTACAAGAAATATTGTCAGACTGAATGTTTTAAAACAAGCCCCACAAAAATGTCGTTAAAAGGACAGAAATTCTTTGAAGTGAGTTGGTTTAAATAAATAAATAAAAGGATGGAAAAAATAAATCATGATAACATTAACTAGAAAAAAAGCTGGCAGAACTATAATAATGCGAGACAAACTGGACTTCAGATAAAAAAACAACTAGAGATAACGGAGACTTCATAATGATAAGAGGGCTCATCGACCGGGAAGTTAATAATTCTAAATTGTATGCACCTAATAGCATAGCTTCAAAATACATAAAGAAAAACTTATAGGCCTGGCACAGTGGCTCACACCTGTAATCCCAGCACTTTGGGAGGCCAAGGCAGGAGATCACTTGCGGTCAGGAGTTCGAGACCAGCTTGACCAACATGGTGAAACCCCATCTCTATTTAAAAAGATGGGGTTTTTAATTAGCCAGGTGTGGTGGTGGGAGTCTGTAATCCCAGCTACTCGGGAGGCTAAGGCAGGAGAATGGCTTGAACCCAGGAGGTGGAGGTTGCAGTGAGCCAAGATCACATCACTGCACTCCAGCCTGGGCTACAGAGTGCGGCTCCGTCTCAAAAAATAAAATAAAATAAAACAAAATAAAAACTTACAGAACTGAAAAGAGAAATAGAGAGATCTGCTATCACGGCGGCGACTTCAACACAGTCCTTTCAGTAACTAGTAGAATAAGCAGATGGAAGAAAATTCATATGGATATAGATTATTTGAACATAAATTATGAAGCTGGTCAAATTGACAAAAAATAACACCTCTCCAAAAAAAATTGGAAGTTTACATATTCTCTTCAAGGGCACATGTAATAATTATCAAAAGTGTCCATATACTGGGCCGTAAGTCATTCTCTATACATTTCAAGTGACTGAAATAATTTTAAGCATATATTCTGACCATAGTGAAAAGAGGCTACAAATCAATAACAAAAGACTAACCAGAAAATTCTCAAATGTTTGGTAATTTAACAACACACATCTAAATAACTGACAGGCCAAGAAAGAAATCACAAAACGCTAGAAATTGTTTTACCTAAATAGTGATGAAAATATATCAAACCTTATGGTATCAGCTAAAATTATGTTTAGAAGGAAATGTATAGCTTTAAATCTGTGTATTAGAAAAGAAGATTCGCAGAAAAATCAGTGACTGTCCATGTCACGAAGGAAAGAAAGGAGTAGGAAAGAAACCCCAGATAGGGAAGAAAAGAAAAAAGCTAACAAACAAAAAGAAAATTAAAACTAACAGCAGAAATCAATGAAAGAGAAAACAATAAACAGGCAACAGAAAATATGTAAAACCAAAAAGTTGGTTTTATGAGAAGAGTATTGAAACTGGCAAACCACAGCAAGAATGAAACAAGAGCGAGAAAAGGCACAAATCACCAACATCAGGAGTGAAAATGAGAGCGTCAGCGGCTCCTACAGAGGCGAGAAAGACAAGAGGATATTAGGAACAATTTGATGCTATTAGATATTTTCTATCCTTATTTTTTTCAAATTTGTATGCAGTATAACATACATATGTAGAGTGACCAAATTTATTTATTTTATTTTAGGAGACAGAGTCTTGCTCTCTCTCTCAGGCTGGAGTGCAGCGGTGCGATCTCAGCTCACTGCAACCTCTGCCTCCCAGGTTCAAGCAATTCTTGTGCCTCCTCCCTCAGAGTAGCTGGGACTACAGGTGCACACCACCGTGCCTGGCTATTTTTTTGTATTTTTAGTAGAGATGGGGTTTCACCAGTTCAGGCTGGTCTCCAACTCCTGACCTCAGGTGATCCCAGCCGTCTCGGCCTCCCAAAGTGCTGGGATTACAGACGTGAGCCACTGCTCCCAGCCTGATTCCAGGTCTTCAGATAACTCTTTCAATCAACTGGCAACCAGAAAATCCCTGAATCCATCTATTACCTGGAAGCCTGGGACCACAGGTGTGAGCCACCATGCCTGGCCTTTTTTTTTTTTTTTTTTTGGAGACAGGTGGAAGACATTTCCTTGAACATCTTAGTTAATACCTTCCCCCCAAGAGGTAACCAGTGTTGTGATTTCTGCTGTCATGGATCGCTTTTTCCTGCTTTTGAAATCCTACGGCATGTAGACTTTGGTGTCTGGCTACTTTTGCTCATTGCGACGTCTGGAGAATCATCCATGTTTTATGAAGTGTAGTCATTTATTTTTCCCTTGCCATGTCCTAGCCCAGGGCTCGAACATACCAGGTGTTATTCACCCATTCTGTTGTCGAGGGCCATGAGGTTGCTTTCCATGTGGAGATTTTACCCATACAGCTGCTATGAGCAGTCTTGGACATGCCTTTGAAGGGCTGAATGCACTTGTTTCTCTTGGGTATAAAGCTGGGAGTAGAATTGCTGGGTCCGAGGTAGGCATATGTATAGCGTTGGTAAATTCTGCCACTTTTTCCAAAATAGTTGAACCACTATACTCTCACCTGCCAAGCCAAGGATTCTAGTTTTAGCTACCTTGGTGGGTATGGTTGTATCTCATTATGGTTTTAATTTGCACTTCTCTTTTTTTGACAAATGATATTGGGCATGTTTTCATAAAGGTGTTTGGTCACTTGGACACCCTCCTGCAACGCACCTGTTCACTTTCCCTGCTCTTTATTGGGTTGCCCATCTTTTTTCTCTGACTTATAATAGTTACTATACATTTTGAGTCCAAATTATTTGTCCTTTTCACTCTCTTCAAGGTGTCTTTGGATGAATAGAGGTTCCTAGTTTTCAGGTAGCCTAATTTACTAAGAAATTCCCAGCCAGGCACGGTGGCTCACACCTGTAATCCCAGCACTTTGGGAGGCTGAGGCAGGCGGATTGCCTGAGGTCAAGAGTTCGAGACCAGCCTGGCCAACATGGCAAAACCCCCGTCTCTACTAAAAATACAAAAATTAGCCAGGTGTGGTGGCACATGCCTGTAATCCCAGCTACTCAGGAGGCTGAGGCAGGAGAATTGCTTGAACCCGGGAGAAGGTTGCAGTGAGCCAAGATCACACCACTGCACTCAGCGAGACTCCATCTCCAAAAAAAAAAAAAAAAAAAGAAAGAAAGAAATTGCCTTATAATTGATAGCTTAAGGAAGAACTTAAAATTATGCCACAGGCTGCTTCTGGCCGTGAGCGATAGGAGTACAGGATGGTTTGCCTTCTCACCTCGGACAGTGAGAAAACCAGACCCAAGCTTTGCAGCGGGAGGGGAGGCAGGGCTGTGGGCTGATGGTGCCCTACTCATCGGCAGTTCCCTTCTGAGGACCATCCAGTGTCCTGTGCACCACGAGCCTTTCTCCCTCAGCCAGTGGGGGTGCAAGCATTTCCAGGCCTGTATCACATCCGAGGCATGCTCGGCTCCAGCGTTCTGCGGGTGGTTTTCCTGCCTCCCCTGGCTTCCTCGCGTGTGTGCAGGGGGTCCTCTGCCGGCGCTGGGGCTGTGTGTGTGGTGCTCTCCTCACCGCTGCTTCACTCTGCAAATTCCAGTTGCTTTGGCCTCCCCAAACTCTGATCTGGGCCTCAACTCGGCAACATCACCAAACCCCGTGGGAGCCGCTCCGCCCTTTGGCCTGCAAGCTATGCTGTGAGCAAGGCGGGCGGTCGGGCTCACCTCATTTCTTTCCTTTCTTGACATCACGGTCCTGTGCTGCCTGCTGTCCAGTGTCTGAAAACTGCCGTTTCACATATTTTGTCATTTTCTCACTGTTCAAGGTGAGAAGGCAAATCCATCCTGTACCCCATTACTCACGGCCAAAAGGAGAAATGGCCTGTGGCATGATTTTAAGTTCTTCTTCAAGCTAAATCATGACAGCCTTCTCAGTAAAATTTTATTGTATTTGAGAGTAAAAACAGTTTACTGTCTTTTTTGTCATAATTTGAATGTTTGGCCATCATTTCTTTGAATTTTTCTGAAAATTTTCTCTGAAAAAGCCATTAATTTTTGCATGGAAAAGGTGCGGGCTTCATTCTGTCTAATGGTTTCTTATATTTGTCACTAGCAAGATTAATTGGACACAAACCACATGTGTGCTTCACTCACTCCTGCAAATGACCCAAGACCCAAAGCAGGCCCTGAGCCACTGAGCTCCCCTCTGTCCCGCAGGGTTCTCTCTCCTCAGCTCCAGCTCCCTGACTGCATCCCCAACTGTCACCTGAGCATCTCACCCACTGTCCCCACATCTGGGCCACTTGGGCCAGGAGCTGGGCATGTCCTTGGCCCTCTCTGCCCCTCCGCCGGGGACCCAGCCCCTTCAGCCTCCGGCCTCTCCACACGGCCCATCTGCCCTCCACCGCCTCCTCCCGCAGCCCCTGTGCCCTCACTCCCAGTCAAAGCCCTCCTCACTCTGACTAGACAAGGAACAAGAAAAGCTCGCACTCCTTAGGGAGGTCCTGGAATGTTGAGCCCACCAAACCAGATCACCGCCCACTGGCCCGCCAGGCCCAGCCCTACCCTAGGGCTGGCGCACCCCCGGCACCTTCCACAGCCGTGGGCCCTGGGACGTCTGTTGAGGCTGACTTTCCAGCAGGTCCTGGGTCTCTGGGAAGGCCCGTTAAGGGGCCCCACTCAGAAGGCCCTCAGGAGTCTGCTGCCCAGACTAAGGTCTCACTACCTGGCCTTACCCACAGTCCTCCCTGTGGCCTCCCGTTAAGGGGGCCGGGCCAGCGGTGACCACCTCCAGTGTGGCCCCGGGAGTGGCGTTCAGATGGTTCAGATGCAAGACAAGGCGTGGAGGCCCCGAGTGGCTGCATGAGGCCTGTGGAGCCCTGTCCTCAAGTTCTCGGCGGGCCGCTCGGCTCAACCACCCCCTTGCAAACTCAAATGCATCCCCAAGGGCAGGGGAGGGTGGCATCATAAAGGCAGTCCACCCAGGAACATCTGGCGATGTCCTCTCCACGGCCACCGCAGGGAGTGGAAGGACAAGGGGCTCGGAGCAGCCAGACGGCTGGGCTGCGGAGGTAAGAAGCCCGCCCTGCTACTCCCGCCAGGGTCTCAAGGTCAGCCTTGCTGAGGACCTGAACCACTGCCTGGTAGCCTGGCAGCCGGACAACACATCAGTACCGTGGGGCCCGCCCTGTGGCCGGAAGTGGACAGTGACCTCTGACACCTCCAACAACCCGGGTGTGATGGGTGCCAGTGACGTGATGTAACAACGGGCAGTGGGTGTCCTCCGAAGCCCTAGCAGGGAGAAGGAACTGGGGCGGGAGGTGGTGCTCACCACACGGGGACTGTGTGCCTGCTTACTGCCTATTTTTATGCAGGATGAGCGGGGTTTTAAACAGTGCTCTCGGCCAGGCGCGGTGGCTCCCGCCTGTAATCCCAGCACTTTGGGAGGCCGAGATGGGCGGATCATGAGGTCAGGAGATCGAGACCATCTTGGCTAACACAGTGAAACCCCGTCTCTACTAAAAATACAAAAAATTAGCCGGGCGTGGTGGCGGGCGACTGTAGTCCCAGCTACTCGGGAGGCTGAGGCAGGAGAATGGCGTGAACCCAGGAGGCAGAGCTTGCAGTGAGCCGAGATCGCGCCACTGCACTCCAGCCTGGGCGACAGAGTGAGACTCCGTCTCAAAAACAAACAAACAAACAAAAACAGCGCTCTCGGATGCTGTCTCACTGAACAGTTTTCATAAATTAACTCTTCTGTTTTTTAGGAGTAAACATCTGGAAATGCTGCTTTCTAGCCCAGGCCGCCTCCTGGTGGCAGCATCTCTGAATTGCAGCCACCCCTGGTCTGTCCTATGTGCAGGGCCCCACCCACCCCAAACACCAAGGATAGAGAAACAAGGCCAAGGTGACAGGCTCCAGCGTGCTGCCATGTGATAGAAGAATGATTTATTAGAACAAATTCCATGACAAATCATATAAAATAACCATTTTCCGAAAGACAGCCACAAGACCACCTGAGAACGAATGTACAGTGAACCCTCCGAGAAGCCCGGCAAACAAGGACCAGTTCCCAGGCAAAGGCTGGAGGGGGAGGAACAAAGGAGCTCAGTGTGGGGAGGAGCAGGAACTTGTGAACTTAAAACATTGCACAGCCACTGCCGAGGGGTGGGAAGGAGCCGTGGATGAAGCGTGACCACTTCATGTCCAGGGGCAGGCGGGGTGGGCAACTGGGGCATGCAGGGGTGGGCAGCAGCCCGGTGGACCGGGCTAGCACCTCCTCCATACAGACAGCAGGCTCTTGGGGCGGGGACCAGGGGGGGACACCTGCCACCCCCGCCCCCCCTCACACACACACGTAAACATCAGGTGGGCCGCAGGCTCAGAGGAACAGAACCCGTACACCCAACCCCAGCTCAGCTAAAAGTAAACAGGGGACACACACCACCCGCTTCCAGCCTCCAGTCCCCAGTGCCGCTCCCCCAGCAGCTGGCCCTGTCCAGGTCCGACTCTCATACCATTGCCAGGCAGGGTGTGGAGCTCACCCACGCCAGTCTGGTCCAGGTGGGACACCCCCACGTCCACCCCCACCAACCACGGCCAACGGGCTCTTTGGCTTAGAGGCTCCGGCAACACGGGCTGCCCCAGCAGGGGCCACGGCAGAGGCACCAAGCTCTGCTCACCTGCCATGTTCCCAGCTGAAAGAATCCTGAGAAAACAACAGTTCCTGGGCCCGTCCCTGCCCCCATGCCCACTTGAGGCCTGATGGCGTGAAGCCAAAAGGGGAGGGCGTGTGGTGCAGGCCAAGCTGCGAGCTTCCGGAAACCCGGCTTCCAGTGACTTTGGTCGTGCGCTCACCCCCGCCAGAAGGGCTGCCATGCACCCGGCTGCACCCAGGACCTTGGAAGCCCACCTACAGAGGCCCATAGCCCCTCACGGGGACATGCCCTGCAGTCCTCACGGTGCAGCGTGGAGGCGCCTGGACTAGCCGTGTGCATGGGAGTTGGGGGGTGTCTGCACCTGTGTGCATGGCTCAGCTCTCAACAAGCCCCTGGTCCATACCCAGGAGGCCTCCACAGGGCAGCCCCAAGCTCAATGGGTTTGGCAACTGTGTTGGCACCAGAGGCTGGAAGCAGTGGGGCTCCTGCCTATAAAAGGCCTGGGGTCAGGTGGGAGCCACCAGGGCAAGTGCCCTGCCATCTCAGACAGTCCCAGGAACAGGTGAGCCTGCCCACCTCCATGTTTGGCACCAAATGACCCCACAGTCGACCTCTCTTCCTCTGCCTGGCCGCAGGCCAGCACAAAGGGTTATGGCAGGTTAGTGCCTGGCGGAGCCAGTCAGGCCTGGAGGGGGCACCTGCAATGGCACCAACAACTCTTTCCTTTAAAGCTAAAGACAAAAATAACAGTGATGAAGAGGAGGCGGGGTAATGCCCTTGAGGGCTTGACCTTGGCAGCAGCCTGGCCAGGAGCTGGGCCCAGAGGCCTGTAGGGGGCGAGGCAGGGGTGGGGGTGGCCATGGGGCTGGACAGGGTGAGTAGGGTGCTGGCTGGGAGCTGACGAGGGGGCAAGGGCGTGGGAGGCACCCGCCCACAGGGATATGGCACATGTGGGGGTCTTCAGGGAGAACCACCTGCGGCCAGGCAGGCGGGTGTGCGGCGGACGGAAGGCAGAGACGCACACGCACAGGGAGGCTGGCCTGGCCAGGTCTGGGGCCTAGATCAGGAACCTCTCGGCATCAGGGAGGAAGGTGGGGTCCGGGAGGCTGGGAGGCCCACAGCTGGCCCGCTGTGGGAAATTCCTCAGGGGCAGGGCTGGCAGCAGGGCCTCGGCTGAGGCGGGTGAGGGTGGGCTCTGGGCAGCCACGCGGCCCTTCCCCAGCCCCGGCTGTGCAGAGCTGGCCAAGCTCCTGTTTCCTGTGAGCAGGTCCAGGCTCCCACTGGGGTCCACGATGGCATTGATAACTGGAGGTGGGGAGGGAGGGTCAGGCTGCGGATCCAGTTCACCTGCTCCCACCCTGTGAGTCAGGGTTCCCCACAAGGCCCTGCCAGCCTCCCTTGCTGCCCCAGGCTTGGGCCACACTCACCTTCCAGCTGTTTCTGCACCCGCCTCAGTTCCTTCAGGATGGAGCTGATTTCCTGGAAACGTGGCAGGAAGGGAGGTGGAGTCAACTTCTGACGGGCTGCAGCCCTGCCCCGGGGCTCTGTGTGCAGGAGCTGGGACAAGGTTTGGGGCCAGCCAGGCAAAGGCAGGCTGGCTGGGGGCAGGCCAAGGGGCACGGGGCCCCAGCGCTCACCTTGTTAGATGTCTTCAGGATGGGCACCTCGTTCTCGGCGTTGATCCTGGCTTCCAGGTCCTCCCAAGCTCTCCCTGTGTTCTGAAAGAGGATCCTGTCCGAGGTAGGGGGAGGCAGAAATGGGGGGACAAGGACAGAGATGACAGAGCTGAGGCACAATTCTCCCAGACCTCCTCTGCCATGGTGAAGTTCATCCCAGCCCACCTGGGCCTAAGGGGGAAACTGAGGCCTGATGCATGAAGGGCACCAAAGTCCCATCTGTGCCTGACACTCGGCGGTGGGGAGGGCTGGGCCCGGGATGAGGGCTAGGGGAGAAGGGGAGGAAGGGCCGCCCTGGAGGCGCTGGCTCCTCTGAGTTCAGGGTCTGCCTGCTGGGAGCCACATACACGTGCACACGGGAGGGCTGCTCCACAGGTGCACACGAGTACCCATGAAACCGCTGCCCTTGAGGGATTCAGCCAGGCTGAGTCTCAGCTCATGCAGCTGTGCTGGTGTCTGGGCGTCCACCTCAGCCAGGAAGCCGACTCACTTCATCTTCTCGGCAAGGTGCTCTGTGTTCTCACGGATGGCCTGCGACAGCTGGGACACCGGGTTCAGCATCAGGTTATCGAAGATCACCTGCAAGAGCCCGGCCTCAGCATGGCCCCGCCCTCGAGGAGCCCCGCCCCTGCTCCCCCCACACCCAGCTCCGTGGCGGTAGTGGGCACCGTGCCTCCTCTCGGTTCCGAGGCCGCGTCTTGTTGGCCAGGGCGTCCTCACAGCTGTCGTTCATGTTCTGGTCAAAGTCCCGAGAGTTCAGCGAGCCGGGCGGCACCTTCTGGAAGTTGAGGCTGGCCTCGGGGATGCGCTGCACCAGCTGCAAGAGGGAGGGCCGGCACCGTGGGCCCCAGGCAGAGGCTCCTGCCAGGCTGTGGCTGCACCTCCCTGCTCCGGCCCGGCAGGTGGACAGAGCACACCCACCTTCCGTCTGTGCAAGGTCCCTCCTGTGCCCCTGCCCCGCCATGGAGGCAGCTGGGCTGGGGATGACGGCACAGTCAGGCTTGACTCAGGTGCCACGAGCGCCCCAGACCTCGAGCTCTCCGGTGGCCGTTTGGGGCGCTGACCCAGGGGGACATGTTCCAGCTCGCCAAGTGGGGATGTGCAGCAGGGCCTCAGCCGAGGCATGCAAAGGGCTGTGGGGACCTGGCCTGACCCTCCTCGAGGGTGGCTCTGGCACAGGGGCCTCAGAAAGCCTGGGGCTCACCTCCTCCCGGGCAGAGATGGTCGAGGCGGGGGTGCTGGGCATGTTGCTGAGGGAGGCGCTGTGGGCAGGCTCCGAGGAGCCCAGTGTGTCACCGTCCCCAGCCACATCGTGGATCTCCTGGGCTAGGATGGCCACGTCCTTCACCAGCGTCTGGCTCAGCCTGCAGCCGGCAGGAAAGACGGCAGGTTCTGCACAGAGGAAGTCGGGGCAGCAGGGGCCAGACAGGCCTCAAAGCCCCTCCCAGCTCCCAGGCAGCTGCTGGCCAGAGGTGGGGCCTGGGGGAGGTGCTCCCCAGCCTGGCCCCAAACACCGGCCTAGCCACTGGTTACACAGGCACTGGCCACGGCCCCAAAGGGAGGCCAAACTCCCCACAGCCACAAGGAGGGATGGTGGGGGGCTGGGACGGAGCCTGAAAAGAAGGGTGCACAGAAACCCTTGCTGGCTCTGGGGCAGGCCACACCTCCTCTCTCTCCGGCCCCCCAGGGCCAGCATCACAGCTGCGGGGCCCAAATGGGATGGATGGGACTCAGTCATAGAACGTGTGGGTGCCACGGGTGCCCAGCTCTGCAGGCAGAGAAACTGAGGCAAGGAAGGGAGTGGGCTGAGGCCACAGAAACTACAGCCTGGCACTCCTCACACTGAGGGTGGGGGCTGGGCAGAGGGTGGGGCTGGGCAGAGGGTGGGGCTGGGCAGATCCAGAGAGGGAGGGGACCCCTTGCAGGCCAGTGAGGCCAATGGCAGCTCAGCCTAGCCCCCTGCTCAAGCCTGGCCAGCTCAGTCCCCCTAGGATGTGCCCAGGGGGCACAGGCCTCCACCCTGCCGAGGTAACAGACACTTCCCAGCGAGGACAGGGGCCTGCCGGGCCCGTGAGCAGCTCCCAGCCCTCTGCTGGAGCGCACAGCCTCGTCAGCTGTCCTGCTGGCCCCTTAAGCACCTGGGCCACCAGCAGGTCCTGCCCCACTTAGGCCTTCAGCCCAGGCCGTGGGGACCTAGGCTCCCTGTCACTGCCAACCACCCATCCTCATGGGGACAGGCCCCACCCCAAGCCTCCTCGGCCCCCACACTGGCAGTCACCCAAGGAACAGACCACCCTGAGGGCCCTCCCCCTACCCCTACCTCCAGCGGCACCACAACCCTCGCCAGACACTGGCACGACCAGAGAAACACCCCCAGCACCCTCTGCCCAGATGGCCTTGCACATCCCACTGGCTGCCCTGGCCCCATTCAGGACTGGGTCCTAGCTGGGTCCACCATTCCACATCAAGACAAAACATGGAAGCCCTCCCTCCACCTCTGGGTGACACCAACTGGCACATGCCCCTGGCCCTCAGGCCCCCGCCCAGCACTCCCTGGCCTCCTGCCCCCGTCATATGGCATGCTCCAGCTCACCCACCATGGAAGGCAGAGAACTCCAGAAACCCACATGGGCCCCCCACATCCCCTTCTGCTCTCAGGCCTGGAAGCACCCACCCCCTTCTCAGCCAGGTGCAGTGTCTCTGTCCAGAGCCCTAGCCCTGTGCTAGCCTCCTCCGCTGATGGCAGCCTTCTTCCCTATGCTCCCCCAATACCTCAAGCATCCCAAGAGCCCTGTCCCCAGTCCCCATCCTTCCAAGCCCCCCAGGTCCTCCCCACCAACTTCATGCTGCTCACAGCCTCAGGTGCCTGCGCCTCCACCCCAGTGTGGGCCACTCTCTAAGGGCCGCCTGCTCCTGGCCACCTCCTTCCAGGTCCCTCATGGGCTTCAAGCTCAGCATCCTCCACAACAAACACTTGCCATCCACCCTGGTCCTGGGACCCCCCCTGCCTGCCCCACAGCCTTTCAGGGACTGCCTTTGCAGTACTGACCACTGCTTGGCAAAGACCACTCTCACTCCCACCCAACTCCCTACCCCATCCTCCCCAGCGCCTGGCCTGGAGAGGGCCCTGTTACTGAATGACCATGTGAGGGAGTTCATTTCTAATGAAAACCTTTGAGGAGGCCCTCCTTGTACTGGCGGTCTCACCTCCTGGGAAGATCTGCATCCACCCACCCCTCCATCCACCCACTCACTCTCCATCCATCCATCCATCCATCCACCCACCCACTCATCCATCCATCCATCCATCCATCCACCCACCCACTCATCCATCCATCCACACCCACCCACCCATCCATCCACACACCCACCCACCCATCCATCCACCCACCCACCCATCCATCCACCCACTCATCCATCCATCCATCCATCCATCCCTCCATCCACCCACCCACTCATCCATTCATCCATCCACCCACCCACCCACTCATTCATCCATTCATCCATCCATCCATCCATCCACCCACCCACTCATCCATCCATCCATCCATCCATCTACCCACTCATCCATCCATCCACCCACTCACTCATCCATTCATCCATCCATCCATCCACCCACCACTCATCCATCCATCCATCCACCCACCCACTCACCCATCCATCCATCCACCCACTCACTCATCCATTCATCCATCCATCCATCCACCCACCCACTCATCCATCCTTCCATCCATCCACCCACTCACTCACCCATCCATCCATCCATCCATCCACCCACCCACCCACCTACTCACCCATCCATCCATTCATCCATCCATCTACCCACCCACTCATCCATCCATCCACCAACCCACTCATTCATCCATCCATCCATCCATCCACCCACCCACTCACCCATCCACCCACTCACTCATCCATTCATCCATCCATCCATCCATCCATCCATCCACTCATCCATCCATCCACCCACCCACTCATCCATCCATCCATCCACACACTCATCCATCCATCCATCCACCCACCCACCCACTCACCCATCCATCCATCCACCCACTCACTCATCCATTCATCCATCCATCCATCCATCCACCCACCCACCCTCCTATTCATCCATCCATCCATCCATCCACCCACCCACCCACCTACCCACCCATCCATCCATCCATCCATCCATCCATGCATCCATCCATCCATCCACCCACCCACCCTCCCATCCATCCATCCATCCACCCACCCACCCACCTACCCACCCAGCCATCCACCCATCCACCCACCCAGCAACCTATCCATCTACCTGCCCACCTGCCCATCCATCCATCCATCCACCCACCCACCCACCCTCCTATCCATCCATCCACCCACCCACCCTCCTATCCATCCATCCATTCATCCATCCATCCATCCATCCATCCATCCATCCATCCATCCATCCATTTGTCCATCCATCCAGCCAGCCAGCCATCTGCCGTACCATCTATCCACTCAAGAAGGGAGCTCCCAGCCTGGTCCCTGCCCTCAGGGTGCTCTCACTCAAGAAAACGCACTGGCACCCAGTGGATTTACTCTGAATGGGCTACTCACCTGGCAATCTCCGCAATCTCTGCCGTCTGCACGATGAAACCATAAGGGTCAGGCTCCTCCTCATCGTCGTCCGTGTCCCGGGGGCCGGGGGCCCGGGAACGAGCCCGGCTGGAGCTGCCAGCCCTCGGGGTCTGAGTGGCTGTTGAGGTGTGGGAGCGTGTGTGTTTGGGGGAGCCGTGGCGGGAGCCGTACTCCTCCTCAGAGGTGGACGTGTAATCCGAGCCCTGCTGCCGGCGCCTCGTGTCTTGGTGAGTGAATTGGTTTTAGAAGCAAGAACAGAACAAAGCAGCACTCAGCACCCTGTGGCAGTCCCAGGGTCCCTCTGGGAGAGGGCTCAGTGCTGCAGGGCTGGGCAGCGTCGAGGCTGGTGCCCCCACCCAGTAGCCCTTCATTGAAACATCAACAGCTGCTGAGCTCCAGGGACCACAAGGCCCCCACCAGCCCAGGGCACATGCGGGGAAGGCGGCCTGGTGCTCCCAGGCCAGTGGCTGCAACCCGGGAGCAGTCTGCAGCTGATTAGGTGGGAAACCCCCTTACAGGTGGTGGGAAAGCAGTGCCTGACAGACCCCAAAACAGAGTAAACCTCCCCACCAGGACCTGCTGCGGCCCAGGCTGGACCACACAGACAGGCAAGGACCAGTCAGAGCGCAAGCAAGGCCACTGCAGTCCCTCCCTGCTGCCTGCTTGAGTTTGTCAGACCCAAAGCTTCAGGTTCCGCCCTCCTGGGCAGAGTCCTGGCCTCCTCACCAGCCCCTGCTCTAAGCCTGGCAGCAGCTGCGCTCCTGCACTGTAGCGGGGCATGATGGCGAGCCGCATGCTTGGGTCAAACACCACCAGTGCACCACGTCGGGTAGGGACAGCAGGCTCCACCAAGCAGGGGTGACCCTCGGCCCCGCCCCACCCCTTCCTCCAGCGAACCCTGCCTCAGCCTCCAGCCATACGCAAGGCCTGCCCAGTGCAGCCAGCAGTTGGGGTGGGGCTGTGGGAGGATGCTGGGAGTCAGGAAAGAGGCTCCACTGGGATCGTGGGTGGGTAGGTGGGTGCACAGGGCAGAAGGCAGTAGCAGCAGCACCTTGACCTCAAACCAATCCACTCGCAGGACAGCTCAGCTGCCTCGGCGGGCGGGGTGGGCCCCGCTCTGCAGACGCGGATGTCCGGCCACCCCAGGTAGGAGGCCAGCTCTGGTGGCCACAGAGGACCATCCCCGCTTGCTGTGCCCATGGACATCTGGGGGGCAGGGCAGGACTCTGCTCACAGCCCTCCCTCCCTCCCTGGTCATGGGGCCTGCGGGCTCAGAAGGGTGTTAGAGCAGCTACCAGCGGAGGGCACAGGTGTACTTGGCACCCTTCACTGAGCCACAGTACTGCGGCAGAGATCCATGGGACAGCCCTCCCCAGGCCTAGGGCCTCAGGCCCATGGGCAGATGGCGTGGGGACCCAAAGGCACCAGGGGCCTGAGCCAGGAGTACAGGAAGAGTGGGGAGGGCCAGCCTGGGCTTCGGGGCCCTGAGGCACACCCTGGGGGATGGAAGGCCCTCTCCACGCCAGAGATGGTCAGGGTGTTCTACCCACACCAGGGGACTGCGGGCCCTGCCCTCGGCCCATGCACGTGTGTGTGTGCACGTGAGTCCAGCAACACATCTACCCCAGCTTTGGGAACAGAGGCTCCTCTCGTGCCAGGACCAGGGGCCCACGGCCAGCACTCAGCTGGCATCCAAGATGCTGCAGACCCACTGGCAGCCCTGTCTTGGCCCTGGCCTCCCACCCGCCCTGGCACTCACTGGAGGTGTATCGGGCACTGCCTGAGCGGGCCCTGCTGAAGGGCTGGCGGGGACCCGTGGTGGTGGCTGTGTTGGCAGCCTTCCTGGAGACAGCCCGTGCTTCGGCCATGGTGGGCTTGCGGCTGGCACAGCACAACTCCACACTGCGGCCAGAGAAGCTGGTGCGGGCAGGGGCTGCCTCGGGGTCACTAGTCCCTGTGAAGGAGCCGGCCCGCTTCCGGGGCATGGCCAGGATGTCCAGGCGTGACAGCTTCTTGGCCTGCTCAGCAGCTGGCCGGCCCACGGGCTCAGGGTTGCCCAGGGACCCCCGCTCACCATCCGCAGCCTCAGTGTCTGAAGCGTCCCCCAGCCGGGCCCGCCTCAGCCGGGAGGCCCGTGTGGGGCGAGGGGTGGACAGGCTGTTGGAGCGGGTCAAGGCCTGCGGCCCCTTCTGGGAGCTGGCTGAGCTACGGCTCTGCTCCTCCCGGGCAGCTGGGGATGGCGGTGGGGCCGCTGGTTTCCGGCGAGAACCTAGCCGTCCTGCCCCGGTGGCCTCAGGGGTTTCGTGGTTGGAGGCCATCACATCTGAGCTGGGTAGGTGGGCGAGGACAGGGCCACGCTCCTCACTGGGCCAATCCAGGGACCCTCGGGGCCTGTGGCCACGCCTTATGGCTGAGCGCCGTACCGGCTCTCCACGGCCCATGTCCGTCGGGCCAAGTGGGTGATGCTGCCTCTCTGAGGACTGCTCACGGGCACTGACCAGGGCGGTGCCTCCCGGGTCCTGTGCAGCTGGCGGGGATGGCGACATCTCCTTCTGTGCCCGCAGAGGCTGGGGGGTTGTGGGGCTGGGCCCGCTCTTGCCACTACGCAGGCTGACGGTGCTGGCTGTGTCCACGTCCGAGTCCCCAGACAGGGCGTCCTCCGGCGGCCTCGGGGTGCTGCCCCCCTCACACTCGGCATCCACAGAATTAGAGAGGAGTCGGGCCTCCAGGGCCGCCAGGGCCGTCTCCGTCTCCTTCAAGATCAGGTGGGTGTCCTGGGAGTGGAAGTCCATGCGTGCGGCCCGGGTAGCGGCCAGGTCCTGTAGAAGCGGGTGGCTGGAGATGTGGGGGGGCTTGCCGGGCGCTGGGGGACCACTGGCTGGCTCCTTAGTGAAGCTCTCTTGCCGGAGAAAGGCTGGGGCAGGGCCGTCGGGTTCTGGGGACCGTCCAGGCCGTAGCTGGATGACCATTCTCCCATTGGCACTGACATAGACGCCATCCCGTGCTGGGGGGCTGGGCTGGGCTGTCTGCCCTAGGCCCTCCCCATCCCCTGGAGCCGCAAGCGGTTTCCTAGATAACACAGCGTCCCCATTCTGGTCCCCAATGAAGAAAGAGGCGGGAGTTGGCTCCCCGGGGGCCCTTGGTGAGCGCCGACCCCTGCTCCACGTGGGCCCCTCCTGGGGGCTCCTGCGTCTGCTGTCCTGTGGCTCCACCCCTGGCTCGGGGCCTCGGCCCCCGTCCGACCCACTGGCATCGCTGAGGCTGTCAGGATCCAACTCCTCCTGGCCGAAGAGGCGGCTGGGCTGCTCACTGTCCAGCTCCGGTGGCCCAGGCCCACTCCTCCTGCTGCTCTCTGGGCCCGCAGGGCTGTCAGCCCTCTCACTGGGCAGCTGAGGGAGCCGTCGCCGCATGCGCACAGGCAGGGACCCCTCCGGCTCCCCGCCTCTACGTCCCAGGCCATCCTCTGTGGAGCACAAAGGCAGCCGGTTAGAGGGCCGCTGGTCTGCAGGCCCTCCACGCTCAGGAAGAGGCAGCCTGTGTCCGTGGTCAGTGGCCTGAGGCCCGCCCCGGCCTGGCCCGACTCCCCCGCAGCACTGGAGCCACTTACCTGTGAGGCCCGGGTCTGAGTAGCTGTCAGCCAGGCTGGCCCAGCGGGACACCCACTTCTGACCCCCAGGGGAGCCCGGCACCGGGAGGCCCTGTGGAGAGGAGGGTGGGAGTGTTTCCACACGCAAGCCCAACGGCGAGAAGCAGGGGGTGCCAGGGAACAGGAGGGGCGTCCAGAGCAGCCAACACCAGCCCCACGCATGCGCGCCACCCAGGGCCTGCCGCATGAGCAAGCGTGCCCCTGCAAAGGCAGCCAGGGATCCCAGTTGCCTCGCCTGGACTTGCTCCAACGCGACCCCCTGCCTGCCCAGCCCAGGCAGCCTCACAGAACTCAGTTCCAGGTTGGCAGAGCAGCCGTGGCCCTGTCCTGACCTCAGAGCCCGTTTTGCCCAGGACCTCAAATCAACAGTGGGCCTGACACCTGGCCCCGATCCCTCCTCATGGAAGCCCCAGCCCACCCTCCTCTGAGCGTGTCCCTCAGAGGAAAGTCCAGTCTCGCCCCATGGGGGGCCCGCTGACCCCAGGTCCGGCTTGGATGCTGCCCTCTTCCTGCCCAGCCCCTCCTTGGGGTGGCCGTCTGTGCCTGTACCTGGTGCTCCGCCTGGGGGGCCGCACCCAGTGGCCGGGAGGCAAACTCCTGCAGTAGCGCCATCCGCTGGGCCACGCCCCCGTCATCAGACTCATCTCTGTCCCCTCTGATGACTGGGCGAAAGGTGGCCGAAGATGCCCTGGAGAGTTCAGGGGACTCCAACACCCCAAAGACCTGCCAAGAGGAAATGGTCCCAGGCACCGAGGGTCAGAGAAGCCCACCTCCCAACCCTCCACTGACACTGGCCACCCCCAGGCCACAGGGAGAGCAGGGACCTGGTTGGCCAGAGTGGCTGGTGGCCGGGACATGCAGCCTGGCTGTCAGCAGGACATGCGGATGGGATACGGACCCAGCCCTGGGAAGGGGAGGGGCGGGGCTGTGGGCAGCATACCAGGCTCCCTCCTGCCCAGCTGGGCCAGAGGCAGGAGCCAGGGCTGGGCCGGAGCAGGACAACGTCCGCCCACCTCCACCCCCGGCATCGCCTCCACCCCCCGTTCCCCACGAGTACTCTCACTCGCCACCCCCGGCATCGCCTCCACCCCCGATTCCCCACGAGGGCTCTCACTCGCCACCCCCGGCATCGCCTCCACCCCCCGTTCCCCACGAGTGCTCTCACTCGCCACCCCCGGCATCACCTCCACCCCCCGTTCCCCACGAGGGCTCTCACTCGCCACCCCCGGCATCACCTCCACCCCCCCGTTCCCCACGAGGGCTCTCACTCGCCACCCCCGGCATCACCTCCACCCCCCCGTTCCCCACGAGGGCTCTCACTCGCCACCCCCGGCATCACCTCCACCCCCGGTTCCCCACGAGGGCTCTCACTCGCCACCCCCGGCATCACCTCCACCCCCCGTTCCCCACGAGGGCTCTCACTCGCCACCCCCGGCATCGCCTCCACCCCCCGTTCCCCACGAGGGCTCTCACTCGCCACCCCCGGCATCGCCTCCACCCCCCCGTTCCCCACGAGGGCTCTCACTCGCCGCTGGGCTGCACCTGGTCGATCATCTTCCGGGCCTCCTCCACCTCCGTGTCCTGCGCCTCGGTCTCGATGGTGTATGTCCCTGCGTCACTGAGGCTGTCGTCCTCCTCCTGTTTCCGTGCCTTGGTCAGCTGGGGGTCCGTGGGGGCGGGCGGTGGGGTCGGGGGGCCCACGGGGCTGGTCCCATGGGGTGTCAGGGGAGCGGGCAGCACCGGAGGAACCTTCTCGGGGCTGGGCCGGGCGGCCGGGGAGCTCTCCCGCAGACACTGGGCCATGAAGTCCTGGGCCAGGCGGGAGCGGCGCCCCACGCTTCCGAAGGGGCGGGCAGGGGTTCGGGAGGCGGGCGAGGGGCTGCCCAGCCGTTCCTCTGTCTTCTCCCGCTTGAGCGAGCCGGCCCTCTGTGGCCCCGAGCTGCGGCCCCCTGCCTGGACTGGGGCTGGGACACTGGGGCGGTCCCTATCGGCCGGCGTTGGGCCACGGCGCTTGTCGGCCTTGGGGTCCCCGGACGGGCTGTGCGTGAAGGACTGGGAGCGCTTCTTTCGGGGTGTGTCCTCGTCGAAGAACTCGATGACAAAGGCCTGCTGGTTATGTAGTAGCTCCTGGGGGTCCCGCTTGATCTGCCTCTGCAGCCGCACCTGCTCCCCGCTGGCCTCCAAGGGCACCCCAGCGGCCGAGGCCGCCTTGGCCAGGGGGTCCTCTGAGTCACTCTGCGTGCCGTCCTCGTGCTTGTGGCCTGGGGGAGACAGGGGACCCCACCTTGTCAGGCCGAGAGAAAGGAAACAGCTGTCGATCTCAGGCAGCCTCATCACCCCATGCCTTAGCTGAGTTGACAAAGCACCCCAGCCCTCAGGGCCCCCCCACACAGGGCAAAGAAGTGCAACGGGAAGACGCAGGACCGGACTCCTGACCAGGCAGGTGGCTCTTAGGCAATTAACTGAAAAATGGGAAGTCAACCCAGCTGAATGGGCCCCTCTGCATGGCAACAGTGCAGACCCAGCCAAAGTCCGGTCCCCTGCCTGTCCCGGGACTGGCACGGCCGCCAGCTGGGCACTCACCCTTCAGGGTGCGGGTGTGGACAGGCAGGTCGCTCTTGGTGCTGTGGCGGTCATCCCCAGGGCCAACCCGGTGCAGCAGGCTCGGGTCATTCTGCACCAGCCAGTCGGCCACCTTGGTCTCAGCCGACACCATCTCGCCAGGTGTGGCCTCCTTGCCCGGGGGCCGCCGCTGGCGCAGGGAAAACTTGGTGATATGGTCCTTGATCTTCATCTTGCCAGGGCTGCAGTCATCAAACTCGATGGTGAAGGAGGCGTGGCTCTGCACCACAGGGGCCGCTCCGCCCCCACCTGCCTCTGCATCCTTCGTGGGCATCTCGTGTGCCGGCACCTCGGGGGGCTGCGACGGCTGCGGGGTCTCCTTCGTGGGGATCTCGAAGTAGCTGGGCTCCCGCCGGAACGAGCAGCCCTGAGGCTCAGCAGGGGCGCGGAAGCCGTGGAGCTCCCCGTCCTGCTGCACTGGTCCCTTGGGGCGCTCTGGTGTGGGAAGATGTCTTCAGACCGGGCCTCAGGGTAACCACCTGCCACCACCCTCCTCAGCCAGGACCATCCACTCCACCCAAGAGGGGGAGACAGGCCCCATGTCCCCCGGAGTGGGCTCCTCAAGCCCAGGCCATCCCCTTCACACACCACCCTCTGGGAGCCCTCAGGGTCTCACCAGCCTGGCCCCAAGACCAACCTGGGTAGGGCTCTCCCTGGCGCTGGGCGTCAGGCAGCGTGCTACCATCGTCCTCACCCCACCAGGAGGGCTGCCCATACAGGGGTGTGCGGTAAGAGGCTGCCTCTGTGGAGGGAGCGAGAGGTCAGACCCTGTGTTGCTGGGGCCCCCAGTGTGAAAAGCAGAGAACTGGCAGCCCAGGAGAGGCTGGACTCTGGGGCAGGCCCTGGCATCACCTCCCAGCTTGGCCCTGTGGCAGCCCAGGGCCCCGCCTCTGTGGGGAATGTTGACTACCTTGAGTTCCGAGGTGGCTCACTGGCCCCTCCCTGCCTGGCCCCACCTCCTCCCACAAGTGCTTAGAGGCTCCCTGCCTGCCTGGCCCCTCCTCCCTGCCTGGCCCCTCCTCTCTCCCCTCTGATGTACTCAGAGGCTCATCCCCTGGGGCATGGTGGGGGCCCCCCACCTCCGTCCTGCAACCCTGCCCCGGCCTTCCCGACCCCAGAGCGCATCCAACAGAGGGCAGGAGGCCAGGGGGAGCCCACACCTGGGTCCAGCCACCTCCAAGGCTGGTAAATGGTTCAGGCCACAAATGGGTGGCCCTGGGGGTGGGCAGCCACTGCAATCTACATGGTCCCTGCGGCATTTTAGTTTGTTTGCCTTAATGACCAGGAGGGAAATTGTATATTTCAGATAGAATCTCACTCCTGACTCCCTCTGAGAAGCCGGCAGCCCAGCCCTTCCTGATGGCAGCAGTGAACAGAAGCAGTGTCCAGTGCCCTCAGGTCAGGGCGCTGGCCCTCATGCCCACAGTCTCCTTCCTGGGCCCTCCACCCAAGCTCTTTCCATCCTTGCGGAAGCCCAGGGGGCCTCTGCGTCATGGCCCCCAGCTGCTTACACTGCTGGGGGGCCAGAGGGTCTGGGGCCAGTCACCCGTCAGGAACCATGTGCACACTGCGCTGGGGCCAGTTACCCATAGGGAACCATGTGCACACTGCGCTGGGGATGCAGGGCCCCTGAGATGTGTCACACACGCCTTACCCCTCCCTGGGGACTCCCTCTTGACCCAGGGACACACCCAGGGGCTGCTGAGGCAGGGGCATCTGCTACCAGGCAGTCCCCATCTGCTGCCGGCCCTGAACTCCTCCTTGGTCCCCACAATGTGCTGCCCTCGCTCTAACGGAGCCAAGGAGCCAGGCTGCCCAGCTGGCTGCACCTGTCATGACCTCCGGGACAGCCCCACACTGGCTGTCACCAGCTGCATGTGTTTCACAGTCTGGACACTGACAGGTGCTCTGGGGAGCTCAGATGGCTTTCTGGAAAGCTTCCCAGTCCCCAGCGGTCTTCCATTCTGGGCGGACCTGCATCCCAACCAGACACCGGCAGCTGCGGCTGTACAACACAGATGTGTGGGCTGACAGCAGAACACAGCAGACATGGGGCCAAAGCTGGGGGTGGCAGGGTGACCCCTCCTGGACCGAGGTGGGAGCCGAGAGCCTGATCCCCGGATACACCCCTGTCTAACCAGAACTCAAGTCTGGGGCCTCAGGCTTGGATACCCCACCCCGACCCCTCCACACCCCACCAGGCACTTTCTCACTCTCGCTCCTTCCCTTCCCTTTGTGCCCACCGGACCCACGCGGACCCTCGTGCAGCTGTCCTCCTCCCAGACTTCTGCCTACCCGCTGCACTGACTGCCAAAGGCGCAAATCAGGTTTCATCAGAAACCACCAACCCCTGAGCCCTGCTGGCTCGGTCTGCAGAATCCAGTCCAAATGCCTGATACTAGGGAGCATAGCCTCACCCCCCCATCACCTGCCTCTCACCACTGGGGACAGAGGGTGCCCAGCTGGTGGCCCACCAACCCCACAAGAACTGTGGGCTCAAGGGGTGCAGGCGTGCACAGGTAGGTGTGCACAGGGGTGAGCAGTGTGGGTGTGCATGGGTAGCTGTGTGTGTGGGGTAAGAGGTGAGGGATGTGGGTGTGCACAGGTAGATGTGTGTACAGGGGTGGGGGTGTGAGTGCACAGGGGTGAGCAGTATGGGTGTGCATGATAGGTCTGTGCACAGCAGTGAGAGCTATGGGCATGTATGGGTAGGTGTGCACAGGGGTGAGTGGTGTGGGTGTGCATGAGTAGGGTGTGTATAACGAAGATGCAGGCATGCATGGGTAGGTGTGTACAGAAGTGAGGGGTGCAGGCATGCACGGGTAGGTGTGTGCAATGGGTGAGGAATGTGGGTGTGCAAGGGTAGGTGTGCACAATGGGTGAGGGGTGTGCATGTGCAAGGGTAGGTGTGTGCAAAGGGTGAGGGGTATGGGTGTACATGGTATATGCATGCAGAGGGTTAAGGGGTGCAGAGAGGCAGGTGCGGGGCAGAGGGCCTGGCAGTGGCCCTGTGTGCTCACCCCATCCGCACTGCCTGGGCCTACCTGTTCCTGGTCTCCGGTCCCCCTTCTCCGGCCTGGGGTTCGAGGCCTCGCAGTATGGTGTGTGTTCCGGCAGTGCCTCGCTCCTCTTGGGCGCCAAACCCTTCACGCTCACCTGCAGCTGGCTGGTGTACTTTTCATGCTGTGGGCAGGCCAGGCGGGGTGAGGTACTGGGCCCAGCCTCAGGAGGAACCCACCAGGGTGGGCCCAGCCTCTCCTCTCCATCCAGAGGGCCCAGCTATGACTTTGCATGTCACAAGCTCTCCCTAATGCTCCCCAAAAGAGCAGACAGAGCCTCAGCCTGCCCAGGTAACACGGCTCGGGGTCCAGCTCAAGCCTGGGGAGGGGCAGCTTCCAGGGAAAGCAGGGGCCTGCTTGGGTGGGGCAGGACAGAGCAGGCTGCGATCATCAGAGTGGGGGCCCTGGGATGGGCAGCAGGGCCGCTTGTGCCATCAGACAGAACCTGACTCCCTTAGGCCCTGCCCCTTGCAGGCTGGGGGACCCCAGGCTGCTCGGAGATCATCCGAGGAACGGGCTAAGCGCCCTGGCCCCAAAGGGCTCCCGGGGAGCTCTGAACAGGGCCCTGAATCTGTGCTCCACAACTCCCACATGAACAAGTGAGGGCGAGGAGATGCCGTTCCCACCTAGGACCCTCACGCCCCCCACAGGGGCCCCGGCTGTGCGTGTCGCCAGCACACCGGGGAAAGGGCACGCAAGGATGCCCACCCCTGAAGGCTGCCACCGTCGGCCTCCAGCACCCTTCCTTCCTGCCTCTGGCCACCCCCTGCTGGCGGCCTCATCAATGTGCTGGGGGCAGCTGTTACCTCCTGAGGGGCTCCGAGAGGGCACCCGGCCAGGGCGGGCAGTGCGGGAGGAGATCGGAGAGACTGACAGGAACTCGGGGGGCCTTGGTCGTGCAGCGTAAAACCCTTATAAACCCTCAGCCTAAGACCTTCAGATTTCAGCCCAGGAGACCTCAGATCCCCTCACCCTAAGAAGCAACAAATCCTCTCAGCCTGAAGTGACCCCAAATCCTGCCACCTTGAAGGACTCAAATCCGTTAACCTGGAGCGAACTTAATCCCCTGGGCATGAGACCCCAAAGCACCTCAGCTTCAGAGACCTCAAATCCCTTCACCCAGAGGAACGCCAAATCCTCTAACACGTAGATCCTCAAATCCCCCGAGCCTAAGGAACCCTAAATATCTCACTCACAGAGAGACCAAATTCCCCAGCCTCAGAGACCCTAAACACTCTGTCTAGAGACTCTTAATCCCTTCAGCTTCGAAGACTCCAAATAACTGTAATGTCAGAGAATCTAAAGCCCCTTATGAGACCCCAAAGCTACTTAACCTGAGAGACACTCCCAAAAAGATGCTGGGGGGCTCAGGGGCTCTATACCCTCCTGGCCCTCTGAACGGGGCCCTCTGCTCCCAGGGAGGCTGCTGGCCCCCGCCTCAGCCCCGCTGCACTCTCCTGCAGGGTGACCCCAGCAGCTTCCTGGGCTCTGGCCACCCAGCTCACCCAATGAGCCATTTGTTCTGTGAGCCACAGCTAAATCCGCCAGTGCCCAGCGATGCAGCTCCGAAAGCCCAGGAGCTCCAGCAGGCTGACCATGCAGCCCGGCTCCTCCCAGGCCCCTCCCAGAGCCCGGATGCTGCTGCATCCACAACAGTGGCACCCGCGTCCCGGTGCCCCCGCCACCTGTCACTGCAGCAGGCTGGGGGTAATGACTACCTTCCCACCTGCCGGACTGGGCCATCTGGCAGGGCAGGACAGGCTGGCCTGACTCATGGCACCCGCAGCCTGAACAGGGCGCCCCAGAGGCCTGGTGAGTGTTTGCTGGGGAGATGGCAGCGGGAGCATGGTGGGGAGGATGGGGGGCTGAGCCCTCGTGGCTGAGCCACCCGGGCTTGGCCAGCACTAACCTTGAGTGCCTCCTCCGGGACTCGGTGCTGCACACGCTCCAGCACATACATGTTGGAATGTGGACACGTGTTAAGGCGAACACAGAGCAGAAGAGCCAGGAGCCCAGCGCTGAAGTCCACGCCCAGCAACAGGTGTGCCAGCTCAAGGGCCCATCGAGGCAGGCAGAGGAGGGGCCTCTTTCTTCCCGGGGAGGCACAGCCATGCCCACCCATGTGCTCAGACAGTCCCAAGGTCGGGCCAGGACTCGGGGTCCTAGGGAGTGGTCACCAGTTCCCCAGGCCCCATGTGACCTCAGGCTGGGTGGGTGGGCAAGCAGCAGGTACCCGTGGCCAGGGTGTCCACGGGGGGCCGGGCTGCAGGGACTGGCATTCCTTGGGGTGCTCCATCAGCAGGTGGAGCCCAGCCCTAGGGTCATCCTTGGTGCTCTGTTACCCAGCAACCCCAGCAGTGACAGCCCTGCTTCTGGAGTAACAGGGTGACTGTGGTCCTGGGGACTGAGAAGAAGCCCAGGAGGAGGGACGCTCAGGGGCAGGATATCGTAGCCGAAGCGGATGACATCGTTGAGCTTCAGCGTGACGTACTTCTGGTCCGGGATGCGCATGTCATTCACAAACGTCTGCAGGAAAACAGGTGGCGGGGGGGGGGGGGGAGCTGCGCGGGTGGGTGGCTGTGGGCAGGGCCGCAGGGTGGTGGGGCTGAGCAGGTGGGTGGCAGTGGGCAGGGCCGCGGGGGCACCAACTCTCTGGAACCCACGGCGAGTGATGGCCTGTGCAGCACTGTCCCAGGCACCAGCCCCAAGTTCCACAGCCATGGCAGGGGCACCCAGACACTGGGGCCCACCCAGCACTGCAGGGACCATGATGGAACCCTCCAGAACAGAACTCTTTGAGCATCTTTGTGAAGTGGACTCCAAGAGATGCTTCCTCTCACCCATACAGCCTCGTGCTGGCCCCAGCCCCCACCTTGGCCCCATGAGCCCTTGGGAACAGTCGAGGCAGGCCTGCCCTGTGGTGGCCCTTGGCCAAGGGTCAGGCCTCAGAGGGTCTGATACCCCCCTCCAGGCTGCCTACTGGCAGGAGTGTTGATGCACCAGTCCCACAGGCAGGTGGGAGGCAGGTCTGTGGGCATCACAGGCCTCAGAAGTAGCCAACCATGCAGGGCCCAGGAGCACGGACTGGGACGGTGCCATGCAACCCAGGCCAACAACCCCGGGGACCCTCT
Organism: Homo sapiens; assembly: GCF_000001405.40. NCBI lineage: Eukaryota > Metazoa > Chordata > Mammalia > Primates > Hominidae > Homo > Homo sapiens. The sequence goes on along the minus strand of NC_000014.9, from coordinate 104,877,279 downwards.
CAAAGCCCATGTGGGTGACGCAGTCCACACAGGCAGAGGAGCGGCCACTTGCTGTGCAGCCATTCAGGGACAGCCGCTTCATCAGACAGGCATGCTGCGGGAGGAGGGAGCTCAGGACAGACCCCAGCAGCCTGAGACCCCCTGGCCGGAGCTCCTTGAGGGGCTGCTGAGGGGCTGCTAGGGCCCCCCAGCTCAGGACTGCAGAGTGCAGTAAAGATAGAGTGTCCCAGGACAAGCTGGAGTCCGCCAAGCGCAGCAACAGACAGAGACATCCAGACAGGGACCTCAGGGACAGACACACGCCCCCAGAGAGGGGCCTCCAGCCTTCCTGCCTGCTTCCACCCCATACCCCATTCCTTTCACCTGACCCCCCAACCCTGCTCTTGCAGCCAGGGGTTCCCTCCGGGTTACCTTCCTGCCCCTGCCACCCCCAACTTACAGAAGAAAGGATCACATGGCTCCACCCATACCCAGACTGGGTACCCAAGCATAGCTCCTTCCATTTCAGGGGCCCCATTCCCCAGCCTAGTGCTTCCCTTCCCATCTGCAGGGTCCACTCTCCCTGAGAGCAGCCTGATCCTTGGCGGCCTGAGACCCTGCCAGGGGGAGCCTTCTGGGGAGGCCTGGGGGCCTCTGTAGTTGGGGATGGGGCCCGATCTGGGAGAGGGGCCAGATTTTGGAGAGGAGCCAGGGCTGGGGGAGGGGCCAGGGCTGAGAGGGAGGGGCCAGGGCTGGGGGAGGAGCCAGAGCTGAGAAGGAGGGGCCAGGGCTGAGAAGGAGGGGCTATGGCTGGGGGAGGAGGCAGAACTGAGAGGGAGGGGCCAGGGCTGAGAGGGAGGGGCTATGACTGGGGGAGGAGCCAGAACTGAGAGGGAGGGGCCAGGGCTGAAGGGTCGAGCTGTTAAAAGGCCAGGCCAGGGCCTCTCACACTTACCCCATTGAGGCTGCCCAGGTCCTTCACCCAGTGCTCGTCCCTGTCCTGGTCGTAGTTGATGACGGCATGCTGCTTGTCCACGCTGCGGGACTGGAGAGACACACAGCCAGCCCTCAGGTGCTCCAGGGGAGGAGGTGACACCCAAGAGGCAGAGGCACCCCTGCTCCATCCCCTGCCCCAGCACAACACCAGCAGTGGCCCCCAGGCCTCTGACCACAGAGCTGTGCCCACCCTGTCTCCAGAGCAGGATTCGCCAAGATGCCAGGGCCACGTCCCCCACCCTCTGCTGCTGCCCCAGGCCTCCCCTCATGACCGCCCTCCCCAGAGATGCTCCCCGCTGGGCCGTGGGAGTGCTGGGAGCCCTCTGGTCATCTGGCACACGCTGCTCCCTCCCAAGGTCAGGTGGCGGCAGCCAGGCTGGCGGTGAGGGGGCTTGTCTCAGGGAGCCCTCCCCCACTCCTGGCCCAGCCCCACAGGAACACACACAACTCTCAGCCAGTGTCCACACCTTTGGTGCTCCCACTCCAAGTGCTGCCGACCCTTTCTGGGCCACTAGCCCACCCAGGACCACCCCCCCGGAGGACAGGTGCCCTAGTGCCCTCACAAGGTCAAGCCCGGTCGTCCAATCATAAGGCCACAGCCAAGCCCCCATCACTGCCCCACTGGGGCATGGGGAGACGGAGGCAGAGGCGAGTCACTTTCTACTTGCTTAAGCGCTGCGAGCACGGCTGCTGCCCACTCGGCCTCCACTCCACACAGCACTGCGAGCACAGCTGCTGCCCACCCGGCCCCCAACTCCACACAGCGCTGCAAGCACGGCTGCTGCCCACCCGGCCTCCACTCCACACAGCACCCTGTGCTGCCTGGGGCTCTGGGTGGTGGCTCCATCCCTCCTGCCCCCAAACCTCAGGAGCCACAGGCCTGGGGATCCAGCCCCAGGAAAGGCCAGCAGAACCAGCCGACCCAGGGAAGTCACCGAGTCCTGGCCCAGACAGCGTGTGACCCTCGCCACCACCTAGGGACCATCCAGGCAGCACACCCACAAGACACCAGGCCAGCTTCCACAGGCAGCAATGGGCCTGAAGGAAGTCCCCCAGCCCTGGGACAGGACGGCCTGCAACCCACACGACTAGGAGCTGGAAGTCCCTCCTGAGTGCCAGCACGGCTTCTCAGTCTCCCAGGTGAGAGCCTGGGCCCCTCAGGCTGGTCACTCTTAGCCTGCCACGTGCAGGCCACCCTGGCAGCTGGCCATCACTGCCCCACCACAGGGCACCGTCATGAAACACCAGTGTGGGGCCTTCCCCAGCACCCCTGGGCAAGGGCTAGAAACCCTCAGGGCAGGGCCTCCTTCCTAACTCAGAGAGGAGATCACACAGCAGGGGCTAGTTGGGGGCAAGGGCTCTGATGGCCCAGCTTGACTGAGGCCTCTGCAGAGGTGCCAGGGCAGGGAAGCTGCAGCTGGGTGGGGCTCGTGGTGGCCAGCAGGCCTGAGAGCCAGCCTCACGCTAGTGCCACTGCCACCCAGCAGTGGGCACTCAGAAGCCCTGGGTGCCTGGCTCAAGCCACGGTGGTTGCGCTGCAGAGGAGGACCGGGGGTGGGGGTTGGGGGGTACTGCAGTGGAGGACCAGGGGGAGGACTGCAGTGGAGGACTGAGGGGAGGACTGCAGTGGAGGACCGGGGGCAGGGACTACAGTGGAGGGTGGCGAGGAGCCCACCCCTCCTGTCAGGACCCTGGGTCCCCCCAGGAAGTGGGCAGGGGTGCCAGGGAGGTTTAAAGGGGAGAGTAGGGTCCTGGGTGCAGCCATCCCTGAGCTGCCTGCCCAGACACAGCCCGTGGTTTCCCAGAAACCAGGTGAGCGGCTCCTCCTGCCCCACATGCCCTCCCTGGGAAGGCGGATCCTGGTGGGGCTCCTGGTGCCAGCTCCCCTGCCAGCCAAAGCCACAGGTCTCTGAGAGTGGGTCTGACCTTGATAGCCACCACCCACCTCCAGGTCCACCCTGTTCAAATTCCTTCTCCGAAGCTGGCACCCACAGCTACGTGGCTCCTGGCCACCCCAGTGGCAGTCTCTGCCGGAGGGGTTGGGGGAGGATCCTGGCCAGGGTGGGTGATGCCAGACATCACCTCCTCCATTGGACTTCCTACCTGTCCCTGAAGGCCTCCAGACACAGGCGACCCCCAGCACTCACCTCCTCCAAGAAGCCCGTCCTGAGACCCCCTCCCCAACTCTAGGATGGCTGCTGGAGACACCTCAGGCCACTAACTGCCCCGTGGGCAGCCCTGAGGGCCAGGCCCCAGGATCCCTGCCTGAGAGTGCAGCCTGGAAGCTGGGAGGCCTGGATCTCCCTCAGGGGGTTGGGGCTCACCTACTCCCGCACCCTGTCCTGTGCACAGGGCAGCATCCCCACCTCAGCCCGCCCGACACATGGGCTCCACGGGGCCAGGGGGACCTGCTGCTGTCTCAGAGAAAGGAAGCACTGAGGCCTGGGGCCGGGCTCGGGCCCTCCCTGCCAGCATGAGACCTCCCCAGGGGATGGGGTCCAGCAGGGGCATGAAGGAAGGAGCTACTGCCCCTGTCCCCTCTGGAAAGGGCTGAGGTGGCTGAGGGCGGGTGACTTGGATGTCATCTCTGCTGAGGAGTGGAAACCCTGGAGGGGTTTCCAGCCTGGACGCCTCCCTGCTGCTCCCCTAGCCTCAGACCCGCTGGGCCTCGAGAGCTCCTGCTGGACACAACTCTGCACACCTTCCAGGTCCTCTGAGCCCTGCCCCAGGCCTTCCCTGGAGGGTTCACCCACCAAGCCCCTCTCCACCACAGGCTCCAGCAACACTGGTCTTCCTCTCGGCAGCCCTCGGTCAGCCTCTCTCTCCACAGCCCCCTTTCCCGCAGGCCCCAAAGCCTCTCCAAACCTTCCTTACCCCACCCAGGCCACAGTCAGGCTTCAGGCAGATGACTCTGCCAGCTCTGGGCACACCGCATCCTTGCCCAGGCCTGGGTCTCACCTTCAGTCCAAGCCCCCTCCCCTGCCTGCACCCACCTTCCCCACCCCACCCGGCCCACACCAGCTTCCGGCTCCTTTGACTCAGCACAGAGTCCCCCCGCAGGACCCTGTTAACACCCCGAGCCCAGCTGCCCCGCCCACTCCCAGGACTGAGCCTCCACCCCCGGCCAGGGCTTTCTCACCAGACCTGCTCCTGCCAAGCCCCTCCCCAGACTGCAGGAAGCGCTGGAGACACATGGGGAACCCCCTTCCAGAAACTCCCCTCTCCAACCAGAAGCAGCCCCTCACTTGGCCGAGCCTCCAGCCACCAATGAGAAGTGGCCCCCGGCCCAGGGCTCAAGACTTAAAACAACAGAAACCCGGGCTGTGGACGGAACTCGGTGCAGAAACAGCCAGGCAAACACAGATGTGTGGCATGGCCGGAAGACGCCCCAAACACATGGATTTTGGGGAAAGTGTCTAATAATTTGTGCTCACTTTAAAACAGAATAAAGATGTTCCCAAAGTTCACGTCTGACGCCCTCTGGGGCAACAGCCTGGCCCAGCTGTGCTGAGTGGCAGTAGCAGCAGCCAGGGCTCTGGGCACACCCTCCTGCCAGCTCACCCGAGTTCCCCATTGGCGGCCACAGGCACCCGCAGCAGACCGGCTCGATGCACGGGGCACAGAAGGTCAGGGCCTGCCCAGGCTGTGGTCTCTGGGGCAGCACGCAAGAGTGCAAATCCCAGCTGTCACACGCTCTCACGGAGGACACCTCCCCACAGACATGCAGCACACACATGCACACAACACACACAGATGTGTGCACCTACAGACATGCACATGTATGCACATGCACACTTACACACGCACACACACACGGCACACACGCACACACACGGCACACCCACACGCACACACATGGCACACACACGCACACACGCACGGCACACCCACGGCACACCCACGCACACCCACGGCACACATGCACACCCATGGCACACACACGCGGCACACACACGCACACACACGCACACCCACGCACACCCACGGCACACACGCACACCCATGGCACACACACGCGGCACACACACGGCACACCCACACGCACACACATGGCACACACACGCACACACGCACGGCACACCCATGGTACACACACGCACACCCACGGCACACACACAGCACACACACGCACACACACGCGGCACACACGCACACACACGGCACACACACGCACACACACGACGCACACACGCACACCCTGGACCACAGCCTGGGCCACCACAGGAGTGACAGCCACAGCAGGAAGTCCTGCCTGGGTCCACGTTCCTGCGTCATTTAACGCCTGTTCGCTGGGCACCAGCTCTGTGCCAGGCTTGCACTGGGCACAAGGACACTGTGGGGAGCAGAGGCAGGGCCCTGGACAGCGTGGTCCGTGGGACAGCACGTGGGTGGCAGCTCTGCCTGGAACACAACTCCCCTACCCGTCTACCTGCTGTGGTCCAAGCTACCGCCCCTCTTGCCTAGTGAAAGCCCAGGCCTCGGGCCGCCCACTCTGCTTGTCTCCCCTCCATGTCCCATCCCCGTAGCCCCAGCTCAGCTCTGTCCTCCCACAGCCTCCCCCTCCTCACCGGCCCCAACTCCTGCTGCTGCGGCTCCTTGGGCCTCAGCACAACATAGGCAGGTGTCTGCTGACCGCCCAGTCCCCAGTACCACCTTCTTTACACAGGACTGGACCCTGGACACCTTGCTGGCCCCTCTCTGCAGTGGATGCCAAGGGAGGGCAGGGTCTCTGCTTGACACCCTGCCCAGTGGAAAGATGTGGCGCCGAAAGCAAGGACTGTGGAGGGGGCGCTGGGACAGGGTGTGGAGGTTCCAGGGCAGGAAGGTCGGTGTGAGCCGGGTCCGGAGAGCCAGGGCAGGTGTGGGGAGAGGCTGGGTCCAGTGGAGGCCTGCATTCCTGTCTGTGCGTGGGGTGGGGGTGGGGGTGGCACTGAGCAGAGGGAAGGGGACCCTGGCGGGGACCCCGGGTGGAAGGGACGGAGGGTGACAGGTTTGGTTCAGCCACCGAGCTTGGGATGCCTCTGAGAGGCCCCAGTGCAGCAGCCATATCCAGTAGGAGGCTGGAAGCCGAGGACAGAGCAGGCTCCAGGCAGCATGTGGATCATCTGAGCAGAGGTGGATAGGGCCTCGGGGAAGCAGCAGCGTTCGGAAAGGGCCACTGAGGCCCCTGAGCATGAGCTGAGAGGGCGGGGGTCCTGGCGCAGGTGCCAAGGAAGTTGCTGCAGGGAGGGGCGGCAGGTGCAAACATCCTCAGGTGGGGGCAACAGAGGGGCCAAGGGGCTGGACATGGGGCTGTAGGGTGGGGGTGAGAAGCCTCTAGGGCAGGTGCACAGGGAGTGAGGGGTGACAGAGGCCGGCAGGGGGCAGCGGTGGGCAGGTAGGAGGCCGCTGCAGGGGCACCGGGAGGCAGACAGCCTTCCCACACTCGCCACACCTGCAAGGCCTCCCTGAGCCTCAGTTTCCCCATGGAGATACATCTTACAATGGTGACACCACCCACAACAGCGAGGGGTAGAAATGCAGGCCCACCCAGGCCAGGGGCGGCCACTGAGGAGAGCTGGGAAGCCCCCAACACTCCCGACCTGCTCAGGGCTCCACTGACAGGTGCAGAAACTCGGAATCGGACCCCAAACTCACCCTGAGCACCCTGCCCCCAGCACTTTTCCCCTACCCCAGGGAGAAGCAGGCAGAGCAGGCCTGGTGCAGGGGTGGGGCAGGAAGAGCACCCACACCAGTCCCCTGCCTGCAGGCTGACTCTGGCTTCTTCCAGAGGCTCCAAAGTGCCGCCGCCTCCAAGAAGCCCTCCTAGCCACCCTAGGTAGAGCAGCGCGGCCATCACTGATGCCACCCCTGTACGCAGACCATGGGAGCAACCCGCCAAATACAGCTGCGGCCCCATGAGGCAGTGGGGTATGTGGGGCGTGGCCTATGGCCTGCCGCCTGTCTTTAGATGGCTTGAGAACTAAGAATGATCTTTACACTTTTAAATGATTGAAAATCATCAAAAGGCTATTTCATGACACATGAAAATTATGGGAAATTGATACTTCAACATCCATAAATGAAGTGCAGGTGCTGCCGCGCCCACCTCGGTCGCCCACGCTCGCTCCCTGGCTGCCCCTCACCACGGCCACAGGCCTGGGCTGCAGTGGATACTTTGTGGTCCATAAAACCTAAAATCTTTACCAGGCCCTTGTAGAAAACATTTGCCGACTCCTGCCCCCAGCCACCGACTCTCTCCCGCTACCAAAGGCATAAAGAAAAGAGAAAAAAGGGAGAGAATGTTCCAGATTAAAGAACTTCAGAGCCGGAACAACCAACCACAAGGTGAGAGACCTGCTGGGTCCAGACTCAAGAGGATCAGAGGACGCCTGGGGAGAAGCTGGGATGTCTGGACTTAGTCCATCCCAGCTGCTGTAACAAAATTCCTGAGTAATGTGGAAATGGCACAAATGTATTGCTCACGGTTCTGGAGGCTGGAAGCCCGAGATCTAGGCGCCGGCCAATTTGGTGTCTGGAGAGGGCCCTGTCTCTGCTTCAAGGATGGTATCTTGAATGCTGCGTCCCCACTGGGCAGAAGGGGTGAGCCAGCTTCCTCTGGCCTCTTTTTAAGGTCCCTGATCCCATTCCCAAGGGCAAAGCCTCACGCCCTGCTCACCTCCCAAAGGCCCCATCTCTTGAAGCTACCACGCTGGAAATGAAGCTTCAACCTCCGAATTGCAGGGGACACAAACCTTCCCGCCACAGCAGGACACATGCAGCAATATCGGGTGGGGCTGCCCTGGGTAGAGGCAGACAAACACTGTCTGCCCCAGGGAATGTGCACATGGCCAGGACCCCTCACCACAGCCTGAGGCCTGCCCACCTCGTCAGAGCCTGGCATGGCCCGGGCATGTGCGGCAGTAGCACGTTGCATCCAGGAGGCAACGTCTGAGTGGGCAGGGCAGCTCCCTGCACCTGCAGGCCCCTCGGCTAGACTGGACAGTGCCATCCACCTGGGTCAGGGGCCCACGTGCCACGCTGGGGGATGAGCCAGGACAGGGAGCCCAACTCGTTCACAGGCACACGGGGTAGAGGAAGGACATCAGGCCAGGATGGGCCTATGGGGTTAGCTCACCACCCCTGCTCTTTGTTCTCAAACAGCCAGATCGCAAGCCCCACAAAGCCAAACTCAGACCTCAAACCAGGGCCAGAGAAACTTCCGATTGTCAGTGCCGGTGCTCGGCAGGCTCTCATGCCCTGAGAAGAACCCCTCATGCCTGGAGGCCGCCAAAAGGCACTAGCCTTCACCAGGGTGCAGCTGGGACCAAGATACTGGGACCCCCGCTCAGGCAGCACTCACAGCATAGACGGGGCCCCCAGACAACAAGAATATGGACAGACCGGCTTTCCAGGACCTTCCAAAGCCCAGCCTCAGCTCCCTCTCTGCAAAAGGACGCCAACTCACGCTTCTAGGGACCCCAACAACTTTGAGAACCTGACAAAAGCCTAAGCCCCCTCCTGTCAGAGACAGGGATACGTACGGGGCAGGGACCCGAGCCTGTGAGCACACACACACCCCTGCACGCACCCACGGGAGCCCCAGAGCCCTCGGTGCATCCGGGACCCAAGTTAAGAGGCCCAGCCTGGGCTGCATGGCGGCCTCCTCGCCAGGGTGGCCTGCAGCAAGTGGGGTGGGCACCTTCCTGGCCTCCACAGGGACAGACTGTCTACCCCCTACCCTCCTGGCCCCAAGCGCTCCCTGCAAACCTGTAGCATGAGCTCACACTCCTCACGCCCCACGAAGATGAGCTCCCGAGGGAGCCGGTGGCGGGCGCCGCTGCTGCTCACCAGGAACCAGGACGTGGCACTCATCTTGGTGCTGGCTGGGCCCGTCTGGCCCTGGGGAAGAGGGGATTGTTAGAGTGGGGCTCCCTGGCCTGGTTCTTAGCCCCCTGGACACATCCAAGGCCCAGCCCAGATCCTGACCCTCTAAGGGAAGCTGGCAGCTTCCGGAGAAGCTGGGCTCCAGCCTCATCAGGCCACCCGCCCTCCCTGGGTATGGTCCCGAGTCCCACTGCCAGGCCTTTGCCCTCGTGACCGGCCTTTCCCATCACGTCCATCCCTGGCAAAGGCTGCCTGGTTCTCCCTTATCCTCCAGGCCCCAGCACACCTCATCTCCTCTATCTTCCAGGTGTCAGGGGTTGAAGTTCATGGGGACACTGGCTGCACTGCCTGTAAGTGACCCCACATCCACGTGACCCATCAGGAGCAGCTCATGGGTAGGACCCAGCATAGCCCATCAGGGTCCCCATGATGCCAGGTCCACAGCACCAGACCCACCCCAAGACATACACTGAACAAGAGGACCCACTCCCCCCAGCAGGACACTCTGAGACTGAGCCCCAGGCAGGGCCTGGGGTGAGGGGCAGCAGGGACAGAGCTGGAGACAGGGGCCCTGAGTCAGCAATATGTCCACCACCGAGAGGAGGCCAAATGTCCTTTGGTGGGCATGGTGCAAGGACAGCATCAGGCAGCCCCTTCAGTGCCCAAGAGGGAAGTGAGGCTTTGGTGCCCATAGTCCCAGTGACATCAACAAAGAGGGGGTGGTCTGAGGGGCTGGTGTAGACAGGCAGGGAGCCCCGTGGCAGCCTGGGAGGTAACGGGGACAGCCTGAGTAATGGCCAGGGCTGATGTCACCCCAAGACCCAACCCTGGGCAGCCCTATACCCAGCCAGCATGCACCCTGCAAGCCCGGAGCATGCCAGCACACATGTCCTGGGCACTCCACCCCACTGCCCAGCACATCCTGAGTGCTGCTATGGGCTAGGCGGCCTGGGCTAAGCCAGCTGTGACCAAGACACAGAGTCTCAGAATCCTGGGGCTCCCTTCAGCAGGGGGCAGGCACAGAGAACAGAAACGGCTTATGAGAAGGTGCAAAGAGGGATACAGGGAACACAGAGGCAGGGCGGGGATGGGGGCTCACTGGGAGGCAGCCTCCAGGCTCAGCAGGACAGGGGTGGAAGTGAGCCCATGAACGCTTGTGGGACTGCATTCCAGGCAGAGGGAACAGCTGGTGCCACCAGGGCAGAGGGACAGGGCAGAGGGATGGAGGGCCTCACATACCCCTGGGAGTCCTGTGGCTAGTCCTGGAAGGGGATGAAGTCCCTAAAGGGCCCAGCACTGGCTCCATCACTGCAGGGCCCAGCACAAAAAGAAAACGCGGTACCCTTATTCAAAAACTGAGAAGGAGAGCTGAGCAAGATGCCACATGCGGGGTCCAAGCAAGGGCTCTGTGGGGGTCTCCAAGTCACATACCTGTGAGGCCGGCCCCAGAGCTCCTGAGTGGACATGGGGCTGTGACTCAGGAGGCCAGTCAAGAAGTGAGGACAATAACCCAGGACAGGGATGACAGCAGCTGAGGCCCAGTGGAGCAGAGGAGAAGGGGAGGCTGCCGGGCTGAGTGCATCCTGAGGGCAGGGCCACACCACATGAGGGTGCCAGGCAGAGGAGTGAGTGGCTCCTTGTCCCTACTTTGCCCAGTGCCCACGCCCAAGGTCTTCAGCTTTGAGGCTCTTCACCAGATCTCAGCTCCCTTCGGTGAGCAGCAGGGAAAACCAACACCCAGCTCCAGCTAGCATGAATGCCCAAGTGACCACGTGCCCCATGGTAAACCCTCACCTTGGGCAGGGAGGTGGGAAGATGTAGAAAAATCCTCACCAGGAGAAGGCAGCTCCAGGCAGCCAGGACCCTCTCACTCTGGGGGCCCTGCCCTTCCTAAGCCACGCACCCAGCTCCAGCCAGACAGGCAGGCACTGGAGGCCAAGGGGCTGGCACTTCGATGACCCTGCAGCCCCAGACAGCAAAGCCTCCAGGAGGCCTCTACAGCCCCACCCTCCCTAGGGCTGCTGGGGGAGACCACAGGGTGCTCTATCGGGCAGGGCCTACCCCACCATTGCACCTCCGGCCCCCAGCCAGCCCTCCTAGGCCTCACCCTCTGCCATCACCTGCCGCGGCCCGCCCTGAGGAGTCCACGGTCCCTGTTTAAGGCGAAATGAAGCCGAGCCCCAGAGCCTGGTGGTGCCGCTGTGCCAGAGCCAGGCCACCCACTGCCCCGGCCGCCCACCCTGAAAAGGCCTGGGAGCCCGCGACGCTCCAAAACGGCCTTCGGCTGCCTCGGGGCTGGGCTGGCCATCGTTGCTAGGAGGAAGAATAATAAACGCCCCAAACTTGTCCCCTCAGCCGCCCCGGCCGGAAGGGCCACAGTCAGAGGTGAGGCGGGGAAAGGTGGCTAGGCCCAGGGCAGGGAAGGGCAGCGAGCCGGGCGGGGCAGGCCGGCGGTGGAAGGAGCGCACAGGCCGGGAGAGGCAGGGACAGCGGGGAGACGGCGGCGAAGGGAAATGAGGAGAGAGGGGAGGAGGAGGAAGACGGAGGGAGGGACCGCGGGAGGAGAGACCAGGCCAGGAGGGAGGCGGCCGGGCCCGGCGGGGGAGGGAGCGGCGCCTTCTGAATCAGCGCTCTCCGGGGGCGGCCATGGCCGAGCCGGTGCCGGGGCGGGGACCCGGGTGCCCAGGCTTGCCGCCCCCTCCGCAGGCCGCGTAGAAACGGGGCGGCTCCTCCCGGCCTGGCGCAGACCAGGGCCGCCTCCGCGGCGGCGGGGACCCGCCTGACCAGGTGCGCCGGGCGGCCCCCAACCCCCGCGCCTTTGTCCGGCCTCGGCCGGGACCCCGCGCCCCGTGAGACCCCACAGCCGTGCAGGTGCGGGCGATGGGAGGCCCGGGCCGCGGCCAGCGCTGGGCCGGCGCGTCCTACCTGCTGTTCGGGCTCGGTCTCCGGCTCGCCTTAGTCCCCGGCTTGGTCCCCGGCTTGGTCCCCGGCTTGTTCCCCAGCTCGGCCCGGCTCGGTCCCTGCCCTCGCGCCCGCCCGCCCGCCCGGCCGAGCGCTGGGCGGGGCCGCCGCCTAGGACATGCCCGGCGAGGCCCGCACGCTCGTGGCAGCCCGGGCCGAGCCCACGGCAGAGCGGCCGCCGGCGGCCTCGCGCGCGGGTCCCTGACGTCTGCGGGAGGCTCAGCCCCGCCCCCGGAACGCCCCGCCCCGGGCACGCCCCCGCCCGCCCCGCCCCCGCCCGGCCGCGCCGCACCCCGCGCCGCCCCGCCGGAAACCAGGTTAGGGCGGGTCCGCGGCCGCCAGGTGAGCCCGCCCCGGTAGCCCCGCGCGTGGTCCGGTCGGCAGAGGCTTGGCGAGCCGCCATCCCGCCCCTGCCCCAGGCCCACCTTCCCCCACCGCCCAGGCCCCGCTGGCCTCCCCGGCTCATCTCGCACCCGGCGCAGACCCCATGCCCTCCCGTCTCGGCAGCGCCCCCCGCTTCGCCTCCCGGTCCGGCCCCAGCTCGACGGGCGGAACCGGGTGCGCACAGCAGCCCCGCGCCCTGGCCCAGGGCCAGCGGGTTAACGCTTAACTACGCTCCAGGAGCTGTAGGCTCCAGCCGCGCCTCGAGTCCCCAACCTTTGGCCCCGGAAGCCAAAAAGAGGAGCGGACGGTGAAGGAGTCAGGGTGAGTTCCAGAGGCCGCTCCCAGATTTTCCCTCCCGAGCCTGGCCAGACTGGGCGTATGTCCGACATCTCCACCTCTGACCCCGGGCGCTCTGGGCTGAGCTGGGGGCGATGGTGGTGGGCATCGACGCCGTCTTACCTGGACGCCCACAGTGGACCTGACCTGGCCGAGGGGTGGGGGTGGGGTTGGGAACTACGGAGGCGCTCGGGGTTCCTGGGTAAGTTCCCGCGGACTGCTCGCTCCTTGCCGGGTGCTACAATAGGCGTATCCGGTGTCCCTGGAGCCAAGCTAGGGGACGGGATCAACGTGGGGGCGGGGCAGCGTGCCCGAAGGGCATTGCTGCATTCCAGGTGTTGGGGAACGCAGTGAGCGAAGGCGTGGAGGTGAGGGAGAATGTGGAAGGCGTGCGCCCGGCCGGGGAACCCTGGGCTTTGTCCTGTGGGCAGCTGGAGCGGCTGGGCGTTCCCGGCTGCGACAACGCCCACCTGGCCCCGCACCTGGGCCTGCTCGCAATCCAGCGGCGCCTCTCCGCATCTGCCTTCACGGATCTCAGCCCCAGCAGAGCCCTTGTGCCGGACCCTGGGGCGGGATTGCGAGTTCAGAGGGAGTCAAGAGGCGCCCTTGAGTATGGCGGGAGCCCCACCCCAAGCACCTGGTGGGAACTCACTTGCCTAGGGAGAGAGCAGGGCAGTGAGCACTCCGGGCTGGCTCCCAGGAAAGACCCTCCGGCAGGAGCTTGGATTGCAAGGTTGGGGAGGAGGGAGGCCAGGGGAGGGACCTGCAGCCAGGTGATCCGGGTGCCTGTATTTCTTCCCAAGGATAATGTGAGTTGATGCTGGCTGAGATCTGCTCCGATGAGGGTTTGAAAGAGAGAGCTCCGGGTGTCAAAGTCAGTGGATGGCAAAACATGCCTGGAGGGAGCAACCAGGCATCCAACCACAGGCCCTGGGCTGGAGGGCGGGGGGGGGGGGGGGTGGAAGCAGAGGAAGGAGAGAGAAGGAAATTTGGGAGGAAGAGTGGGCACGAACTGGCTGCCCAATTGTGTGGGTGGGTAGGTGGCAGGGAGGGACTGGTTGTTCTGGGTCTGCCCCTCCGGCCCCACCACACCTGCTTCCAGGTGAGCTTAGGAATTTCCCAGGCTTCCTCCCAGCTGGAGCCAGACGTGTCCCTCAGAGGCCCCAGCCCTGCCCATCCTTTCCTGCCCTACCCAGGGCTTCTCTACCTTCTTGGCTTGGCCTGCTCCTTGTTCACACCTTGGTAAATGACCCTTCACAAAAGTCATTTTCTCTATTTGTGCTTTTCTTTCTTTTGCCAGGACGCTTGACTTTCTCGACAGGGAGGGGGAGGCAAGCCTGGTGCCCAGTGCTCTGCCTGCACTGGTCAGTGCGCGTGGCTGTCACTTGGCTGGGAAGCTAGGCCAGGAGAGCAGCTGCAGCTGTGGAGGTCGGCAGTTGAGAGGTGGAGAGACCTGAGCACACTTGGGCCAGTCGTCCCGTGGCATTTGGGAGCCCAGGACCGAGCCGGGGGGCAAGTGTGGGCAATGCTTGGAGCCACAGAGTGGGGGTAGGGAATTGGAGGGGTAGAGAGGACAACTCAAACCAAGCCAGGAACCCACAGAGGAGACCAGGAAAGGAAAACCAAGAAGGAGTGAGTCCCCAATGCCCCCAAATTGATCCATATATTGAATGATCCCCAGTAAAAGTAGCTCCATGATGATTCCAAAGCCCTTAGGAAACTAAAGGTGCCAGGAGAATGAATAGACACGTCTCCATAGAAGACACACACTGGTCAACAAGTACATGGGAAATGTCCAGCATCCTCCAGGAAATGCAAAGCAAAACCACAGTGAGATCCCACCTCCCACCCGCTGGGACTGGGCAGATGCAGTCCTGGCAAACCAGTCTTGGTGAGGAGCGGGGGTATCAGAGCCCTGCTGCACTGAGATACACACACACAAAATGGAATAGTATTCAGTCTTAAAAAGGAAAGAAATTCCAGTACTGGCTGCAACTTGGATGGACCCTGAGGATCCTATGCTGAGTTAAATAAGCCAGTCACAGAAGAACACGTACCATACAATCCCACTTATGTGAGGTCCCTAGAGTAGTCACTTTCATAGAGATAGTAGCTGACAGGAGGAGCATGGGGAGTGACTGTTTAATGAATACAGACTTGAAATTTGGGAAGAGGTAAAAGTTCTGGAGATGGATGGTGGTGATGGGTGGTGATGATGGACATTGGAGATGGGCAATGGACATGGATGGTGGTGATGGATGGTATAAATGGATATTGGATGTGGACAGCGGACGTGGACAGTGGAGATAGAGGGTGGTGATGGCTGGTGGACATGGACAGTGAAGATAGAGAGTAGTGATGGATGGTGGAGATAGAGGGCGGTGATGGACAGTGGAGATAGAGGGTGGTGATGGACAGTGGAGATAGAGGGTGGTGATGGACAGTGGACATGGACAGTGGAGATAGAGGGTGGTGATGGACAGTGGAGATAGAGGGTGGTGATGGACAGTGGACATGGATAGTGGAGACAGAGGGTAGTGATGGACAGTGGAGATAGAGGGTGGTGATGGACAGTGGACATGGACAGTGGAGATAAAGGGTGGTGATGGACAGTGGAGATAGAGGGTGGTGATGGACAGTGGAGATAGAGGGTGGTGATGGACAGTGGAGATAGAGGGTGGTGATGAACAGTGGAGATAGAGGGTAGTGATGGACAGTGGACATGGACAGTGGAGATAGAGGGTGGTGATGGATGGTGGACATGGACAGTGGAGATAGAGGGTGGTGATAGACGGTGGACATGGACAGTGGACATGGACGGTGGGGACAGAGGGTGGTGATGGACGGTGGACACAGACGGTGGAGATAGAGGGTGGTGATGGACGGTGGACACGGACAGTGGAGATAGAGGGTGGTGATGGACAGTGGAGATAGAGGGTGGTGATGGTCAGTGGAGATAGAGGGTGGTGATGGACGGTGGAGATAGAGGGTGGTGATGGACAGTGGACATGGACAGTGGAGACAGAGGGGGTGATGGACAATGGACATGGACAGTGGAGATACAGGGTGGTGATGGACGGTGGACATGGACAGTGGAGACCGGGGGTGATGAACAGTGGACATGGACAGTGGAGACAGAGGGTGGTGATGGACCCTGGAGATAGAGGGTGGTGATGGACAGTGGAGATAGAGGGTGGTGATGGGCGGTGGACATGGACAGTGGAGATAGAGGGTGGTGATGGACAGTGGACATGGACAGTGGAGATAGAGGGTAGTGATAGACGGTGGACATGGATAGTGGAGATAGAGGGTGGTGATGGACGGTGGACATGGACAGTGGAGATAGAGGGTGGTGATGGACGGTGGACATGGACAGTGGAGATAGAGGGTGGTGATGGATGGTGGACATGGACAGTGGAGACAGAGGGTGGTGATGGACGGTGGAGATAGAGGGTAGTGATGGACGGTGGACATGGACAGTGGAGACGGAGGGTAGTGATGGATGGTGGACATGGACAGTGGAGACAGAGGGTAGTGACGGACGGTGGACATGGACAGTGGAGACAGAGGGTAGTGATGGATGGTGGACATGGGCAGTGGAGGTGGAGGGTAGTGATGGACGGTGGACGTGGACAGTGGAGATGGAGGGTAGTGATGTACAGTGGACATGGACAGTGGAGATAGAGAGTGGTGATGGACAGTGGAGATAGAAGGTGGTGATGGACAGTGGAGATAGAAGGTGGTGATGGACAGTGGACATGGACGCTGGAGATAGAGGGTGGTGATGGACAGTGGAGATAGAGGGTGGTGATGGATGGTGGACATGGACAGTGGAGATAGAGGGTGGTGATGGATGGTGGACATGGATAGTGGAGTTGAAGGGTGGAGATGGAGGGTGGTGATGGATGGCGGTGATGGAGGGTGGAGATGGAGGGTGGTGATGGAGGGTGGAGGGTAGTGATGGACAGTGGAGATGGAGGGTGGAGATGGTGGGTGGTGAAGGAGGTTGGTGATGGAGGGTGGTGATGGGGGGTGGAGATGGAGGGTGGTGATGGATGGTGGAGATGGAGGGTAAAAATAGTTGGTGGTGATGGAGGATGGAGATGGAGGGTGGATGGAGGGTGGAGATAGATGGTGGTGATAGAGGGTGGTGATGGAGGGTGGAGATGGTGGGTGATGATGGAGGGTGGTGATGGATGGTGGAGATAAATGGTGGTGATGAAGGGTGGAGATGGAGGGTGGAGATGCAGGGTGGAAATGGAGGGTGGTGATGGACAGTAGAGATGAATGGTTGTGATGGATGGTGGAGATGGAGGGTGGAAATGGTGGGTGGTGATGGAGGATGGAGATGGAGGGTGGATGGAGGGTGGAGATGGTGAGTGGTGATAGAGGGTGGAGATAAATGGTGGTAATGGACAGTGGAGATGGACAGCGGAAATGGAGGGTGGAGATGCAGGGTGGAAATGGAGGGTGGTGATGGACAGCGGAGATGAATGGTAGTGATGGATGGTGGAGATGGAGCATGGAAATGGTGGGTGGTGATGGAGGATGGAGATGGAGGGTGGTGATGGAGAGTGGTGATGGATGGTGGAGATGAATGGTGGTGATGGACGATGGAGATGGAGGATGGAGATGGAGGGTGGATGAAGGGTGGAGATGGAAGATAGTGATGGAGGGTGGTGATGGATGGTGGTGATGGAGGATGGAGATGGAGGGTGGATGGAGGGTGGAGATGGTGAGTGGTGATGGAGGGTGGAGATAAATGGTGGTAATGGACAGTGGAGATGGACAGTCGAAATGGAGAGTGGTGATGGATGGTAGTGATGGATGGTGGAGATGGACAGCGGAGATGAATGGTGGTGATGGATGGTGGAGATGGAGCGTGGAAATGGTGGGTGGTGATGGAGGATGGAGATGGAGGGTGGAGATGGAGGGTGGTGATGGAGGGTGGAGATGAATGGTGGTGATGGATGGTGGAGATGGAGGATGGAGATGGAGGGTGGATGAAGGGTGGAGATGGAAGGTGGTGATGGAGGGTGGTGATGGATGGTGGAGATGAATGGTGGCGATGGACGGTGGAGATGGAGGATGGAGATGGAAGGTGGTGATGGAGGGTGGAGATGCAGGGTGGAAATGGAGGGTGGTGATGGATAGCAGAGATGAATGGTTGTGATGGATGGTGGAGATGGAGGGTGGAAATGGTGGGTGGTGATGGAGGATGGAGATGGAGGGTGGATGAAGGGTGGAGATGAATGGTGGTGATGGACGGTGGAGATGGAGGGTGGACGAAGGGTGGAGATGGAAGGTGGTGATGGAGGGTGGAGATGGAGGGTGGTGATGGAGGGTGGAGATGCAGGGTGGTGATGGAGGGTGGCGATGGAGGTTGGTGATGGAGGGTGGCGATGGAGGGTGGTGATGGAGGGTGGAGATGGAGGGTGGTGATGGAGGGTGGAGATGCAGGGTGGAAATGGAGGGTGGAGATGCAGGGTGGAAATGGAGGGTGGTGATGGACAGCAGAGATGAATGGTTGTGATGGATGGTGGAGATGGAGGGTGGAAATGGTGGGTGATGGAGGGTGGAGATGGTGAGTGGTGATAGAAGGTGGAGATGAATGGTGGCGATGGACGGTGGAAATGGAAGATGGAGATGGAGGGTGGATGGAGGGTGGAGATGGTGAGTGGTGATACAGGGTGGAGATAAATGGTGGTAATGGACAGTGGAAATGGAGGGTGGTGATGGACGGTGGTGATGGATGGTGGAGATGGAGCGTGGAAATGGTGGGTGGTGATGGAGGGTGGAGATGGAGGGTGGTGATGGAGGGTGGTGATGGAGAGTGGTGATGGATGGTGGAGATGGAGATGGAGGGTGGACGAAGGGTGGAGATGGAAGGTGGTGATGGAGGGTGGTGATAGACGGTGGAGATGGAGGGTGGAGATGGTGGGTGGTGATGGAGGGTGGGGATAAATGGTGGTAATGGACAGTAGAGATGGACGGTGGAAATGGAGGATGGTGATGGTTGTACAACAATGTGAATGCACTTGATGTCACTCAACTGTTCACTTAAAAATGGCAAACATAGTAGTTTTTATGTTACATATATTTTACTACAATAAAAAAAGAATGAAAAGCCTATAAAATTCTGAAAAATAAAAAAGGGGGCTTTAGCCCTGCCAGAGAGTAGAATCCATCATAGAACATCTTGCTATGGGCAGTTGACTGGACACACACATCAGAGCAGGTCTGTGTGATCATTTAGCATATGATTAATGGGGCATTTAAAATCCACGAGGGGCCGGGCGCAGTGGCTCACGCCCGTAATCCCAGCACTTTGGGAGGCCGAGGCGGGTGGATCACCTGAGGTCAGCAGTTCGAGACCAGCCTAACTAACATGGGGAAACCCTGTCTCTACTAAAAATACAAAAAATAGCTGGGCATGGTGGTGGGTGGCTGTAATCCCAGCTACTGAGGTGGCTGAGGTGGGAGAATCACTTGAACCTGGAAGCGGAGGTTGCAGTGAGCCAAGATCGTGCCACTTCTCTCCAGCCTGAGCAACAAAGCGAGACTCTGTCTCAAAAAATAAATTAATTAATAAATAAATAAATCCATGAGGGAAAGGATGTCATTTAAAAAAGGGTGTGGCCAGGCACGGTGGCTCATGCCTATAACCAGCACTTTGGAGGCCGAGGCAGGTGGATCACCTGAGGTCAGGAGTTTGAGACTGGCCTGGCCAGCATGGTGAAACTCTGTCTCTACTAAAAAAAAAGGACAAAATTAGCTGGATGTGGTGGCGCATGCCTGTAATCCCAGCTACTTGGGAGGCTGAGGCAGGAGAATCGCTTGAACCTGGGAGGCAGAGATTGCAGTGAGCCTAGATTACGCCATTGTACTTCAGTCTGGGCAACGAGCGAAACTCCATCTCAAAAAAAATAAAAATAATAATAAAATAATAATAAAGGGTGGTGGAGCAACTGGGCGGCCTTGGTGTCTGGAAAAACATGACGTTGGATCCTGATCCCACTCTTCACACGGAAATAAATTCCTTATGGAGCGGAAATAGAAATGCAAAAACCCAAAACCACAAACATAATTTGGAAAAAACACAGGAGACTATTTAATGATCTCAGGATCCGGAAGGCTTTTCTGAGCACAACAAAAAAGCAGAAGCCACAGGGAACATTGTTGAAAAATTTAATTAAATTACAAATGGCAACATTTTGCCTAGACCACATATTTAAAATCAAAGGATGTGCAACAAACTGGGGAGAACCCATGATAACTCAGTGGTTAACAAAGGGCCGATTCTCCCAACAAAGGGCTACTATCAGTCAACGAGGAAAGGGCCAGGCCGCCGGACACGCTGCACAAAGGAAGCCCCAATGGCTGCTGACTGCAAGATGCTGAACCTCCGCCGTAATCAGGGATGAGCAAATTGGCCCTACCGGAAGATGGTATTTTCACCTGTCAGACGTTTTCATGAGAGACTGGGATGGGAGGAGCGGGGAGACAGGCACTTCCCACAACTCCCAGCAGGAGTGTGAATTTGGGGTGTCGGGGGAGGGGATTTTGTTTCCACTATAGCCTGGTACTGCTAGAAGGTTTTAAATGAGGACACTAGCTGTACTAACAATTACAAAATTCGCAGTACTGTGTAGGGGAGAGAGGGTCGGGGGGGAGGGCATGGGGCCCCCTACGCAATGTGGTGGCGCCAAGGGAATGCCTAGCGGGTCCCTTGGGCTTAAGGACAAGGATGCCAAGGTTTTGGGGCCTGGCAGGCCGGAGTGGGTGCCTGGAGCTAGAGGTAGAAGGTGTAGGTGCCCCCTTCTGGGAACAAGGGGGTGAGAGGAGGGAGGGAAAAAGGGGTGCAGGGCGGGTCAGAGGGCTCCCTCCCCCCAACAGCTGACCCCCCAGCCCCAGCGCCCTGCTTTGCAGCCACGGCATTCAGCAGCCTCCACCTGGGGCTGAGATTGTGACCACCCTCAGGGACACGGGTTCAGGTCTGCTGTCTGCTGAACCTACGTTCTGCAGGATTTGGTCCAGGGCTCTGGTGAAGATGTAGGAGTTGGCCTGCGTCAGCGCCCGTCCCCGCTTTCCACAGCGAGCAAAGACCGTGGGAACCCTGATGCCCCTTTGCATTTGCGCTTCTGTACTTAGCTGCTAGTCTCAGGCAGTGAAAGCTTCAAGCCACCCGCAGAGCCCTGGAACTGGGGCATTGGCTCTAGTGGGAAAAGGAGGCTTCCCACTGGCGACCCACCATGACAGACCACAAAAGACATGCAGGTCCCCACAGTCAGGCCCTGACACCCACTCTTCCTGCCTTCTTCTGCCTAGGCTTGCACAGCTGGGCAAGTGAGCGGGAGCCACGGGTTAGCTGAGATCACCTGCGGCCAGGAACAGGGCCTTCCTGGAGGTGAGGACAAGCTCTGCTTCCTCCAGGAGCAGGTGCTGGAGCAGAGCGGCTCCCCCGTTCTACAAGTGTCCTCTGTGTGGCGGCCCAGGTCTGTGCGGGCCTGTCCAGCCCAGGAGAGGACAGAAGTCATCTGTAGCCTGGGCCCCTGTGGCCCCCAGCGAGAGGCCCTGGTGGGACTGGTCTTTCTCAGCCTGTGCACCTGGGGCTGAAACAGGACTCAAAGAGGGAAAGTGGCCCAGGCAGGCCCTCCCCTCAGGCCTCCCCTCTCCCTGGCTGCTCTCCCAGGCTTCCCTGCTTTCCCTTCTGAGACCCCGACTACTGGACCCAGCCTTACTGCCAAGATAATTATCCACAACAGCAGGAGCGCCCAGGCCCATGAAGATAATCGCCTGCCCAGCACTGTGTCCACATCCAGTTCATCCCAGCTGAGACCCAAGTGCAGCTGAGGGGTGGGGGACACTCCTCAGCTCTCGAATGATGCCAACCCTCCAGGGCCTGGCTGGGAGCAGCTCAGTGCTTCCTGGCTCCGGGGCTGTGTTCCCTACGTCCCATTCGGAGCTTCTCTCCTGAAGAAAACAGTGTCTGCCTGCACCCTTCTTAGAAAGCACCCTGACACGTGGCTACAAAGAGCAGAGAGCACAGTACCCTTCCCAGACACACACCAGCACCCCCACCCACTGCATTTAAGCCACCACTGTCCCGCCGCATTCATCCCTCCTCTACCCCCTAAATTCATCTTTCAGTGGAACTCTGCGTTCATCCCTCCACTCCCCGCTCCATTCATCCCTCCACTCCCTGCTCCATTCACCCCTCCACTCCCCCCTCCATTCACCCTTCCACTCCCCCCTCCATTCATCCTTCCACTACCCCCTAAATTCATCCTTCCACAGAACCCTGCGTTCATCCCTCCACTCCCCGCTCCATTCACCTCCACTCTCCCTCCATTCACCCCTCCAAACCCCCCTCCATTCACCCCTCCACTCTCCCCTCCCTTCACCCTCCACTCCCTGCTCCTTTCACCCCTCCACTCCCCCCCATTCACCCTTCCACTCCCCCCTCCATTCATCCTTCCACTACCCCCTAAATTCATCCTTCCACAGAACCCTGCGTTCATCCCTCCACTCCCCGCTCCATTCACCTCCACTCTCCCTCCATTCACCCCTCCAAACCCCCCTCCATTCATCCCTCCACTCCCCCCTCCATTCACCCCTCCACTCCCCCCTACATTCACCCCTCCACTCCCCCCTCCATTCACCCCTCCACTCCCACCTCCATTCACCCCTCCACTCCCCCCTCCATTCACCCCTCCACTCCCCCCTCCATTCACCCCTCCACTCCCCCCTCCATTCACCCTCCACTCCCCCCTCCCTTCAACCTCCAGTCCCCTCTCCATTCACCTCTCCACTCCCCCCATTCACCCCTCCACTCCCCACTCCATCCCTCCATTCCCCCCTCCATTCATCCCTCCACTCCCCCCTACATTCATCCCTCCACTCGCCCCTACATTCATCCCTCCCCTACTCCTTACATTCATCCTTCCACTCCCTCACTCCATTCATACCTCCACTTCCCCCTCCATTCATTCCTCCACTGCCCCCTCCATTCCTCCACTGCCCCCTCCATTCCTCCCTCCACTGCCCCCTCCGTTCATCCCTCCACTGCCCCCTACATTCATCCCTCCCCTATCCCCTCCATTCATCCCTCCACTCCCTCACTCCATTCATCCTTCCATGGCCCCCTCCATTCATCCCTCCACTGCCCCCTCCATCCCTCCACTGCCCCCTCCATTCCTCCCTCCACTGCCCCCTCCGTTCATCCCTCCACTGCCCCCTCCGTTCATCCCTCCCCTATCCCCTCCATTCATCCCTCCACTCCCTCCATTCATCCCTCCACTGCCCCCTCCATTTATCCCTCCACTGCCCCCTCCATTCCTCCCTCCACTGCCCCCTCCATTCCTCCCTCCACTGCCCCCTCCGTTCATCCCTCCACTGCCCCCTCCGTTCATCCCTCCACTGCCCCCTACATTCATCCCTCCCCTATCCCCTCCATTCATCCCTCCACTCCCTCACTCCATTCATCCCTCCACTGCCCCCTCCATTCCTCCCTCCACTGCTCCTGACTGCCGGCTCTGGGGCAGTGCTCTGTGTCCCATGGTGCAGAGTAGGACAATGATGAGGAGGCAGAAGAGCAATCGAGTGGAGTTTCGGAGAGTACTGTCATAACCCTGCGCTGAGGGCGGATCCCATCTCTGCCCAGGTCCTGGATCTTTACCACCCAGCACCCACACACCCCCTAAGCTCTGCAGGACCCATGGTGAACAAGATGAGGAAGAGGACTGAGGTGGTCATCTCCTTTCTACTTCAGCGGGAATCCTTTCTCTGCGGTTCATCAGGGAAAATGGAATTTTTTTTGCTCACCTACAGATCAGCTCTCCAGCATGACGGGCCCTGCGGACCACCTGCCTCAAAGCCTTTCCTCCTTGTTCTTTCCAACAGAACCAGGGGCTTTCAGCCATCTGTGGTGATCTCTTGATCTCGGGGAAGGGGCCAGGTCCAGGACTGAGCAAGGGCACATAACTAATTTGGGGCCAAGGAGATATGAGGGGAAGTGTGCTGTTGCAGGGGACAGTGTGTGGGGAAGGGCGCTTCTAGGAATGCCGTCCTCCTGTTAAAGAGTTGATGTGAGGTAAGACATTCTCTGTCTCTACTCACCGCCTCTGCTGGGTGAGGACATGATTCTTGGGACTGCAGAGCCATCTTGAGACTAAGAGAAGACCAGGAGCAGAGCAGACAAGCTGACCAAGATCCCTGCCACAGCTGAACTGGACCCAGAGCCATAGACTTCTTAATCTTACGAAGTGGATCAAGCTAACAAACTTAAACGATGTTGTTTAAGCTACTTTGGGTTGGATGTTCTGTTAGTTACAGCTGAATCACCCATGTAGCAGAGGATGTTTTTATTTATTTTAGAGACAAGCTGTTGCTCTGTCACCCCGGCTGAAGTGCAGGTGCAATCATAGCTCACTGCAGCCTCAAAATCCTGGCTGCAAGTGATCCTCCCACCTCACCCTCCCAAGTACCTGGGACTACAGGTGCACTCTGCCACGCCAGCTAATTTTTTAAATTTTTGTAAATATGGGGCCTCAGTATGTTGCCCAGGCTGTTATTGAATTCCCGGCCTCAAACGATCCTCCTGCTTCAGTCTCCCAAAGTGCTGGGATTACAGGTGTGAACCACTGTACCTCGCCCTGCACACGTGCTTAGATATGCTTTCTCCAAGTACTGTTCTTTGGAATACTGGTAATAAATATTTCTATGAGCTGGGCACGGTGGCTCACTCCTGTAATCCCAGCATTTTGGGAGGCTGAGGCGGGCGGATCATCTAAGGTCAGGAGTGCAAGACCAGCCTGACCAACATGGATAAACCCCATCTCTACTAAAGATACAAAATTAGCTGCGCGTGGTGGCGCATGCCTGTAGTCCCAGCTACTCGGGAGGCTGAGGCAGGAGAATTGCTTGAACCCGGGAGGCAGAGGTTGCGGTGAGCTGAGATCGCACCACTGCACTCCAGCCTGGACAACAAGAGTGAAACTCCATCTCAAAAAAAAAATTTTTTTTTCTATGGAAAAAAGTCTATTTTGTGAGATATACATATATTTTTTTTTAAATAAAAATGTGTTGGTCCACCCCCCCCACACCTCCACCCCTGCAGTCAAAGCCACTGACCATGGAGCCAGGAGCCACCCAATGAGGTGTCTTTTCTCTAAGGATGGTGAAGTTAGAGAAGGCTCCTTTAAACCTCCTCCACCATGTGCCAGAAACCCAGAGAACACTCACGGCGGCCCTGAGCTCTCGAGAATCGTTGTGCAATGCCCATTCCAGCAGCCATGCACATCTCATGGCCAGGGTGAGCCTAGGAAGGAAGGGCAGAGGATGACACATTCGACGTGAGTAGGACTTTCTGTGTGTCCACTCTGTGGGGCTCTTCTTTGGAACGTCACTGTGGACACAGGAGTCAGAGGTGAACGAAGGCACTGAGAGGGGATGGGGCACTGGCATTGGAGGAGTGAGGAGCACCCAGCCATCCTTATTCGCTTTACTGCTTTTGGCAGTTTTTCTGTTTGATGTGTTAATTCGTGTACACGCTGCATGCCAGCCGCCACTGATGGCCGCCTTAACGGCGGTGCTGACCACGGCTGCTTTGTCAGCACAGGTGAAGCTGTTGAAACGCCTCTCAGAGGGGCCTCTGGTGGCACTGCCCATCTCTTCCCTCAGCCTCTCCTGAGTGAGGCCTGCTGCGGGGTTTCCGAGAGTTCCCTCAGGAAGCGGCAGAAGGGAGCAGATGCCCGAGGTCAGGTGCCTGAGAGACGGTAGCATTTGGACAGCCCAGTAGCCTTTCCCATGGTCACGCAAATTCTCCTGAAACTCAGGCAGGGTCTGAAGAAACACAAGATGGCACAAAGCCATCCCCAGAGCCGTGGGTCCCACGTGGTTAAATGTGGAAAACACTCGCTGAGGGTCATAGTGGAAAACAGCGGCTGGAGATGGGGTCTTCCTGTTGGCTGCCGAGACGGTGACATCTACAGGTGTTGAGTGGCTAAAAAAATGTATTCCTTGCAATGCCTCACAGACATGGTAACGTATGCACATATGCGTAGTGGCCTGCCAGGGCTGGTAAGATAACATCCCTTCTATATTCAGGGAGATGAAATCTGATCTTTTTTTTTTTTTTTTTTTTTTTGAGACAGAGTCTTGCTCTGTCACCCAGGCTGGAGTGCAGTGGCGTGATCTTGGCTCACTGCAACCTTCGCCTCCCAGGTTCAAGCGATTCTCCTGCCTCAGCCTCCTGAGTACCTGGGACTACAGGTGCCCACCACCACGCCTGGCTAATTTTTTGCATCTTTAGTAGAAACAAGGTTTCACTGTGTTGCCCAGACTGGTCTCAAACTCCTGAGCTCAGGCAATCCACCCGCCTCAGCCTCCCAAAGTGCTAGGATTACAGGTGCCAGCCACCGCGCCTGGCCAGAATCTGATCTTTTGATGGATAGTTGCAGAAAAGTCTTCTGCTATATTCCTAATCAAAGTCTTCTTAGAATATTGAAATATCACCTTTTTAGTAAGCGAAATGCCTTTTCATTTTATCCAAAACAACACAGATAGAACTATTTGTTTCATGTGTCAGATTTTATATTCCTTTCATATCACTACATTTCCCCTTGTGTTTTTTCACTCATGCACATGCAGTCTTTGTACTTTTTTTTTTTTTTTTTTGAGATGGAGTTTCATTCTTGTTGTCCAGGCAGGAGTGCAATGGCATGATCTTGGTTCACTGCAACTTCCGCCTCCCAGGTTCAAGTGATTCTCCTGCCTCAGCCTCCCGAGTAGCTGAGATTACAGGCGTGCACCACCACGCCCGGCTAATTTTGTATATTTAGTAGAGATGGGGTTTTCAAGTTGGCCAGGCTGGTCTCCAACTCCTGACCTCAGGTGATCCACCTGCCTCTGCCTCCCAAAGTGCTGGGATTACAGGTGTGAGCCACCACACCTGGCCTGTGCCTGGCTAATTTTAAAGTTTTTTTGTAGAGATGAGGTCTTGCTATGTTACCCAGGCTGGTCTTGAACTCCTGACCTCAATAGATCCTCCTGCCTTAGCCCACAAAGTGCTGAAATTACAGGTGTGAGCCACCATGCCTGGCCCTAATTTTAATAATTTCTTATATCAATCAAATCATCCAGTAGATCATTCTTCCTGTCTACCAGGCAAATCTATAAGTACTCATTATCATTTATTAGGCCATTTAATTCTTTTTTTTTTTTTTTTGAAACGGAGTTTCTTTCTTGTTGCCTAGGCTGGAGTACAATGGCGTGATCTTGGCTCACTGTAACCTCCACCTCCCAGGTCCAAGCGATTCTCCTGCCTCAGCTTCCCAAGTAGCTGGGATTACGGGCATGCACCACAACACCTGGCTAATTTTGTATTTTTAGTAGAGACGGGGTTTCTCCGTGTTGGTCAGGCTGGTCTCGAACTCCTGACCTCAGGTGATCTGCCTGCCTCGGCCTCCCAAAGTGCTCGGAGCACAGGCGTGAGCCACCGCGCCCGGCCCCATTTAATTCTTTATAGTAATCAGGAACCTCTATGCTCTCAAAAATAAAGCTTCCCACAAAGCAAAAACACCTACTTGTGGCTGTGGTAAATAACAAGTATCAGACACCAAAAGCAACTCTAAAAACTAGTTTAAAAACAACAACAGGCCGGGCACGGTGGCTCACGCCTGTAATCCCAGCACTTTGGGAGGCTGAGGCGGGTGGATCACGAGGTCAGGAGTTCAAGACCAGCATGACCAACATGGTGGAACCCCGTCTCTACTAAAAATACAAAAAATTAGCCAGGCGTGGTGGCAGGTGCCTGTACTCCCAGGTACTTGGGAGGCTGAGGCGGGAAAACGGTGTGAACCCAGGAGGTGGAGCTTGCATTGAGCCGAGATCGAGCCATTGCATTCCAGCCTGGGCGACAGAGCAAGACTCTGTCTCAAAACAACAGCAACAACATAACAGCTGTTTGAAGGCATTGGAGAGCAACCAAGGCAGCCAGGACTTGAGGGACTGAGAACCTGAGAAAAGGGAATCACATTGAGATGAGCCTGGCAGGTACTTAGAGACCAAGCAGAAAGTGGCAGCTCAGAGCTTCTGGGATTCTCACAGGCCTGGGGAGGCAAATATTGGCATTGGAAGCTACCATTCAATCTTCTGTGCCTCTTTTCCCATTAAGATATTTGCCAATCTCTAAGCTGTTTTGGGTAGGAGGTTACAAAGTCAAGCAGAAAATGGCAGCTGAAAGCCCATGAAATTAAAGCTTTAGCTGTCTGATGGTGTTATGGAGAAAGGAATTGGAGTCCAGGCATCAAGGAGAAGGGACCCTGTAAAAACACTCAGCCTTTCAGGTAAGGTCCTTGGAATGTGACACTCCAGCAAGCTAGAAACCAAATAAACCTTCCCACCCCTACTCAATTTCTCACACACGGGCCAGGCACAGTGGCTCATGCCTGTAATCTCAGTACTTAGGGAGGCCGAGGTGGGAGGATCGCTTGAGTCTAGGAGCTTGAGACAAGCCTGGGAGACATAGTGAGACCCCGAGACCTCATCTCATTTTTAATCTTTTTTTTTTCTTTTTTTTTTTTTTGAGACAGGATCTCACTCTGTCACCCAGGCTGGAGTGCAGTGGCACAATCAACTCCTGACCTCAAATGATCCAACTGCCTTGGCCTCCCAAAGTGCTAGGATTACAGGCATGAGCCACCATACCTGGCTGTGAGACCTCATCTCTACAGAAAATAATAAAATTAGTGGGATGTGGTGGTGTGCAGCTGTAGTCCCAGCTACTCTGGAGGCTGAGTCGGGGGATCCCTTGAGCCAGGCAGTTCAAGGCTGCAGTGAACTATGTATGACTGTGCCACTGCACTCCAGCCTGGGCCACACAATGAGACTGTAAAGAACTGGAGGCTCTAACCACACGTGGCTACTGCACTAGTAGCTGGTGCCTAAAACTTGGATTTTTAGGCCGGGTGTGGTGGCTCACACCTGTAATCCCAGCACTTTGGGAGGCCGAGGCGGGCGGATCACAAGGTGAGGAGATCAAGACCATCTTGGCTAACACGGTGAAACCCCATCTCTACTAAAAATACAAAAAAATTAGCCAGGCGTGGTGGTGGGTGCTTGTAGTCCCAGCTACTCAGGAGGCTGAGGCAGAAGAATGGCGTGAACCCGGGAGGCGGAGCTTGCAGTGAGCCGAGATGGAGCCACTGCACTCCAGCCTGGGCGACAGACAGAGCGAGACTCCGTCTCAAAAAAAAAAAAAAAAAAAAAGGAAGCTGTCAGTAGCCAGAAGTTAAGAAATGGAGTCCAACTCCTCAATACAAACTACCAGCTTACAGGGAATGCAGAGGCACAGATGCATGTTAAACAGTAGCAGGGGGCACAGCTGGCAAAATCCAGGCTGGTGAGCTACAGGGGAACAGCCTGGTTTCCTTTGCTAGAGGGGAAGAAAGGACGAATAAGAAAAGTGTGGATTAAGAAGACCTGACTTATCAACCAGTCACAAAGTGGCAAAACTGGGTTCCAATTCAAACAAACGTTTACAAAACAATTGGAAAAGTGAACATTGACTTGATATTTAGTAATATTGGCCGGGCGTGGTGGCTTGTGCCTCTAATCCCAACACTTTGGGAGGCCGTGGCAGGCAGATCATGAGGTCAAGAGATTGAGACCATCCTGGCCAACGTGTTGAAACCCCGTCTCTACTAAAAATACAAAACATTAGCTGGGTGTGGTGGCGGGCACCTGTAGTCCCAGCTACTCGGGCGGCTGAGGCAGGAGAATCACTTGAACCCGGGAGGCGGAGGTTGCAGTGACGATAAAACCATTTCACAATTATAAAAGGGTCAATTGAATAGGAAGATCTAACAATCATAAATCTGTAGACACCTAATAACACAGCGCTGAAACATAGAAAACAAAATCTGATAGAACTAAAAAAGTAGCAGCAAATCCACAACTACTGTGGGAAATTTTAAAACATCTCTCTCGGTAACTGATAGACTAAATGGACAAAATACCGGTAGAGATACAATATATTTAAACCACAAGTTGTTGTTGTTGTTGTTGTTGTTTTTGAGCCGGAGTCTTGCTCTGTCACCCAGGCTGGAGTGCAGTGGCACCATCTCGGCTCCCTGCAAGCTCCGCCTCCCGGGTTCACGCCATTCTCCTACCTCAGCCTCCCCAGTAGCTGGGACTACAGGCGCCCGCCACCATGTCCAGGTAATTTTTTGTATTTTTAGTAGAGACGGGGTTTCACCGCATTAGCCAGGATGGTCTCGATCTCCTGATCTCGTGATCTGCCCACCTCGGCCTCCCAAAGGGCTGGGATTACAGGCGTGAGCCACCGCGCCTGGCCCTCTTTTTTTTTGAAACAGAGTCTCGTTCTGTCACCCAGGCTGGAGTGCAGTGGGGTGAGATCTCAGCTCACTGCAACCTCCATCTCCTGAGTTCAAGAGATTCTCGTGCCTCAGCCTCCTGAGTAGCTGTAATTACAGGCACCCACCACCACACCTGGCTAATTTTTGTATTTTTATTAGAGATGGGGTTTTGCCATGTTGGCCAGGCTGGTCTTGAACTCCTGACCTCAAGTGATCCTCCCAAAATGCTAAGATTACAGGTGTGAGCCCCCGCTTCTGGCCCTGGTTTTTCTTTTTCTCTCTCTCTCTCTCTTTCTTTCTTTCTTTCTTTTTTTTTTTTTAAGAGACAGAGCCTCGCTCTGTTTCTCAGGCTGGAGTAGAGCCCTGATTTTCGTGTTTGGTTTTCAACTGTTGTGTTCTCAAATGGTCTGGGAAACTTCTGCATAGACCTAGACCTTGAAGTGTCCTCCTCCCCCAACCTGTCCCTCTAGGGAGCTTATGATGGTTAATTTTAGGGGTCAACTGAGCTGGATTGAGGGATGCCTAGATGGCTGGTGAAGCATTGTATCTCGGTGTGTCTGGGAGGACTTGTGAGTCAGTGGCCTGAGAGAGGAAGACCGGTCCTTAGTGTGGGCAGAACACCATCCCATCGGCTGGGGGCCCAGCTGGAACAAATGGGCAGAAGAAGGGGGATTCACTCTCTCTCTGCTGTTCCTCTCTACCTTTTGGAGAGGAGTGCTTTTTCTCCTCCTGCTTTTGTACATTGGCTCTTCTGCTTTTGAACTCTGGGACTCGCACTAGCGGCCTTTTGGGAACTCTTGGGCCTGAGCTGGCTTCCCTGAACCTGGCTGGCTTCCCTAGTTCTGAGGCTCTGGAAGTTGGACTGAGCCATGCTCTGGTCTCCAGCTTGCAGACCACCTGTCAGAGGACCTCACCTCTGTGAGCCTGTGAGCCAGCTCCCCTAATAAACCCCCTTTCTTATATCCTGCTGGTTCTGTCTTTCTGGAAAACGCTGAAAAATAAAGAGCTCAATCACATTTTTGGGCCAAAAAGGGCAAATCTCTCATTTGGCTGTTATTAGTCATCTATTGACTGCATTGGGCTTCAGAGCACAAATGCACTACAGCAGACTTGGCTGGTGGCCAGATTCCTGGGGCCCTTCCCTCAGCTGTCCTGCCTGTCACCCACCAGCAGCGACATCTCATCACCTAGAGGCTAAATCCTGGGAAGGGAAGGTCCCTCTGGTTCTGCTCAGGACTGGAGGTGGGGATTTGACACCTCGGAGAGTTCTCAACCACAGGCTGGAAGGAGTTGGTGTATAAATACCCCAGCTCTCTTCCTCCTAGCTCTGCATGTTTTACATTTTTCCCAAAATTCCCCTGGAGGTTATACTCCAGTTGCCTACCATAGCTACCTCTCCATCCCCATCTTACTCATCCACCACCTTCTGGCATTGCTATGACAAAAACCACAGACTGCACAACTTACAAACAACAGAAATTTATTCTCATTGTTCTGGAGGCTGTGGAGTCCAAGATCAAGGCCCCAGCAGTGTCTGGGGAGGGCTGCTTCCTGGTCCATAGATGGGGCTTCTCACTGTGTCCTCACATGGTGGGAGGGATGAGGGATCTCTCTTGGGCCATTTTTATAAAGGTACTATTGCCATTCCTAAGGGCTGTGCTCTCATGACCTAATCACCTCCCAAAGGCCCTACCCCCTAATACCACCATCACATGTGAACTTGGGAGGGACACACATATTTAGACTATGTTAACTTTTCAGTGTGGGTGCCAATCCCTGTCTGAGTCTGCTTCTGGAGAAATCCCACAGACCCGGAGTGTCCCCAACACCAGGGGGTCCTCACTGTGGGTGGGGTGGGGGAGGGGCACAGGGTGTGGAACTGCCACTACATAGCTCTTTGGCAGGGTGAGATACCAGGGGCTGGCCAGGCCTGGCTTGTGGGAGAGGAGCCAGCTCCAGGGACATGGGGAGAGGGTGGTGGGGTGGAGAAGGATGGGCCCTGCTTTCTCCAGAACACTCTTCTGCCTCCCCTTATCTGAGATCCCTTGAGAGCATTCCAAAGGATGGCCACTTATTCCCCAAGTCCTGAGGTCCTAGGTAAGCAGGCGGCCGCAGGGACCAGGCTCCTTTACCCCTTTCCCCCAATCTGTGTCCTGGCTCCTGCCTCCCCACAAAACACAGCCTGGCCCGCATGCCCCTCAGGGTCAAGTCATACAGCTCAGCCCAGCTTGGGAGAACCACCTGCACCAGACCCTCACCTCCCACCATCACCTTTGACTCCAGCTAAGCTCCAGGCCACCACTCTGAACTCTGAGCTTTTGCACATGCTGTTCCTCTCCCTTCCCTTCATGGGTTGTGTGCCATGTGCCCTTTTTTCTCAGGGTAAATGCCTTCTGACCCCAACTCTGCTCTTCCTCCGTAACCCCCCAGTGTGCATTTGTCACACTATGGTTCTGGTTAGTGAAGCCCTCAGCCTGTGCGGGGCTGGGTGAGGAGGAATCTGCAGGGGAGGGGCCAGCCAGCCAGCAGTAGGCAGCCAGGGCGCTGCATCCCGGAGGCTGTGGTCCCTCCTTCGCAGGTGAGCTCTGAGCACCAGTGAAAGCCCCTCTTTGCCCGCTCTGCTCTGAGCTGATTTCCAAACTTGGAAAAACGGAGACCGTAAGTTAAGAGACCTGAACGCTGGACACATCCGTTGCCAGAAAGAGGCGCTAGGGAGTGAATGAGCGTGACATAAAGAGTCTCCCTGAAGACAGCCATCTCCAGGGCCTGGGCCTCCAGCAGGTCTGGCCTTGGGCGGGAGGCTGTGCAGGCAGAAAACCTGCCTCTCGGTCTCCGAGTGGGCGAATGCGCGCCACCGTGGCTGCACCAGGCTTGCTGGTGATTTGGGAAGAGTTACGTGGCCCCTCTGAGCCTGGGTTTCCTCACTTGCATGGCCTGAGGACCCCAGGCAGAGGAAGCAGGGCCCGGCTGGGCCAAGCTAGATCCTGTCTGGGGGCTGCCGGGCTGGAAACAGCAGGAGCAGAGGGCAGCTTCCGTGGCACAGGAGGCGCGGAAAAGCGGCGCAAGGAGGTGGGGACGGATGAGAAGATTTTGAAATGCGTGCCTGGTTTCCCCTATAAAAGTCGAGTTGCAGAATCTTATTTTGAGATACAGTCCCCTCCCACCCCTGGGGGACTAGGGGTACTAGGGAGCGTCTCATTCTTCTCTCCTGAGTTCCGAAATCCACCTCCGAGAGCGCAGTCTCCAGGCTTTCAGCAGCCAGGCAGGCGCTCGGCGAGAAGGGTTTCTGGAATTCGAGCGATGCGGCTTTGCTCACCAGGGAGCCAGCCCGGGACCCAGAACTTACACCCGGGACCCCGCGAGTACAGGACACCGGTGGGGACAGGAATTATCCCCCGCCCAGGAGGCACTGAGACCCTGCGGGAGGCGTGCGCGGCCCTAGGGGAGGGGAGGGGAGGCAGCCGCCACTCGTGTCCGCGGAGAGTTGGGAGGCGGTCGGTTTTGAAAGGCGGCCAGGGGAGCTTTGTGCTGAACCGGGAGGGCCAGATTTACTCCCTCGGGCCTTCCGGAGTCGCTGCCCGGGAACGCGTGTCTGCCCCCGCTGCGCCCAGACGCGCCTGTGCAGAGAACAGGTGTCCCGGGGGACCGAACGCACTGAGCGCGGATTCTGGGAATATATGCGCGTCCTGGCTCCGGGTAACAGAGCAGCGGAAAGCACCCGCCAGGGAAAGCAGGAAGGGACCGGTCCGCCGGGCGGCGGGGCAGGCGAGCCCGGGGGACGGAGGCCAGGAGGGAGGGAACGGCGGGAGAGACAGGGTTTTCGTTTGGCTTCACTTGCTGTTTAGGATGAGGAAGCCTTAGGGGAGGGCCAGCGGCCAGGAGGAGGCCGCCGGGGCGCTGCGGCGACGGAGCCCCACTGTGTGCCTGCCCCTGCAGGGCCCCGGCCTGGCCTCCAGCACCACCTGCACTTACAGGTGAGCGTGGGGGGCTTGGCGCGCTGGGCGGGCATCCCGGGGTGACAGCACGTATGCCCAAGGTGGCCTGCTTGACTCTTCCTCGAAGCTTCTTCCTTTCGGCCCCCAGGCCTAGAACTTGGGGGCTCACACCCGCAGACCATCAGTCAAAGAGCCTGGGCCTCCCCCAAAGGGCCTCCTGGTACCTCATCTGCCAGGACCCCAACCCCCAAGCTTGCAGGGACAGAGGTTCAAACCTCTGCTGGGAGCGAGCACCTGGTGTTTCCAGCAGGGCCCGGCCGAGGCCATGAGCAAAGGCAGTGGGGAGGAGGAGGAGAGCAGGGCTCTGCTTACCTGCAGAGAACAGACAGGTCTGACCCAATGCACTTATTCCACAGCACAGGGAAAGGCGGGAGCCCCCAGCCCCCAATAACAGATGGTACAGAGGAGAAGGTAGCCACCCACTTGTGCACATAATAAAAGTGAAATAATTGGCGTAAACATTGGTAAAAAAGGATTACAGAGCTTCCCCTTCTTTTTTTATTTTTACATTTTTTTATAGAGA
Organism: Homo sapiens; assembly: GCF_000001405.40. Taxonomy (NCBI): domain Eukaryota; kingdom Metazoa; phylum Chordata; class Mammalia; order Primates; family Hominidae; genus Homo; species Homo sapiens. The sequence continues at coordinate 104,842,861 of NC_000014.9, read as the reverse complement.
TGAGGGTCTTACTATGTTGCCCAGATTGGTCTCAAACTCCTAGGCTCAAGTGATCCTCCTGTATCCGCTGCCCAAACTGCTGGGATTATATGTGTGAGCCACGGCACCTGGCCAAGCTCTTCTTCTTGATGATGATATGCTTGAACACCTGAACGATCTAAGAGACTCAAGTAAAAACTGCTGGCCTTAATAAAATAATCTGGTAAATTGAGAAGAGAAGAAGTATGCTCAATGATCAATCTTTCTTTCCATTCCAATAATGAGCTTCTGGCAAAGGCAATGGGAAATCTATCCCATCCAGAAGAGCGACAAAGAAATATAAAAAGCTTAAGAAAATCACTAAGGAAGGCACAGAACCTATAGGAAGAAAACATGGAATGATATGGAGCAATATCTGGACAAAAGAAAGCAATACCAGGTAGAACCCCAGATCTTTTCAATGACTAAAACTATCTTAAAGTGTATATGGAAGAATAAATGCTGAAGAACAGCCAAGAAAAGAACAAAAAAGAAAAGTGTGGCCAGGCGCAATGGCTCACGCCTGTAATCCTAGCACTCTGGAAGGCTGAGGTGGGCAGATCGCTTGAGTCCAGGAGTTTGAGACTAGTTCTAGCCTAGACAACATGGCGAAACTCTGTCTCTACAAAAAATACAAAAATTAGCCAGGCGCGATGGCACATACCCTTAGTCCCCAGCTATTTGGGGGTCTGAGATGGGAGGATTGCTAGAGCCTGGGTGGTTGAGGTGCAGTGAGCCATGATCGTGCCACTGCACTCCAGCCTGGGTGACAGAACAAGACCCTGTCAAAAAGAAAGAAAGAGAGGAGAAGGAAGGAAGGAAAGAAGGGAGTAAGGGAGGGAGGGAGGAAGGGGAGGAAGGAGGGAAGGAGGGAGGGAGGGAGGAAGGGGAGGAAGGAGGGAGGGAGGAAGGGAAGGAGGAAGGAAGGAAGAAAGGAAGGAAGGAAGGAAAGAAGGGAATGAAATAGAAAAATGAGCAAAGGTTATAAATAAGCAATTCATAGAAGAGCAATATGAAATGGTTAACAAACATTTGAAGAAGTTCTAATTCACTAGCCATCAGGGAAGTGTCAGCTAAAGCACTGCTCACACAGGGATCTACCCCCAGGTGTCAGACACAGAAGACAACCTAGCACCTAGTGCTCCCAGAGGTGTGAGGGCCCCAGGGACCCTCATTTGCTGATGGCGGAAATGAAAATCATTACAACAATCACCTTGGGAAGCAGCCTCTCAACTGCAAACACAATTAAGAAGGCAAATGGACATTGACCCAGCAATCCCTGACGCATTTTTTTATAATGGCAAAAGAAAAAAATCATAAATAAAGAGAATGCTAAATTAGTAAATTGTTCCTTCATCATTAGTGCACTCAACAAATACATACTAGACCATGTGCCTGACACTGTTTTCAGATCCTAGACTAAGGCAATAAGCAAATAAAAATCTTTAGACCTTATGGAAGATTTATTCAGTAAATGAGACAGAAAGAGACAAATAAATATATTTAAAATGTTAGGTAGTGGCAGGTACTAAGATAAAAAATAATCCAGGAAAGAAAAGAAAATTAAGAAAACAACTCCATCTGCATGCGATAGCATCTAAGATAATTAAGTACTTAGGAATAAATCTAACCAAGGAGGTGAAAGACTTAGATGCTGAAAACTACAAAGCATTGCGGAAAACAATTAAAGAGAGAAATAAATGGAAAGATACTTCATATTCATGGATGGGGGACGAAACATTGTTAAGATGTCACTACTACCCAAAATGATCTACAGATTCACCTCAGTCTCTGTAAAAATTCCAATAGCCTGGGCCGGATGTGGTGGCTCATGCCTGTGATCCTAGTACTTTAGGAGGCCGAGGCAGGCAGATCACCTGAGGTCAGGAGTTGGAGACCAGCCTGGCCAACATGGCGCAACCCCATCTCTACTAAAAATACAAAAATTAGCTGGGCATGGTGGCAGGCACCTGTAATTCCAGCTACTCAGGAGGCTGAGGCGGGAGAATTGCTTGAACCCAGGAGGCAGAGGTTACAGTGAGCTGAGATCGCGCCACTGCACTCCAGCCTGGGGGACAAGAGCAAAACTCCATCTCCAAAAAAATAAAAAATAATTCCAACAGCCATTTTTACTTTTTCAGAAATAGAAAAGCTGATCCTCAAACTCATATGGAATTGCAAGAGACCACAAATAGTCAAAATCGTTTGTAAAAAAGAAAGATAAAGTTGCAGGACTCACATGTCTTCACTTCAAAACTTACTACAAAGCTACAGTAATTAAAACAATGTGGTATTGGCATAAGGAGTGACATATAGACCAATGGAGTAGACTAGAGAATCTAGAAATAAGCCCTCGCATATTTGGTTAAATGATTTTTGGCAAAGTTGCCAAGACCATTTAATGGGGGGTAGGACAGTCTGTTCAACAAATGGTGCTAGGAAAACTGGATATCCATACACAAAAGAATGATGTTGGATCCTAACCTTATGCTATATACAAAAATGTACTCAAAAATGGATCAAAAAACCTAAACGTAAGAGCTAAAACTACGAAACTTGGCCAGGCACAGTGGCTCACGCCTGTAATCCCAGCACTTTGGGAGGCTGAGGTGGGTGGATCGCCTGAGGTCAGGAGTCCGAGACCAGCCTGGCCAACATGGTGAAACCCTGTCTCTACCAAAAATACAAAAATTAGCCAGGTGTGGTGGCAACGCGCCTGTAATTCCAGCTACTCAGGAGGCTGAGGCAGGAGAATTGGCTTGAAACTGGGAGGCAGAGGTTGCAGTGAGCCAAGATTGCACCACTGCACTCCACCCTGGGCAACAGAATGAGACCCTGTCTCTAAAAAGATTTTTTTTTAAAGAGTAGAATAAGGCCTGGTGCAGTGGCTCACGCCTGTAATCCTAGCACTTTGGGAGGCCGAGGCGGGTGGATCACGAGGTCAGGAGTTTGAGACCAGCCTGACCAACATGGTGAAACCCTGTCTCTACTAAAAATACAAAAATTAGCTGGGTGTGGTGGCACATGCCTTGTAATCCCAGCTACACGGGAAGCTGAGGCAGGAGAATTGCTTGAACCCGGGAGGCAGAGGTTGCAGTGAGCCGAGATCATGCCACTACACTCCAGCCTGGGCAACAAGGGAGACTCCGTCTGGACACATAAACCCTCCCAAGACTAAACCAGGAAGAAGTTGAATCTCTGAATAGACCAATAACAGGCTCTGAAATTGAGGCAATAATTAATAGTCTATTAACCGAAAAAAGTCCAGGACCAGACAGATTCACAGCCGAATTCTACCAGAGGTACAAAGAGGAGCTGGTACCATTCTTTCTGAAACTATTCCAATCAATAGAAAAAGAGGGAATCCTCCCTAACTCATTTTATGAGGCCAACATCATCCTGATACCAAAGCCTGGCAGAGACACAACAACAAAAAAATAGAATTTTAGACCAATATCCCTGATGAACATCGATGCGAAAATCGTCAATAAAATACCCGAATCCAGCAGCACATCAAAAAGCTTATCCACCACAATCAGGATAGCTTCATCCCTGGGATGCAAGGCTGGTTCAACATACGCAAATCAATAAACGTAATCCATCAGATAAATAGAACCAATGACAAAAACCACATGATTAACTCAATAGATGCAGAAAAGACCTTCAACAAAATTCAACAGCCCTTCATGCTAAAAACTCTCAATAAACTAGGTATTGATGGAATGTATCTCAAAATAGTAACAGCTATTTATGACAAACCCACAACCAATATCATACTGAATGGGCAAAAACTGGAAGCATTCCCTTTGAAAACCGGCACAAGACAAGGATGCCCTGTCTTACCACTCCTATTCAACATAGTGTTGGAAGTTCTGGCCAGGGCAATCAGGCAAGAGAAAGAAATAAAGGGTATTCAATTAGGAAATGAGGAAGTCAAATTGTCCCTGTTTGCAGATGACATGATTGTATATTTAGAAAACCCCATCATCTCAGCCCAAAATCTCCTTAAGCTGATAAGCAACTTCAGCAAAGTCTCTGGATACCAAATCGATGTGCAAAAATCACAAGCATTCCTATACATCATTAACAGACAAACAGAGAGTCAAATCATAAGTGAACTCCCATTCACAACTGCTACAAAGAGAATAAAATACCTAGGAATCCAACTTACAAGGGATGTGAAGGACCTCTTCAAGGAGAACTACAAACCACTGCTCAACGAAATAAAAGAGGACACAAACAAATGGAAGAATATTCCATGCTCATGGATAGGAAGAATCAATATCATGAAAATGGCCATATTGCCCAAAGTAATTTATAGATTCAATGCCATCCCCATCAAGCTACCAATGACTTTCTTTACAGAATTGGAAAAAACTACTTTAAAGTTCATATGGAACCAGAAAAGAGCCTGCATTGCCAAGACAATCCTAATTAAAAAGAACAAAGCTGGAGGCATCACGCTACCTGACTTCAAACTATACTACAAGGCTACAGTAACCAAAACAGCATGGTACTGGTACCAAAACAGATATATAGACCAATGGAACAGAACAGAGCCCTCAGAAATAACGCCGCATATCTACAACTATCTGATCTTTGACAAACCTGAGAAAAACAAGCATTGGGGAAAGGATTCCCTATTTAATAAATGGTGCTGGGAAAACTGGCTAGCCATATGTAGAAAGCTGAAACTGGATCCGTTCCTTACACCTTACACAAAAATTAATTCAAGATGGATTAAAGACTTAAATGTTAGACCTAAAACCATAAAAACCCTAGAAGAACACCTAGGCAGTACCATTCAGGACATAGGCATGGGCAAGGACTTCATGACTAAAACACCAAAAGCAATGGCAACAAAAGCCAAACTAGACAGATGGGATCTAATTAAACTAAAGAGCTTCTGCATGGCAAAAGAAACTACCATCAGTGTGAACAGGCAACCTACAGAATGGGAGAAAATTTTTGCAATCTACCCATATGACAAAGGGCTAATATCCAGAATCTACAAAGAACTCAAACAAATTTACAAGAAAAAAACAAATAACCCCATTAAAAAGTGGGCAAAGGATATCAACAGACACTTCTCAAAAGAAGACATTTATGCAGCCAACAGACACATGAAAAAATGCTCACCATCACTGGCCATCAGAGAAATGCAAATCAAAACCACAATGAGATACCATCTCACACCAGTTAGAATGGTGATCATTAAAAAGTCAGGACACAACAGGTGCTGGAGAGGATGTGGAGAAATAGAAACACTTTTACACTGTTGGTGGGAGTGTAAACTAGTTCAACCATTGTGGAAGACAGTGTGGTGATTCCTCAAGGATCTAGAACTAGAAATACCATTTGACCCAGTGATCCCATTACTGGGTATATACCCAAAGGATTATAAATCATGTTACTATAAAGACACATGCACACGTATGTTTATTGTGGTACTATTCACAATAGCAAAGACTTGGAACCAACCCAAATATCCATCAATGATAGACTGGATTAAGAAAATGTGGCACATATACACCATGGAATACTATGCAGCCATAAAAGAGGATGAGTTCATTTCCTTTACAGGGACATGAATGAAGCTGGAAACCATCATTCTCAGCAAACTATCACAAGGACAGAAAACCAAACACCACATGTTCTCACTCATAGGTGGGAATTGAACAATGAGATCACTTGAACACAAGGCGAGGAACATCACACACTGGGGCCTGTTGGGGGTTGGGGGGCTGGAGGGGGATAGATAGCATTAGGAGAAATACCTAATGTAAATGACGAGTTGATGGGTGCAGCACACCAACATGGCACATGTATACCTATGTATCAAACCTGCACGTTGTGCACATGTACCCTGGAACTTAAAGTATAATAAAAAAATTTAAAAAACAATAAAAAGAATTTTTAAAAAGAGTAGAATGGCGCTTCTTGTCTGAGAAAACACCAAATGGCGGATGACGCCGGTGCAGGGGGGGGGGGGGGGGGTGCCGGAGGCCCTGGTGGCCCTGGGATGGGGAACCGTGGTGCCTTCCGCGGAGGTTTCGGCAGTGGCATCCGGGGCCGGGGTCGCGGCCGTGGACGGGGCCAGGGCCAAGGCTGCGGAGCTCGCGGAGGCAAGGCTGAGGATAAGGAGTGGATGCCTGTCACCAAGCTGGGCCGCTTGGTCAAGGAGATGAAGATCAAGTCCCTGGAGGAGATCTATCTCTTTTCCCTGCCCATTAAGGAATCTGAGATCATTGACGTTTTCCTGGGGGCCTCTCTCAAGGATGAGGTTTTGAAGATTATGCTGGTGCAGAAGCAGACCCGTGCCGGCCAGCGCACCAGGTTCAAGGCGTTCTTTGCTATCGGAGACTACAATGGCCACGTCGGTCTGGGTGTTAAGTGCTCCAAGGAGGTGGCCACCGCCATCCGTGGGGCCATCATCCTGGCCAAGCTCTCCATTGTCCCTGTGCACAGAGGCTACTGGGGGAACAAGATCGGCAAGCCCCACACCGTCCCTTGCAAGGTGACAGGCCGCTGCGGCTCTGTGCCGGCGCGCCTCATCCCTGCACACGGGGGCACTGGCATCGTCTCCGCACCTGTGCCCAAGAAGCTGCTCATGATGGCTGGTATCGATGACTGCTACACCTCAGCCCGGGGCTGCACTGCCACCCTGGGCAACTTCGCCAAGGCCACCTTTGATGCCATCTCTAAGACCTACAGCTACCTGACCCCCAACCTCTGGAAGGAGACTGTATTCACCAAGTCTCCCTATCAGGAATTCACTGACCACCTCGTCAAGACCCACACCAGAGTCTCCGTGCAGTGGACCCAGGCTCCTGCTGTGGCTACAACATAGGGTTTTTATACAAGAGAAGTAAAGTGAATTAAGCCTGAAAAAAAAAAAAAGAGTAGAATGGCAACTCACAAAATGAGATATTTGCAAATCCTATATCTGATAGGATATTAATATGCAGCATATTAGAATTGCTGTAACTCCGAAACAAAAACTCCCTAAACAACCTAATTTACAAATAAACAAAGTACTTGAATGGACCTTTCCCCAAAGAAGACAGATAAATGGTCAACAAGCACACACAAAAAATGTTCAACATCATCAGTCACTAGGGAGATGCAAAATAAAACCACAATGAAATACCATGTCACACCCATTGGGATGGCTATAATTTTTTCAAAAGAAGCAAAATAACAAATGCTGGTAAGGGTAGTAAGAAATTAAAACCCTTGGCCGGGCACAGTGGCTCATGCCTGTAATCCCAGCACTTTGCGAGGCGAGCGGATCACGAGGTCAGGAGATCGAGACCATCCTGGCTAACACGTGAAACCCCGTCTCTACTAAAAAATACAAAAAATTAGCCGGACGTGGTGGCGGGCACCTGTAGTCCCAGCTACATGGGAGGCTGAGGCAGGAGAATGGCGTGAACCTGGGAGGCGGAGCTTGCAGTGAGCCGAGATGGGGCCACTGCACTCCAGCCTGGGCTACAGAGCAAGACTCCGTCTCAAAAAACAAAGAAACAAAAAAAGAACTGAAAAGGAGGAATCACACAGATACTTGCTCACCGATGTTCATAACGCATTATTTACAATAGCCAAATGTGGAAACAAGCCAAGTATCCATCAACAGATAAAAGAATAAACAAAATGTGGTCTAAACACATAAATGGAATATGCTTCAGCCATAAGAAGGAATGAAGTTCTGAGGCATGCTACAATATGGGAGAATTTGAAAACATTCTACTAAGTGAAATAAGCCAGACATTAAAGTTCCAATATTATATGATTCCACTTATATGACACATCTGGAATAGGCAAGTTTATAGAGACAGAAACTAGAATAGAGGTTACCAGGCCTAGAGGGAAGGGAGGGAGAGGGACTTATTGCTTAATGGGCACAGAATTTGGGATGACAAAAAAGTTCTGGAAATAGTGGTGATGATTACATAACATTGTGGATGTACTTAATGCCACTAAATTGTACACTTAAAACGGTTATAGTGGTAAATTTTTGTTTGTTTGTTTGGTTTTGAGATGGAGTCTCGCTCTGTCGCCCAGGCCACGGTGCAGTGGCACAATCTCAGCTCACTACAGCCTCCACCTCCTGGGTTTAAGCAATTCCCCCTGCCTCAATCTCCCAAGTAGCTGGGGTTACAGGCGCTCGCCACCACGCCTGGCTAATTTTTTTTGTATTTTTTAGGAGGGACGGGGTTTCACCATGTTGGCCAGGCTGGTCTTGAACTCCTGACCTCAGGTGATCAGCCCACCTTGGCCTCCCAAAGTGCTGGGATTACAGGCGTGACCCACCACGCCTGGGCAAAATTTATGTTATGTAAATTTTACCTCAATAAAACATAAATTTGAAAATATATATAGCAAAAGAAATGACAAAAGAATTAAATGGAGGCTGGCCGTGGTGGCTCACGCCTGTAATCCCAGCACTTTGGGAGGCCAAGGCAGGTGGATCACGAGGTCAGGAGTTCGAGACCAGCCTAACCAATATGGAGAAAACCCGTCTCTACTAAAAATACAAAAAAAAATTAGCCAGGGGTGGTGGCACCCACCTGTAGTCCCAGCTACTCGGGAGGCTGAAGCAGAAGAATTGCATGAACCTGGGAGGTGGAGCTTGCAGTGAGCCAAGATTGTGTCACTGCACTCCAGCCTGGGCAACAGAGCGAGACTCTGTCTCAAAAAAAAAAAAAAAAAAAGAATTAAATGGCACATTAGAGAATATATATTTAACACAAAAGAAGCAATATGGAGGAATAGAGGAGGAACAAAACAGGCAAGACAGAGAGAAAACAAATAGCACAATGGCAGACCTCAATCCCACCACTGGTAATTATAGTAAATATTAATATATTAAACACTAATTAAAAGAAAAAGATTGGCAGAATAGATTTAAAAAACATAATCCAACTATATCTGCTAGGTATAAAACATGATGGCTACTAGAGACACAGTTTAGATTCAGACACAATATCTTAAAAGTAAAATGACAGGAGGCCGGGCGCGGTGGCTCATGCCTGTAATACCAGCAATTTGGGAGGCCGAGGCGGGCGGATCATGAGGTCAGGAGATCGAGACTATCCTGGCTAACACGGTGAAACCCCGTCTCTACTAAAAATACAAAAATTAGCTGGGCGTGGTGGCGGGCACCTGTAGTCCCAGCTACTCGGGAGGCTGAGGCAGGAGAATGGCGTGAACCTGGGAGGCAGAGCTTGCAGGGAGCCAAGATTGCACCACTGCACTCCAGCCCGGGCGACAGAGCGAGACTCCGTCCAAAAAACAAAGTAAAATGACAGGAAAAGATATAACATTCAAACAGCAACTCAAAGAGAGGTGGAGTTCCTCTACTAATATTAGAAAATATAGATATTAAGACAAAAATTATTGTTAGAGACAAAGAAGGATGTGTTATAATGATAAGAGGGTGATCCATAAGGAAGATATAATAACTAGAAACACATATGCACTGGCTGGGCACGGTGGCTCATGCCTGTAATCTCAGCACTTTGGGAGGCTGAGGCGGGCAGATCACGAGGTCAGGAGATCGAGACCCTCCTGGCTAACACAGTGAAACCCGGTCTCTACTAAAAATATAAAAAATTAGCCAGGCTTGGTGGCACCTGTCTGTTATCCCAGCTACTCAGGAGGCTGAGGCAGGAGAATCACTTGAACCCGGGAGGCAGAGGTTGAAGTGAGCCAAGGTGGTGCCACTACACTCCAGCCTGGGCGACAGAGCGAGACTCTGTCTAAAAAAAAAAAAAAACAAAAAAAAAAAACTGACAAAATTGAAGGGAGAAATAGATAATTCAAATTAATTGGAGATTTCTTCCTTCCTTTTTTTTTTTTTTTTTTTGAGACAGAGTCTTGCTAAATCTCCCAGGCTGGAGTGCAGTGGTGCCATCTTGGCTCACTGCAACCTCTGCCTCCCAGGCTCAAGCCGTTCTCCTGCCTTAACCTCTCAGGTAGCTGGGATTACAGATGCCTGCCACCACACCGGGCTAATTTTTGTATTTTAGTAGAGATGGGGTTTCACGATGTTGGCTGGGCTGGTCTCAAACTCCTGACATCAGGTGATCCGCCCACCTTGGCCTCCCAAAGTGCTGGGATTATAGGCGTGAGCTGCCACACGCAGGCCTAGTTGGAGATTTCAATACCTCACTTTCAATAATGGATAGAACAACTAACAGAAGATAACGAGGAAGTAGACAACTTCAACAACACTATAAATCAACTAAACTAAACCTAACAGATCTTGAAAAAATGGTCCACACAACAATATCAGAATCCATATTCTTCTCAAGAGCATATGGAAGGTTCTCAAGGATAGACTATATGTTAGGCCAAAAAAAACACCTCAATAAACCTAAAAGGACTGAAGTCATGCAAAGTGTGTTCTCCAATCATAATGTAATAAAATTAGGAATCAATAACAGAAGGAAATTTGAGAAATTCACAAATAGGTGACGATTAAACAACACAATTCTAAATAACCAATGAGTCAAATAAAAAATGTCAAGAAAAAATTTAAAGTACTTTGATATGAAAGCGAGTGGGGGCATAACATACCAAAACTTATGGATGTAGCTAAAGTGGCTAAATAGGGAAATTTAGACCAGGCGTGGTGGCTTAGGCCTGTATCCCGCACTTTGGGAGGCCGAGGCGGGTGGATCACGAGGTCAGGAAATCGAGATCATCCTGGCTAACATGGTGAAACCCCACCTCTACCAAAAATATAAAAAATTAGCTGGGCGTGGCGGCGTGCACCTGTAGTCCCAGCTACTTGGGAGGCTGAGGCAGGAGAATGGCGTGAACCCGGGAGGCGGAGCTTGCAGTGAGCCAAGATTGTGCCACTGCACTTTAGCCTGGGCGACAGAGCGAGACTCTGTCTCAAAAAAAAAAAAAAAAAAGAAAAGAAACTAGAGAAAAAGCAAACTAAACCCAAAGCAGAAAGAAGAAAGGAAATAACAAAGGTGACAGTGGAAATAAATAAAATGGAGAACAAGCCAGGCATGGTGGCTCATGCCTACAATCCCAGCACTTTGGGAGGCCAAGGCGAGCGGATCACGAGGTCAGGAGTTCGAGACCAGCCTGGCCAAGATGGTGAAACCCCCGTCTCTACTAAAAATACAAAAATTAGCCGGGCGTGGTGGCAGGCGCCTGTAATCCCAGCTACTCGGGAGGCTGAGGCAGGAGAATCACTTGAACCCGGGAGGTGGAGGTTGCAGTGAGCTGAGATCGTGCCACTGCACTCCAGCCTGGGTGACAGAGCAAGACTCCATCTCAAAAATAAATAAATAAATAAATAAAAATGGAGAATAAAAAATAGAGAAAAATCAGTGAAACCAAAAGTGAATTCTTTGATAAAATCAATAAGATTGACAAACCTTAAGTTGTACTGACCTACAAAAAAAAAAAATAGAAAAGCCTTAGATTAATAAAATCAGGAATGAAAGTAGGTACAGTAGGACTGACCTTCAGGAAATAGAAGGGATGATATGCTCGGAATAACTGGAGGCCAATAAATGAGATAGTCTATATGAAACTGACACATTTCCGAAAAGTCACAAACTAATGAAACTAATCCAAGAAGAAATTTTAAAAAGCTGAATAGGACTTTAAGAAGTAAAAAGATAACTCTCTTGGGTCTGTGCCTTCAAGATGACAAAGAAAAGAAGGAACACTGGTTGTGCCAAAAAGGGCCATGGCCATGTGCAGCCTATTTGCTGCACAAACTGTGTCCAAAGACAAGGCTGTTAACAAATTCATCATTTGAAGCAGTAGAGGCCACAGCAGTCAGTAACGTTTCTGAAACAAGCATCTTCAAAGCCTACGTGCTTCCCAAGCTGCACGTGACGCTACACTGCTGTGTGAGTTGTGCGATTCACAGCAAGGCAGTCAGGAATCCATGTCGTGCAGCCTGCAAGGACCAAACAACCCTACCTGGATTTAGACCTGTCTGTGCTGCCCCACAACCACCATCAAAGCTCATGTAAGGAGCTGAGTCCTTAAGGACTTAAGAAAAACTATTCTCGGCCGGGTTCGGTGGCTCACAATTGTAATCCCAGCACTTTGGGAGGCCAAGGCAGGCGGATCACGAGATCAGGAGTTTGAAACCAGCCTGGCCAACATGGGGAAACCTCATCTCTACTAAAAATACAAAAATTAGCTGGGCATGGTGGCAGGTGCCTGTAATCCCAGCTACTCAGGAGGCTGAGGCAGGAGAATTGTTTGAACCTGGGAGGTTGGAGAGAGCCAAGATAACGCCATTGTCCTCCAGCCTGGGCGACAGGGTGAGACTCTGTCTCAAAAAAAAAGAAAAAAGAAAAAGTATTCTCTGGAGAAAATTAAAGTAAGAAGATTAAATTAGTGACAAACAAAACAAAACAAAAACAAAAAAATAACCTCTCTATAAAGAAAACCTTAGCCCTTTTGGCTCCACTGGTGAATTCTACCAAATATATATATATATTTTTTTTTTTTTTTTTTTTTTTTTTTTTTGCGACGGAGTCTGGCTCTCTCACCCAGGCTGGAGTGCAGCGGCGCGATCTTGGCTCACTGCAAGCTCTGCCTCCCAGGTTCAAGCAATTCTCCTGCCTCAGCCTCCCGAGTAGCAGGGACTACAGGCGCCCGCCACCCCACCACACCTGGCTAATTTTTTTTTCTTTTTTTTTAAGTAGAGACGGGGTTTCACCGTAGCAGCCAGGATGGTCTCTATCTCCTGACCTCGTGATCTGCCCATCTCGGCCTCCCAAAGTGCTGGGATTACAGGCGTGAGCCACTGTGCCCAGCCAACACTGAACACTATTAAACGTCATTTAAAGAAATTAAAAGGCTGGGTGCGGTTGCTCACACCTGTAATCCCAGCACTTTGGGAGGATGAGGCAGGCAGACACAAGGTCATGAGACTGAGACCAGCCTGGCCAATATGGTGAAACCCCATCTCTACTAAAAATACAAAAATTAGCTGGGTGTGGTGGCGCACGCCTGTAATCCTAGCTACTCAGGAGGCTGAGGCAGGAGAATTGCTTGAACCTGGAAGGCAGAGGTTGCGGTGAACTGAGACTGCGCCACTGCACTCCAGCCTGGGCGACAGAGCAAGACTCAAAAAAAAAAAAAGATGAATTTTATGGTATGTGAATTATATCTCAATCTTAAAAGTTTTTAAAAAGAGAATGAAAGAAGAGGAATTAGAGGCATGGCATGTAGACAGCATTCTGTGGGCGTCTTGCAGTAAAGATCTATGCCTTTCTTTTCTTTTCTTTTCTTTTTTTTTAATTGAGACAAGGTCTTGCTGTGTCACCCAGGCTAGAGTGCAGTGATATCATCATGGCCCGGACTCCCAGGCCCAACCCAAGGGATCCTCCCACTGTAGCCTCCCCAGTGGCTGGGACTACAGGCCCATGCCACCATGCCTGGCTGATTTTCCCTTAATTTTTTTGTTGTTGTTTTTAAAGAAATGAGGTGTCACTATGTTGCCCAGGCTGGTCTCCATCTCAAATAAATAAATAAAATACCACAGACTGAGTAATTTATAAATACTAAAAATGTATTCCTCACAGTTTTAGGGGCGGGGAAGTCCTAGGTCAAGGCCAGCAGATGTGGTGTCTGGGAGGGATTACACCCTCTTGCTGTGCCCTCACATAGAGGAAGGGGCCAAAAGGCCTAAAGAAAAGAACCCGCTGCCTCAAGCCCTTGTGTAAGAGCACTAATCCCGTCCGCCCTGCCCTGGTCACCTCCCAAAGGCCCTACCTCTTAATACCATCACTTTGCAACTTAAGTTCCAATATATGAATTTTGGATGGACACAAACATTCAAACCATAGCACACACAAAATAAGCTTAAATATTTTATTTTTTGAGACAGGGTCTTGTTTTGTCACCCAGGCTGGAGTGCAGTGGCCCCATCTCAGCTCACTGCAACCTCTGCCTCCTGGGCTCAAGCAATCCACTCACCATGGCCTCCCAAAGTGCTGGGACTACAGGCGTGAGCCACTGCACCTGGTCTTTTAAAATTTTTTTTTTTTTTTTGAGATGGAGTCTCCCTCTGTCGCCCAGGCTGGAGTGCAGTGGCGCGATCTCAGCTCACTGCAAGCTCTGCCTCCCAGGGTCATGCCATTCTCCTGCCTCAGCCTCCCGAGTAGCTGGGACCACAGGCACCCGCTACCACGCCTGGCTAATTTTTTGAATTTTTAGTAGAGACGGGGTTTCACGTGTTAGCCAGGATGGTCACAATCTCCTGACCTCGTGATCCGCCTGCCTTGGCCTCCCAAAGTGCTGGGATTACAGGCGTGAGGCTGAGGCAGGAGAAAGGTGTGAACCCGGGAGACGGAGCCTGCAGTGAGCCAAGATCGTGTCACTGCACTCCAGCCTGGGCGACACAGCGAGACTCTGTCTCAAAAAAAAAAAAAAAAAGAGTGACCACTGGTCGTCCTCACTGCTACACTCCCACCAGCACCATGAGAGTTTACAAATGCCATGGCAACATCAGGAAGTTACCCCTTATGGTCTAAAAAGGAGAGTCATGAATAATACACCCTTTGTTTATCATATAATAAAAATAAAACCATAAAAATGGTCACCCAGCAGCCCTCTGGCCCGCTCTATGGAGTGGCCATTCTTTTATTCCTCTAATTTCTTAATAAATTTGCTTTCGCTTTACTTTGTGGACTCGCCCTGAATTCTTTCTTGCGTGAGATCTAAGAACCCTCTCTTGGGATCTGGATCAGGACCCCTTTCTGGTAACCCCATGAACCACAGACTCACTCTCAGCCCTGGATCCCCATGCCTCTGCCACTGAGGCCTGAGGGACCACCTCTCCCGCCCCTGCCCTGAGCACTCTGGTGTCTCCGGCCAGCCCTTTCTCTCCAAGCCAGGCTCCTCCCACCCTCCCTGCCTTCTCCAGCCGTGTACCAGACACGAACCTGTGGAAGGAGAGCCCGCAGCTCCTGGGGCACCTGCATTCAGCCCAGCCCCTCCTCCCTGCCCCGTCCCTGGCCTCCCCCAGCCCCTGGCGGCTTCTTCTCTGCGGCCTCCTCCTAGTGGCTGGCTGAGCAAAGGACAGGAGGTACTTAGCCTTATCATCTGCCCTGCCCCTCCAGGACTGCAGGCGCCAAGCCCCCTGCACGCCCCTACTTCCCCGATGGGACCTCCCTGCTCCCAGCCAGTCAGCCTCCCAGGGAAGCTTAAGGCTGCTGCCTGGCTCCAGGGCGACGGCTGTTGGTGCTGGGGCCCAAGACGCAGGAGAGATTCAGACAGCACTTGGGGCCACACAAGACAGTGCCTGGGACGTGTGAAGCACCGCCCTCCCCTGGACGTGAGTCCACCCCAGGGCTTCAACGCCAGCCTGTGCCCACCTCACGCAGGCCTTTCTCCGCGGCTCAGGTGCTTCCTCCCCCCCACCGAAGCGCTGGTGCTAAGGTCACCGCCCTGCCCCACCGTCACTGTTCACTGATACCAGTCCTGGGCGCCCTCCTCGCAGCCCCTGCCCCACTCCACACCGGATCGACCACCAAGGCCTCTGCCTCCTACGCATCCCCAACGCCTTTTCCTTCCTTCCCGCGGACCTGCGGGGCGGGGGCGGGCCTGGCGTTTTTGAGCTGGACCCGAGCAGCCTCCCGGTGACTCCCCTGCTGTTGCCACCTCCTCATTCTCCACTCAAGAGACAAAGCGACCTCCCCGAATGCAAACCCGACCAGCCGCACTCCTTAAAATCCTTCGACGCTTCCCATTTCTCCCAGGGAAAAACTCCCCCACTCCTCCCCACCTGTGTCCGCGGCCCCTGCAGGACTGAGAGTCCGAGGTCTCCGCGCCGTCACCTCCCCCGACGCCCTTCCAGCTTCCCTGGGAGCCCGGGGCCATCCTCCGAGCCCACCCGCCCCCTCACCCCCGCAGACCCCCCTGCAGACCCTAGCAGTCCCCTGCGGCCCGTCTCGCCTTGCGGACGAAGCCGGGGCGCCCGAGGTCTCCGCCCTCTGAGCTTGCGTCCCCATCCCCAGGGGCCCCCAGCACAGTTCCTGGGGCAGGGCTGGAGCTCATCAGCCCCGGGACGGAAGGTTAGATTCCCAGGATCCACCGTGTCCAAGGGTTGCATTCCCACTCGAGCCCCGCCCCTCCGGCAGCCCCGCCCCCTCCGGCAGCCCCGCCCCCTCCGGCAGCCCCGCCCCTCCGGCAGCCCCGCCCCTCCGGCAACCCCGAAAAGCAGAGCGCGGCGGGAGCCATTGCGAAGTTTGCCGCCAGGGGGCGCGCGGGGAGCGGGGCGCAGGGCTGGCGGGGAGTGCGGAGCCGGGCGCGGGGAGAGGGCGGGACGGGTGCTCCTCCCGGATGCCCAGGGCGCCCAGCGCCGCGGGAAAGGCGCCTCCCCAGCAGGACGCCAGGCTCTGGGGCTAGCGCTCCTCGCCGCAGAGAGCTTGGGGCTGGCCACGGGTGGCCTGAGGATGACTTGGGACCGCCCCCCGCTCCAACGCCAGCTGTCGCAGTCTGCTCCGCTTCCCAGAAGGACCAGACCTTTCGCTTAGGGATTTCATTTTGGGAACTCCCTTTAAAGCGCTTCATTCATGCCGCAGTGCCTTGAGGGCGAGGATTGGCCACACCCTCCTAGGGACAGTGCTCACCCCGGCCTGAGCTTAAGAACAGGAGTTCCCCAGCCTCGTCAGACGCCCCACCTAGCCCTCCCAGCCCACCCCCCGCATATCCCCCTGCTCTGTGGTCTTGCACTGCCGCAGCGCTCCCACCACCGCCTTGCCCGTGTGCCCTCCAACCAGCGCCAGGGGTTGCGGTCAGAGCTCAAGCCCGATCTGGTCTCTCCGGGGATCAAACCTTCCTGCAGCTCCCATCGCACTCGGAGTGAACATCCAAGACCCCAGGAGAGCTCCATAAGGCCTCCACACCTTCCTCTCCCTCTGGCTCCCCTCCCTGCCGGTGCTCCGGGATCTCCTGCCACTTCGCTACGCCCCAGCACGCCCCAAGCCCCACATCAGGCTTCTGCTCCTGCCAGTCCCTCCGCCCCAGCCATTTCCTGCCTCTGCTCAAATATTCCCAGTCAGCGAGGCCATCTCCGCCAATCCTCAGACTGCCGGTATCTGTCATTCCGATTCTTTTCTTTCCTTAAGAGACGGAGTCTGACTCTGTCGCCCAGGCTGGAGTGCAGTGGCACCATCTCGGCTCACTGCAAGCTCCGCCTCCCGGGTCCCGCCATTCTCCTGCCTCAGCCTCCTGAGTAGCTGGGACTACAAGCACCCACCACCACGCCTGGCTAATTTTTTTGTATTTTTAGTAGAGATGGGGTTTCACCGTGATAGCCAGGACGGTCTCTATCTCCTGACCTCGTAATCTGCCCGCCTTGGCCTCCCAAAGTGCTGGGATTACAGGCGTGAGCCACCGTGCCCGGCCCGATTCTTTACTTTTCTATTGGCTTTTAAGCTGGGGAACCTGCCACCTGCCTTCATGAATCCCACCCAGAAGAGTCTTGGGGACTTCTAGAATCATCTGGAGTCCACAAATAACCATCTCCATCAGACACCAGAAATCCTGCAGAGTGCACCTCCACCCAGTTCCTTGTCTGTGCCTCTGCATCTCTGTCCTCACAGTGGCCCCTATCCCTAAAACCAGCCCAGGTCAAAGCCTCTCCAGTCTTGACTTCTCATCCACAGGACAGGCCCACAGACCCCTGTGATCAAGATTTCCAAACCTCCCAGAGTTTGCTCAGGTAGCAACCCTGGGGGATCCTCCATCCATCCAATTATCTTCCTAGCCAACCATCTTTAAACATCCATCTTTCCACCACCTATGCATCTGTCCTTAACCCCATCATACCATCTATTCAACCATCTGTCCAACCATCCATCCATCCACCCAACCAACCATCCATCAATCCATCCAACCATTCAACTGTCCATCCAACCTATCATCTACCAACCATCTATCCATCCATCAGTCCACCATCAATCCATCCATCCAATCATCCCTATCCATCCAACCATTCACCTATCCTACCATCCATCCATCAATTCATCCAACCATTCACCATCCAACCATACATCCACCCACCCAACCATGCAACCATCCACCAGCCTACGATCCATCCAAACATTCATCCAACCATCCACCATCTTACCATCCATCCATTAATCTATCCATCCAACCATTCACCATTCTACTACCCATCTAACCATTTACCTAAACATCTACCATCCTACCACCCATCTATCCATCCACCATTCTATCATCCAGCCAATATGCATTCATCTAACCCTCCATCCATCCATCCATCCATCAATCCATCCATCCAACCACCCACCATCCTACTGTCCATCCAACCATTTATCTACCCATCTACCACCCCACTGTTCATCCATCCATCCAACATCCATCCATCCTACTATCCATCCAGCCAATTATCCACCATCCACCATCCTACCATCCATCCAACCATACACCACCCGAATATTTATCCCACCATCTATCCAACAATCCACCCACCCTGTATCCATCCTTCCACCCATCCAACCATTCATCCATCCCTGACCCATCCAATCATCCACCTGTATCTGTTTTTTGGGGGGGGGTTTGAGATAGGGGTCTCGCTCTGTCACTCAGGCTGGAGTGCAGTGGCATGATCTTGGCTCACTGCAACCTTGCCTCCTGGGTTCAAGCAATCCTCCCACCTCAGCCTCTGGTATGGTTTGGCTGTGTCGCCACCCAAATCTCATCTTGAATTCCCATGTGTTGTGGGAGGGACCCAGTGGGTAATTGAATCATGGGGACAGGTCTTTCCCATGCTGTTCTCGTGATTCTGAATAAGTCTCATGAGATCTGATGGTTTTATAAGGAGGAATTTCCCTGCATAAGTTCCTTCTCTCTCTTGTCTGTCACCATGTGAGATGTGCCATTCCCCTTCTGCCATGATTGTGAGGCCTCCCCAGCCACATGGAACTGCAAATCCAATAAACCTCTTTCTTTTGTAAATTGCCCAGTCTCAAATACGTCTTTATCAGCAGCATGAAAATGGACTAATACAACCTCCCAGTGAATAGTTGGGACTATAGGCACGTGCCCCCATGCCCAGCTAATTTTTGTATTCTTCTTCTTCTTTTTCTTTTTTTTTTTTTTTTTGAGACAGGAGTCTCGCTCTGTCACCCAGGCTGGAGTGCACTGGCACCACCTCGGCTCACTGAAACTTCCACCTCCCAGGTTCAAGCGATTCTCCTGCCTCAGCCTCCTGAGTAGATGGGATTACAGGTGCCCGTCACCACGCCTGGCTGATTTTTGTATTTTTAGTAGAC
The DNA here is from genome assembly GCF_000001405.40 of Homo sapiens. Taxonomy (NCBI): domain Eukaryota; kingdom Metazoa; phylum Chordata; class Mammalia; order Primates; family Hominidae; genus Homo; species Homo sapiens. The sequence goes on along the minus strand of NC_000014.9, from coordinate 104,823,548 downwards.
ACAGGGTTTTACCATCTTGGCCAGGCTGGTCTTGAACTCCTGACCTTGGGATCCACCCGCCTCGGCCTCACAAAATTCTGGGATTACAGGCATGAGCCACCACGCCCGGCCTTTTGTATTTTCAAACGTCCAGCAGCACCACTGGTTGCGCACCTCATCTGGAGGGAAGGGAGGGCCTGGAGGACAGATTTACGTTGATTAGGCCTAACTCACAGGCAGGAGATGGCTCTGTGGACTGGGGAGGGGAGCTAAGGAACTGCTTGAAAGGGCAGGGGCTAAGACATTTGTAATCCATGAAAATGCTGGAAGCATTCCCTGCAGAGGAGGGGCTCAAAACCAGGGAGGCCTTCGGTGGACGGACACATCATGGCCTTGCCACGCCTCTGCAGTCCTTTGCACAAAGTGGCTGAGGCCACAGGCATGGTGGCCACACAGGCTCCGTAGCCTATTCACCCCCACCAGACCCTTCCAGCAGCATGGACAGCTGGGCGCCCATCTTTCCAACAGCGAGGATGGTGTCTGAGCCCTGATGTGGCACCACCCCCTGTGGGGAGGGCAGCCAGCCTCCAGGAAGCAGGCAGAGCACACGGCGTGCCTTTTGTCGAGAGCCAGTCCTTGCAGGGATGGATCCTCAAAGGGACGGGTCCTCGCAGGCTTCTCCCGCCAGCATGCCATCCTTGGCCTCCTTCGCTGCCTTGGGATTCCACAAATGACACTTGTAATCCAGGGCCTTGTTTCAGAGGAAAACCAGTGTGGCGATAAGCTTGTGTCCATCAGTTCCACTGGTCTCACTCCACGCCCTTCACCTAGAAGCAGGAGGCCTAACAGACTGGTGGAATGGTTGCAGCGGGGAGACTGCACCCCTTAACACTGAGATGCAGGCCTGTGGGGGGCAGAACAGGCTTCTAACCTGGGACCGACCTAGGAGGCCGTTTCCCCACCGCCAGAATGCCGAACTGGAGGTGGCCATGCCTGTGAGAGGGCTTCTGTGGACGGACGCCAGTCACGGCCTTGCCACGCCTCTGCAGTCCTTACACAGAGTGGCCGTGACAGCTAATCGGCTATGGAGGGATTTTTCTTTCCCACTCTGGTAAGGTGGGGTCGCAGGAGTGGCAGTCCTGGCTCCCGGTCCTCTGGGGAACGTGGGTCTGCTTCCCAAACACAGGAGCAGAGATGCCCTCTGGCCATGTGGGGCCGCTCACTGCCGAGCTGACCGCTGGAGAAGGGAGCTCCGCGGGCCAGAGATCTCTGCAGAGGAATCTCTTCGGAGAGATCCCTGCAGGAGGGTGGGAATGCTGCCTCAGGTGAGGAGGAAGCACTGTGTCAAAACCCAGGGATTCTGGGGCACTGCTCGATATTCCCATGTCACCTAATAAAGGTCCGTGGAAAACTAGGGCAGCTCCCACAGACAGAGCTGTGAGGCTCAGAGCCGGCCTGAGTGAGGACTCGGGTCGAGGTGCCTGGTAGAGACCCCAGCCTAAGCGTGGCAGAGGGAGAAGCACATCGGATGTGTGGGGAGACAGAAGCTGTTACGGGTCGAATTGTGTCCCCTCGAATTCATATGTTGAAGGCCTAACCCCCAGGGCCTCAGAATGTGACCTTGTTTGGAAATAGGGTCTTTGCAGATGTGATCCATCAAGTTAGGGTGAGTCATCCCGGGAGTGTGGGCCCCTGATCCTGTGTGACTGTGTCCTTATAAAGACGGGAAATTTGGACACAGCTCGCAGGGAGAATACCATGTGAAGATTCGGGCAGAGATTGAGGCGCTGCCTCCACCAGCCAAGGAACAGCAAAGATGGCCTGCAAACCCCACGAGAGTGGAGGAGAGGCCAGGTTCCCCACAACTGCCTCAGACCCAACCAGCCCTGTGGACAGCTGGAGCCTCCAGAACTGGGACCACACGCTGCTGCTGTTCACGCCCCGTTGGAGGCACCTCCTTACAGTGGCCCTAGCACACCAACGCTGGAGCTGTACTCACCAGTGCGGGCCCCCGACCCGCTCCTGCGTTGCAGGCCGGCAATGCCCCGACCCAGGAGCTCTGTCCTGAGGTCCATGCTGCAGAGTTCCTTGCTGTGCCCTCCTCCAGCTCAAGGGACATGGCCCCTCAGCACCTAGCCCCTTCCGTCTAGGTTGCTGCCCACACAGGCCTGAGCCTGCTTCCCAGACGGCAGGCCTCTTCCTGGGGTCTGCCTCCTGGGTGGACGCCGCCGCTGCGTGCACACATCTAGGCTCAAGTGGTGGCTGTTGGTGGTGGGCAGTGGACAGAGCTTGGTCGTCAGGCTGGGGTTTTGACATGCCTCTGGGAGAGCCTCCATGGTGCAGGGATGAGGAGTGGGCCAGCCGCAGCAGGAGCTTCTATTCCCGGACGCAGCGTATTGCAGGTTAATTTACCATTTCCTTTGATCCTCTTCCCTGCCACCTCTAAGGAGGGATTACTAGTGGCTCACAACACAGCTCCGATTTCTGTGGGAAGTGCCGCTGTGGTTTCTTCCGTTTGGGGTTAGAAATTCTTTCTCTTAGGGAAGGACAGTCACCGAGGACAGGACGCAGAGTGCAAACGTGGGCTGTGCCATGAACCTCCATCGGCCGCCCAGTGCTGTGCTCTGCCTGGGACATCACCCCCTTCCCGCCAGTTCCTGCAGGAAGCCGCCAGTGGGAGCTGCTGGCAGGAGACTGAAAGGCAGGAGGCGGCTAGGGCCTTGCTCGCCACCCCTCCCTGCTCAGGCGCTGCCTCTGCAGCCAAACGTGCCCCGCAGCGCCCACGGGGTGCTCGCTCTGCTGGGATCCAGGCAGAGGCACATGAAGGTTTGCAGGGCCCAACAGGCACATTCTTTAAGCTCCTCTTTAAGGTACAAGGATACACACACACACACACACACACACACACACACACAATGTATATTTTAATATAGAAATATGTTTTCTTTGTTTACTTTTGGCTAAATTGTGTCCCTGCCCCCACCAACTCATATGTTGAAGTCCTAACCCCTATCCCTCAAAATGTGACTGTATTTCGAGATGGAGTCTTTAAATAAGGTCACTAGAGTGTGAGGTCCCTAATCCCATCTGACGGATACCCTCATAAGAGATCAGGACACACACAGGGAAGACAACGTGAAGACACAGGGAGAAGGCAGCGTCTACAAGCCAAGGAGGGGGCCTCTGGAGAACCCAAGCCTGCTGACACCCCTTTTCAGACTTCCGGCCGCCAGAACTGTGAGAAATAAAGTTCCATTGTCGGCCGGCCATGGTGGCTCACGCCTGTAATCCCAGCACTTTGGGAGGCCGAGGCAGGTGGATCACTTGAGGTCAGGAGTTCAAGACCAGCCTGGCCAACATAGTGAAAAAAATTTGTATTTTTGTATTTTGGGTCTCTACCAAAAATACAAAAACTAGCCGAGCATGGTGGTGGGCACCTGTAGTCCCAGCTACTGGGGAGGGTGAGGTGGGAGAATCACTTGAACCCAGGAGACAGAGGTTGCAGTGAGCCGAGATCGCACCCCTGCATTCCAGCCTGGGCAACAGAGTAAGACCTTGCCTCAAAAAAAGAAAAAAATCCATTGTTTAAGCTGCCCAGGCTGTAGTATTTTGTTTTGGCAGCCCTGGCAGACTGTAGATAGATGGACAGATGGTATGGAGAGAAATGTAGAGATATGTGTATTTATTTAAGGTATGTAAATTATGTCACATGACTCTGCAAGTACATTTCTGGGGTCCCTCCCAGGGCCCTGAGAAAGGGCGTGAAGGTCAGGGTCCCTGACTCTCAAACCTCACCAGCCTCACGGCCCTACATGGCTGGCCTCCGGGCACCTCGGCCCCTGGTCTACTCCCTGACCCCTGCCTGCACCTCTAAATGAGTTCGAAGGAGAGAGCTCCAGTTTCTGCAGGCCCCACCCAGGGCGTTCTCGCCCCAGGCCTGCCACCCTGCCTGCCTCCTTACTAGTTTGGTGCCTGCTGCTCTCATGGGCTCCCACATTCGGAAATACCCAAGGTGGTGGGCATCGTCTCCACGTTCATCTGGACAGCCCACCTTCGGGGACAATAAGCCCAGCCCCAAGGATCGCTCTGCTCCCAGGGAGACAGCAGGACTGTCTGCAGGGAATGTAGCTTGGCTGGCTCCCAGCTGGGGGGTGAGATGCCAGAGTCCTCACCTGCAAGCATTTCAAATGCACACCCTCGCTGCTTCAGGGGTGACAGGGGTGGGAATCACTGCATTTTGCCTATCAGGATATGTGCTCTGAATTCCCTCCCCTCTTGTAGGTAGGACAGGAGAGGGTATGACATGAGGCTGCCAGAGCTGTGTAGCTTATAGGACTCTCGCTCAGTCACCTGGGCTGGAATACAGGGGTGCAATCTTGGCTCACTGTAACCTCTGCCTCTGGTTCAAGTGATTCTCCTGCCTCAGCCTCCTGAGTAGCTGGGATCACAGGCATGTGCCACCACACCCGGCTGATTTTTGCATGTTTGGCTGAGATGGGGTTTCACCACGTTGGCCAGGCTGGTCTCAAACATCTGCCTTGGCCTCCCAAAGTGCTGGGATTATAGGCGTGAGCCACCGCGCCTGGCCAAGCTGTGTAGCTTCTGTCACTTCCTTGAAAGCCCAGGGGTAGAAGCCTGGGCCCTTGGTTGGGTCTCTCTTTGGAATCACTAAGCAAAACCCAACTGTGGGATCTGGTTGCTTGTCTACCCCCTCCCTCCCACTTGCCCAGACACTGTGGTCGGGGGCTGCGCTGGGGTTCCACTGCCGTAACAAAGGACCACAAATTGCATGCTACAAATGGCAGAAATGCATTCACACAGCTCTGGAGGCCGGATGGCAAGGTGCCACAGGGCTGCGCTTCCTCTGAAGGCTGAGAGGAGGCCCCTCCCTCGCTGCTCTCCTAGCAGCATCTGGTGTGGGGTCACAGTCCTGCTTTCCTCAGCTTGAAGCTGCAGCACTTCGAGCTCTGCCTCAGTTGTCACATGGTGGATGGTTAATTTTATGTCAACTTGACTGGGCAAGGGGGTGCCCAGATAGCTGGTAAATGTGATTTCTGGGTGTGTCTGTGAGGGCGTTTCTGGAAGAAGTTGGCACTTGAATTAGTATAGTAAACTGCGTACAGAAGACCCACCCACACCAGTGTGGGTGAGCACTGTCCAATCTGAGGGCCTGAAAAGGACAAAAAGGTGGAAGAAGAATTTGCTTCTGTTTGAGCTGGGATGGCCATCTTCTCCTGCCCTCGGGCCTTGGACTCAGACTAATGACACCATGGCTGTCTTCCTTCTCCAGCATGCAGGCGACAGACTGACAGATCATGGCACTGCTCAGCCATGTACGATGTACATAGAAGCCTACTGGGGAGCCTCTGAGAATTTTGCTTTCATAATAAAGAGATAAACATCTCTGTAACTATCATTTCCCCATTCTTACAGCCAGAACATGGTGTGATGTCTGGAGCTGTGGCAATCCTTTTGTGACCATGAGGGAAAGTCACAGAATTGCAAAGCCTGTCCCTGCAATTGCTGGCCCTTACAGCACTGGGCTGCTGAAGTAATGCCAGTCACATCTACCTCCAGGATTCCTGTTATGGGAGAAAAATAAATCCCTATTGGTTCAAATCACCACACTTGGAGTTTCTGCTGTGAAGCCAAAAGTGCTTCTGATACATTATCCATCTACGTATCCATCCATCCTATAGTTAACAAAGTTTTTATTTATTTATTTTTTAGAGATGGGGGCTCACAATGTTGCCCACCCTGGCTGGTCTCCAACTCCTGAGCTCAAGCAATCCTCCTGCCTCAGCCTCCCAAAGTGCTGGGATTATACATGTGAGCCACCACACCTGGCCTAGATTTTAAGCAAATGAGTGACATGGTTAAACTTGCTTTTTAGAAAGGATTGGAGGAGGCTGGTGTGGTAGCTCATGCCTGTAATCCCCTTTGGGAGGCCAGGGTGGGCGGATCACTTGAGGCCAGGAGTTCCAGACCAGTTTGACCAACATGGCAGAATTCCATCTCTACTAAAAATACAAGTGGCACTTGTAGTTACTTGGGAAGTACTACTTGTACTTGGGAAGCTGAGACATGAGAATCACTGGAACCCAGGAGGCGGAGATTGCAGTGAGCCGAGATCACGCCACTGCACTCCAGCCTGGGCAACAGAGTGAAACTCCATCTCAAAAGGAAAAAAAAAGCCTCTGATCCCAGCACTTTGGGAGGCTGAGGTGGGTGAATCACTTGAGGTTAGTAGTTCAAGACCAGCCTGGCCAACATGGTGAAACCCTGTCTCTACTAAAATTACAAAAATTAGCCGGGTGTGGTGGCAGGCGCCTGTAATCCCAGCTACTCGAGAGGCTGATGCAGAATTGCTTGAACCCGAGAGGTGGAGGTTGCAGTGAGCCGGGATCATGCCACTGCACTCCAGCCTGGGCAAGAGTGAGACTCCATCTAAAAAAAAAAAAATTAAGGATTGGAGGAAAGAATAGAGGAAACAGAGGGAACGCAGGTGAAGGAGCTTATTCCTGAGGTGTCAGCCTGTAGGAAGTTGTTAACTGTTAGCAGGATTAAAGAAATTAAAGTGTTGAGGGATTCTCAGATTTGCACCAAACCAAGCTCTCTTAGCCCTCTAGAGTAGGGATATTTTTCCCCCAGACCTGACGTATCTTCACCTTTTGAGACGGGGTCGGGATTCTCCCTCATCCCACTGCTGCTTCTAAACCATTCTTCGGCCACCCTGGAGAGAAATCCGTGTTCCACCCGGGCATCATGCCGCTGGTCGCCTCACCTGGGCTGAGGGCCAGGGTCAGTCCAGCCAGCAGACAAAACCAAGAAGGTCTTCCCCAAAGCTGGGCCCGGTCAGGCAGGTGGAGGGCTCCTCTCCACAGAGGCTTGGCAGAGCACAGTGGGAAGTGCAAACTCCCTTGGGCAATGCCGAGGGTCGGGCAGGAGTATCCCCTGGCCCGTAACCAAGAAGCGAGCAAGGGGAACGCGTCGATGGTCACCCGCAGGGATGGAGAAGCAGCGCCACAGGGCAGCAGCGGGGCTCAAAAGGGGGCGTGAGGCCTCAAGAAGCTCGCAGACCTCCGGGAGGGATGCGGCCCGCGCCTCCCTGCAGTTCCCCTCTGCCCGGCCCTGCGGCCGCGTGGGGTGGCCTCGGCGTCCGGGAGAACAGCCCCTCTGGGCCGACTCCGTGTTCACGCCTCAGCGTCAGTGACGGCGCCAGGCACTAGCAAGGACACAGGGAGGTTCGCGTGGGGCTCGGGATCACCGCCGAATGCGCGTATCGCACCAAGTAACGCGCAGCGGACAGCCCCGCGACACAAAGGCGAGGAAATCGCTGGCAGCGCCCGTCCTCGCGGCCGCGCTTTTGGGAGGGGAGAGCGACAACACGGAAGTCGGCACGCGATGACTCCCGCGCAGCGCCGGCGCTAGAGCCCGGCCCAGGCGGAACCCCGCTCCGCCACTGCTTGCGTTTCCTTGGGGGGCGCTTCCGGCAGCGGCGCCACTCGCGGCCCCACGTGACTGGCGAGCGCCGGGAGGGGGTGCGCAGGCGCGCCCATCCGCTCCCGCCCGCCGGGTCTCCTCAGTCTGGCGGTCAGGGGGCCCGTCTGTCTACTCTGCGGACAGGTCACGTTCGGCAGCAGGCCTTTGTCGCGTCCGTCCGGCCTTGGCATCAGCTCGGAGAAGGCGGGTGGGAGGAGCAGGCCGCGATGGGAAGGAGGGGAGGCCCAGGAGCCGGCGCCGGCCCTTAAGAGCCGGACAAGGAGCCCGCCCGCCGCCACGAGCAGGCGCCCGGGACAGGGAAGCCCCGGCGCGCTGGGGCCTTGGGGAGGCGAGGTAGGAGGCAGGCGGCCGGGGCTGCGCGGGAGCAGGGATGGCCCAGGGCTGTGGCGTGGGAGTTGCGCAGGCGGGATTCGAAGAGGGCTCCCGGCGGGAGGCGTCAGTCCGGGGGCGTACGCGAGCGATGGCTGTGACCGCTGAGGGAGAGGACCAGGCTTCCTACAGCGCCGCCGCTCCCGGAGGAGACAGCCGTGGCCCGAAGCCCCAGGAGCGCCGGCAGGTGGACGGGAGGAGCGAGACTCTGTCTCAAAAAACATAAAATAAAATCATAAAATAAAATAACACGTTATGATGCTCCATTTGGTCCAGCCGCTTAGCGTGGCTGCTGTCGAATGCAGACACAGCAAGGAAAGGGAAACACCTCCGCACGTGGGGGAATTTATATGTGACATTTGCTCCCAAGTCAGCAGGGGTAATAAGTGACGTTGCTTGGCAGGGCGCGGTGGCTCACGCCTGTAATTCCAGCACTTTGGGAGGCCGAGGCGGGTGGATCACCTGAGGTCAGGAGTTCGAGACCAGCCTGGCCAACATGGTGAAACCCCGTCTCTACTAAAAATATAAAAATTAGCCGGTGTGGTGTTGGGCGCCTGTAATCCCAGCTACTCAGGAGGCTGAGGCAAGAGAATTGCCTGAACCCATGAAACGAGGTTGCAGTGAGCCGATACGGTGCCACTGCACTCCAGCCTGGGCGACAGAGTGACTCCACCTCAAGAAAAAAAAAAAAAAGTTCCTATATGATATGGAAAGATGTCTACAATCTCCTTTTTTTTTTTTTTTTTTTGACGGAGTCTCACTCTGTTGCCCAGGCTGGAGTCCAACGGCGTGATCTCGGCTCACTGCAACCTCCACCTCCCAGCTGCAAGCGATTATCCTGCCTCCGCCTCCCGAGTAGCTGGGACTACAGGCGCTGCCACCATGCCCGGCTAATTTTTCTATTTTTTAGTAGAGACGGGATTTTGCCATGTTGGCCAGTCTGGTCTCGAACTCCTGACCTCAGGTGATCTGCCTGCCTTGGCCTCCCAAAGTGCTGGGATTACAGGTGTGAGCCATCGCACCTGGCCTACAATCTATTTTTAAGTGAAAAAAGCAAGGTGCAGAACAACATACATGGTATGCTGCTTTTTGGGTGGTAATGGGGGAAAATATTTGCTTATAGTTGCGAAAAGAAACACTGGAGAATACACAAGAAACTAATAGTGGTTCCTTGAAGGCAGGGAAATGGAGTGGGGATGGAGGTACAGGGTAGGCAGGGAACACAGGCCACAGGGAGTCTCAATGTCTATTTTTTTAATGACAAAGGATAAAGATTAAAACAATACTTAGGAAAAAAGGAAAGAGAAAGTACACTGAAGTGGCCAGTCATGTGAGAACGCTGACCGGAAAGGGCAGAAAAGTGGAAGGAGGTAAGGGATCAAGGAAGCAATTTTGAATTTTATTTTAAGCTAATCCATTGAATTGATAATTAGTGATTGGTAACATGGTTCAAAAGTTTAAAAGTTACCCTCTCTCGTTTTCCAGCCACCGAGTTCCCTCCCCACAGGCAACCAAACCTCTTTTGATCTGTCCAGAAGTATTTCGTACATGTGAAAACGCATACTGTGCTCATGTGCATCCAGTTTCCCTTCTCTTTACACCACGGGAGGACAGGGTACAATCCTACTCCCTATTCTTCACACTCTTTTATACTCAGGACCCCGTCTAAACCTAATGACCTCCCAAAGGCTGCAAAAGAGTGCCTTCGTTTTTGTGACTATAGTATTCTGCTCAATGGATGGACCATGATTTATTAGCTGGCCCCCTGCCCATGGACATTGAGCCTTTTCCAGTGCTTTGCTGTACTGAACAATACTCCAACAAATACCCTTATACCGAGATCGTATTGCTTATGTGCAAGTTTATGGGATAGAATTTCCAGAACTGCTGGGTCAAAACACTTATGTAATTATAATGTGGACAGCAGTGATCAAATTGCCATCTGAATTAGGTGTGTGCCCATTTATACCTTACCAGTAATGTAGTAGAGGGTGCTGTTGTCCCATAGCTCCCCCAGTAATGTATGTTTCAAAGTTATGGACTGCATGTTCACGTCCCCCCAAAATTCACAGGAAATCTTACTATCCAATGCGATGATATTTGGAGACGGGACCTTTGGGAGGTCGTTGGGTTCAGGTGAGGTCATGAGGGTGGAGGCACTGATGTTCTTACGGGAAAAGGAGGAGACTGGAGCTTGCTCTCTTTGCAATGTGAGGGCACAACAAGAGGGCTGTCCCCACCAGACACCAAAGCTGCTGGCACCCCTATCTTGGACATGCCATCCTTCCGAACTGGGAGACACATTTCTGTTGTTTAAGCCACCCAGTCTGGTATTTTGTAACAGCACCATGAACTAAGACACAAAGTGTTTATCTTTGCCAGTCTGATACCGAATGGTATCTATATTTTTTCTTATGAACATTTTATTAAGGAAAGTTTTTTGTTGTTTGTTTTTTTTTTTTTTTTTTTTTTTTTTTTGAGACGGAGTCTCGCTCTGTCGCCCAGGCTGGAGTGCAGTGGCGCGATCTCAGCTCACTGCAAGCTCCACCTCCCGGGTTCACGCCATTCTCCTGCCTCAGCCTCCTAAGTAGCTGGGACTACAGGCGCCCACCACCACGCCTGGCTAATTTTTTTGTATTTTTAGTAGAGACGGGGTTTCACCATGTTAACCAGGATGGTCTCGATCTCCTGACCTCGTGATGCGCCCACTTCAGCCTCTCAAAGTGCGGGGATTACAGGCATGAACCACCGCGTCCAGCCTACTAATTTTTGTATTTTTAGTAGAGATGGAGTTTCACCTTCTTGGTCAGGCTGGTCTTGTACTCCTGACCTCGTGATCCTCCCGCCTCGGCCTCTCAAAGTGCTGGAGTTACAGGTGTGAGCCACTGTGCCCGGCCTCTTTTTTCTTTTTTTTTGAGATGGAGCGTCACTGTGTCACCCAGGCTGGAGTGCAGCGGCACGATCTCGGCTCACTGCAACCTCCACCTCCCAGGTTCAGGCGATTCTCCTGCCTCAACCTCCCGAGTAGGTGGGATTATAGGCACATGCCCAGCTAATTTTTGTATTTTCAGTAGAGGCGGGGTTTCGCCATTTTGGCCAGCCTGATCTCAAACCCCTGACCTCAGGTGATCTGCTCACCTCGGCCTCCCAAAGTGCTGGGATTACAGGCATGGCCACGCCTGGCCAAAATGCATGAATCTTAACTGTAAATTCTGAAAATGGCTGCACCTGTGTAGCCGCACCCCCCCCCCCAATAAAAATCTAAGCGTATCCATCACCCTAGAAGTTCCTTTGTGTCCCTCCCTCCCAGTCCCTGCTCATGATCTTGCCCTGAGGCAGCTGCTGGTCCCCTCTTTTTCTGCCGTGGATGAGTTCTGCCTCTGCGAGGACTCACCAGTGGGCAATCTTGCAGCAGGCTTCTCTCCATCAGCTCAGGGAGCTTCATCAACATCGGGTGCACCGCCAGCTCCTCTCTTTCATCCACGCATAAGATCCTGTTGTGCGAATATTCTGCAGTTGGTCTATCTGTTCTCCTGTGGGTGGGCACAGGGGTTGGAGAAAGCTCCTATGAGCATCAGAGGACACATCCTTTGTGGTTACACCTTTCACTTCTTTTCTGGATGACACCTGGGGGTAGAATCTTCAGGTCAAGTGGCAGGTGCGTGTTAACACGTTAACAGTGCTTGGTGTTGTCAGTCTTCAGAGCTGGCGTGTAGTGGTATCTTGTTGTGGGACTTTTTTGTTTGTCTTTTGTTTTGTGACAAGGTCTCTCTCTGTTACCCAGGCTGGAGTGCAGTGGCACAATCATGGCTCGCTGTATCCTTGATCCCCCAGGCTCAAGCAGTCTTCCCACTTCAGCCTCCCGAGTAGCTGGGACCATCGGTATGCACCACCACACCCAGCTAATTTTTTACTTTTTGTGGAGACAGGGTCTCACTATGTTGGCCAGGCTGGTCTTGAACTCCTGGGCTCAAGCAGTCCTCCCACCTGGGCCTCCCAAAGTGTTGGGATTATAGGCATGAGCCACCATGATTGGCCTTGGTGTGTTTTGTTTTGTGTTTTTGTTGTTTTCAAGACACTGTCTCGCTCTGTCATTCAGGCTGGAGTGCTGTGGCATGATCCCAGCTCACTGCAACCTCCACCTCCCAGGTTCAAGCGATTCTTCTGCCTCAGCCTCCCGAGTAGCTGGGATTACAGGTGCACGCCACCACGCCCGACTAATTTTTGTATTTTTAGTAGAGACGGTGTTGGTCGGGCTGGTCTCAAACTCCTGATCACAGGTGGTCTGTCCACCTCGGCCTCCTGAAGTGCGGGATTACAGGTGTGAGCCACCACGCCCAGCCCCTCGGTGGGTTTTGAGTCGCATTTCCCTGTGACTGATGATGTTGAGCACTTTTTCAGGTGTTTATTAGCCATTTGTGTAACTTCCTTTGTGCAAAGTCTATCAGATCTGCTGCCACAAACAGAGACCTCACCCGCCGCAGTTTGTTTTCAAGGGAAGCCTCCTCTCCAGCTTCCGCCTGTCTCCACCCGCTCTCCAGTGCCTTCCAGGAGTTTTTTTAACATGTCTATTTTTGTTCAGAATCTATCTTTGTTATCCATGGGGGATCAGTCCACCCAGGCTGCTCCACCATTGCTCCCTGTGGGGCGAGTTTACTTGTTTAAATTATATTTATTATAGATGGTGTGGAGATGCTTGCCCTTCCTTTTCTGTGACCTGTGCAGTGAAGGGAATGTGTGGGTTCATCCAGGTTGGGTCTTGGGAAGTAGTTTGATAGAAAAGGAGGGGAGGGCTCGAGGCAGGGGCTTGGGGTCAATCTAACGACGGCCAAGGCACTGAGTCGAGAGGCAGGCAGGAGAGGGCAGGAGACAGACTCGTGAAGGTGGCAAGGTCAAGAATTGGAAAACCACGAAATGAAGGAATTACTGTATAGAGAAATTACCTGCTTGATTAGGTAAACAGGAAAATAGCAGCTTGTGTCATGAGTGAGGATGCCTGAAGCTCACATTCCAGGGGAGCCGCGGCCTCTGGAGATGACCTGGGAAAGGCCACAGACCCAGGAGTGGGGGGCTCGCGTGGGATGGGAGATGAAGGAGATGGGGTGCCCAAAGCTGCAGCCTTGAGAAAATATGGGGGAGACAGGGGTGGGTCGAGAGCCCCGCAGAGAGGAGGAGGGTGTGAGCCTCTGGAGAGCTGGGCCTGGGTAAGCGGGAAGGGGTCAGGGATGCCCCCACCTTCCTTCCCGACCTGTTGGTGGTGCAGGCGGACTTCTGCAGGGGAGCAGTGCATGGGACAGCAGCGGGGGCAGCTGAGTGTCCAGGAGAACAAGCACAAAGGGGACCTGGACTGTCCCACACCCCGGTCTGCTCTGGGGATGCAGGGGTGGGGTGACAGCCAGGGAAGGGCGCTACTGGGAGGGCCTAGGCAATGGAGTTACCTGGGTTTTCTTTGTGGGTGAGGCTGTACCCCCTGACTGTACCCAAGTGTCCGTGGGTGTACCTGGAATATTGTGGGACAAAAATGGAAACATCAACAAATTTTACTGATGAGAAAACTGCAGTGGCTTGCCCAGAACTGGCAGAGCCAGGATGGGATCTGGGCCTCTGGCTCCAGCCCAGCGTCCTTGGGCCTCCATGTTCTTCTGAAACATTCAGGGTTCTGGACTGAATTTTGTCCCCAGCCAAATTCGTACATTGAGGTCCTAACTACCAGTCCCTCAGAATGTGCCTGTATTTGGAGATAGAGCCTTTAAAGAGGTGATGAAGGTAAAATGAGGTCATTAGGGTAGGCCTTAATCCCATAGGACTTGTGTCCTTATAAGAAGAGGAGATTAGGGCCAGGCACCGTGGCTCACGCCTGTCATCCCAACACTCTGGGAGGCCGAGGCGGGTGGATCACCTGAGGCCGGAAGTTCGAGACCAGCCTGACCAACATGGTGAAACCCCGTCTCTACTGAAAATACAAAATTAGCTGGGCATGGTAGTGGGTGCCGTAATCTCAGCTACTTGGGAGGCTGAGGCAGGAGAATCGCTCGAACCTGGGAGATGGAGGTTGCGATGAGCCAAGATCGCACCATTGCACTCCAGCCTGGACAACAAGAGCGAAACTCCGTCTCAAAAAAAAAAAAAAAAAAGAAGAAGAAGAGGAGATTAGGACACACACACAGGGAAGACCACGTGAGGCTGCAGAGAGAAGACCGCCCTTTACAAGCTGAGGAGATAGGACTCAGGAAGAAGCAACGCTGCAGATACCTTGAAACCTGTGAGACAATAAGTGTCTGTTGTTCAAGCCACCCTGTCTCTGTCTGTGGTACCTTATTATGACAGCCAGAGCCAACTACTACAGCCAATAAAGAAACAAAAAACATACCCCAGCGTCTGCTTCAGAAAGCAAAGAAAGGGATGTCTTGGGCTGGGCGCGGTGGCTCACGCCTGTAATCCCAGCACTTTGGGAGGCCGAGGAGGGCAGATCACGAGGTCAGGAGATTGAGACCATCCTGGTTAACACAGTGAAACTCCATCCCTACTAAAAATACAGAAAATTAGCCAGCTGTGGTGGCAGGCACCTGTAGTCCCAGCTACTCGGGAGGCTGAGGCAGGAGAATGGCGTGAACCTGGGAGGTGGAGCTTGCAGTGAGCCGAGATGGCGCCACTGCACTCCAGCCTGGGTAACAGAATGAGACTCCGTCTCAAAAAAAAAAAAAAAAAAAAAGAAAGAAAGAAAGGGATGTCTTGACTTCAGACTCAGACTTCTGCTAAAATTAGTGAAAACAAAACCAGGAGGGTTCCACAGAGGGAGGTGAGTCCCTGGCTCTCCCCCAGATCCACTGCCACCTCCGATACCAGGGCTATAGCTGGGCCAGCAGCAGCCTTGGTGCTCAATCATTCCTGCCTGGCAGGGGACAGTCCTCCGTGGCCTGGGACCTTTCTGAACGGCCACCCTCTCCGCCTCAGCCACAGGCTCTGGCACAGGCTCCAGAGGCAGCATCTTCTGCTGCTGCCAGCCCGTGTTGGGAGTGGCCTAGCCCTCCAGGCTGCTGTCCCTGGACTCCTCACTGCTGTGGTGTACCCCACCATCCTCCACAACAGCTGGAGGTGAAGGGGTGTTGAGGGAAAGTGGGAGGGGGAGGGGAGCAAGAGGCTGCCCAGAGCAGGGGAACAGAGCCAGGCCAGGGCCGGATTGCAAAGGTCCACAGACCAGCAATGCCCAAGCACACCTGGCGCCCCAGGGAGGCTGGGGGTGCTCTGTACGGCCTTGTTATCCTGGGGAGTCTGGGGGTGCTGTGTACGGCCTTGTTATCCTGGGGAGTCTGGGGGTGCTGTGTACGGCCTTGTTATCCTGGGGAGTCTGGGGGTGCTCTGTACGGCCTTGTTATCCTGGGGAGTCTGGGGGTGCTCTGTACGGCCTTGTTATCCTGGGGAGTCTGGGGGTGCTCTGTACGGCCTTGTTATCCTGGGGAGTCTGGGGGTGCTCTGTACGGCCTTGTTATCCTGGGGAGTCTGGGGGTGCTCTGTACGGCCTTGTTATCCTGGGGAGTCTGGGGGTGCTCTGTACGGCCTTGTTATCCTGGGGAGTCTGGGGGTGCTCTGTACGGCCTTGTTATCCTGGGGAGTCTGGGGGTGCTGTGTACGGCCTTGTTATCCTGGGGAGTCTGGGGGTGCTCTGTACGGCCTTGTTATCCTGGGGAGTCTGGGGGTGCTCTGTACGGCCTTGTTATCCTGGGGAGTCTGGGGGTGCTCTGTACGGCCTTGTTATCCTGGGGAGTCTGGGGGTGCTCTGTACGGCCTTGTTATCCTGGGGAGTCTGGGGGTGCTCTGTACGGCCTTGTTATCCTGGGGAGTCTGGGGGTGCTCTGTACGGCCTTGTTATCCTGGGGAGTCTGGGGGTGCTCTGTACGGCCTTGTTATCCTGGGGAGTCTGGGGGTGCTCTGTACGGCCTTGTTATCCTGGGGAGTCTGGGGGTGCTCTGTACGGCCTTGTTATCCTGGGGAGTCTGGGGGTGCTCTGTACGGCCTTGTTATCCTGGGGAGTCTGGGGGTGCTCTGTACGGCCTTGTTATCCTGGGGAGTCTGGGGGTGCTCTGTACGGCCTTGTTATCCTGGGGAGTCTGGGGGTGCTCTGTACGGCCTTGTTGTCAAAGGCTCCTCACCCTTGGTTCCCTTCTGACCTGGCAATGGCCCCAGAGGGAGGCAGGCAGGTGTTACATTTGTCAGCAGCAACACTGCCAACACTTAGTGTGGATGTTACCCTATTCACCCATCAACGGTTGTCTGCCATTCCCATTTCACAGGCGAGAATGCTGAGGCTGAAGAAAGGGAGTGACATGGTTATGAGCACAGGACAGGTGGCTGACGGGACAGGCACCGGTGGCCCTGTGTGCCATGGAATTCCGAATTCCTGGGACTTGCAGGGGCGGCCTTCCTTCTGTGCTGTGTGTTCAGAGGTGCCAGTGGGTGTGCGTGCAGAGAGGTACAGACCTACTTTCACAGAGATGCAGACTTTTCTTCTTCTGTATATGGAAGGGTAGTGGCGAGAGGGAGGAGGTGCAGGGAAACAGAAAATACCCTGGAACTAGCAGGTTCCATGGCTCATGCCTAGAATCCTAGCTACTCAGGAGGCTGAGTGGGGAGGGTCACTTGAGTCCAGGAGTTCAAGACCAGCCTGGGCGACACAAGACCATGTCTCAAAAAATAAAAATAAAAATCCTGGAACTTGAAGGCTACAGAAAAGGGAAGTGCAGATACTGAAGCTCCACTGAGTGAGGAGGGCAGATATTACCCCTTTCTCCAACCACTTCTCAGCTTGAACATAATCAAGCCCTACTTCCTCAGCCTGGAAGCCGACCTAGAGTTGGCTCAGTTTCTTTAGGGATCTTCCATAAAGGTGGTGGTGGTGGTGAAGGTGGAGGTGATGGTGATGGTGAAGATGGAGGTAGAGATGAAGGTGATGATGGTGGAGGTAATGGTGATGGAAGTGGAAGCAATGGTGCTGGAGGTGGAGGTGATGATGGTGGAGGTGGAGATGATGGTGGAGGTGATGGTGGTAGAGGTGGAGGTGATGGTGGGGGTGGAGGTGATGGTGGTGGAGGTGATGTGATAGTGGAGGTGATGGTGGTGGAGATGATACTGATGGCGGAGGTAAAGGTAATGGTGGAGGTGACAGTTGTGGTTCCATGGAGGGGGCGGTGATGGTGATGATGACCATGATGACAGCGTGGGATGTGTTCATTGAAGATGGGACTGAGGTGGGGATGAAAGAAGTCATAGAAAACCAGGGCAGAGCCTCTGTGGGCTTGGAGTTCACCCCTGAGAGCTGGGACAGCCAGGATTGGAGCCATGTCTGCACCGGGTTTGTTTGTTACCGGCTCTCCAGGGGTGTCTGTGGAGTGGAGCCTCCCACACCGGGAAGGACTCAGCACCATTCAGGAACACTGGGAAAGGTAAGACCAGGTGTGTGTGGGAGTGGGCAGGAGCTGGGGAGGTGGCAGAAGGGAAGGGCCAAGGCTGCCGACTCACCTGCTTCCCACTTGCAAGGCAGCCTCCCCAGGGTGGCGTCCACGCACCTGGGCTGACATGATCGGGCCTCTGTGGGGGGCCAGCCCCTGCCTGGTGCCTGTGTCTGTGTTGTCCACTCGCAGGCTCCTGAGAGGTCACCCTTCCTGGGGAGCCTCCAGGGATACCTCCTCCGCAGAGTCTGACCCTCTCCTTCCCTCTGGCCTCGTCCTTGCTGCCCCAACCTGCCACCGTGCCTCTGACAGCATTGGTGCCCTGTGCCCAGCACTGTGGGTAAACAGCTTGAGGTTTCCTGGAGTTTGTGGAAGGAAGTCCTGGATTTGCCACCAACTGGCTCTGGGACCATGGACAAGTACTGGTCCCTTCCATGTGCCTCAGTTTACCATCCAGCCAAGGAAGCCGGCTGGATGGCCTCCAAGGAGGGTGCCAGGAGGCCCACCCTGGCCAGGAGTGGGACTGAAAGCTTCCACGACAGCTCTAGCAGTCAGCTGAGTGTGAGCACAGTGTGGCAGAGCTGGGCAGGCTGGAGGGGCCCCAGGAAGCCCCATGCGCCCTAGGGGACAGCAGACCATCCTCCTTTCCTGCATGGTTAGCATAGCAACAGCCTCCTCCTCTGGGTTGAGAAGGCCTGGGCTGAGTCATGGGCCCAACTGGGAACATGAGAGGGCCTCCCTGCAGGACAGGGCACTGGTCCAAACTCAGCAGGAGGCACGGTGGGTGTGGGAGGGGGTAGGGGAGGAGCCAGCACCACCTCCCAGAAGGAAGGACCTGCATTTGGGGTCAGGACTGGGAAGGCGGCAGGAGCTGACCCAAGAGGGGCAGGCCCTTGCACACCAGCTCAGCCTGACTTTGAGGACTGTCTGGCCAGCACCATCCCCACCCTGTCCTGGGCCTGGGGCTTACCCTGGCTCTTCGCAAGTCAAGAGGGCACTGTGTTGACGCTTACAGCACATGTAGAGGCCCTGCCCCATTTGGTCTGGAAAGGAAGGCCGTGCTCCCGCCAGGGAGGGCTCAGGGCTAATGACCCCCTGCAAGGCCTCTGGAGGGAGCAGGGCAGAGGAGGAGGCGTGGAATTGCCCACCCCAGCCTCATCAACCCAGAGCCCAGCCCAGCCTGCACAGGGCTCTAGAAATTTCTGTGCCTTCTCCCACCAACAAGAGGCCAAGGGCGTAGGGTAGTGGGGAGGGCCATGGCATCCCCAGGTTCACAGGTTTCCTCCAGGGTCCAGCCTCCTTCCCCAGGGCAAGAAACCCCCGTGGACTGCCCTGCCCAAGCTGGCCTGTGTGCTCCGCCTCCCTGACAGATCTGCCTCCCTGGACTCCCCTCCCCCAAACGCTGGCAGTTGGGGACAAACCTGGGGAAAGAGGGGGTGCCACCTCAGCCCTGTCCCAGCCTCCCCCATCCACCAGCATGAGCACGTGGTGGCATCTGGGACACCTGTTCCCACCCGTCCTCAGGAATAGTCACTGCCGTTTCCACTGGAGGTGGGCTTTATTACTGTCGCCATGATGTGAAAAGAGGAAGACAGCACCCATTCCCACGCCTCCTAGACACTGTGCACCAACAACTGTCTGCTGGGGTTAGCACGGAGCTGTCCCCACCCCCAGGGTCAGAGCACCCACAGGTGCCGAGCTGGCCCAGGAGACCCCCACGCTGCTGACGCTGTTTGCCTTGTGTCTGCACAGGCCTCTACTAAACTCTCCCACACAATTAGTGTCTTAAATATATGTACACGTATATATTTTGTCCCAACTGTGTCAGTTATAAAATGAAAACTGACCACTTCTCCTTACGTTATCTTCACAGTAGCTGTGCAGAAGACAACAAATCCAGTGTTGATAGCTCAGGGCAGGCTGCCCACCCCAGCAAAGGGAAGTTCTTCCCCCATGGGACCCACTGGGGGACCCAGTGCCGCGGCCACATCTCCGTGCTTGGGTGGCAGTGTAGCTGCCCATCTACGGGGTGCCGGGTTGGCTTGGGCCTTGCCATGTGCCAGACGCATGCATACATACACACACACACACACACACACACACCCCCCACCCGATTATGGAGCACATCACACCGATCCCTTGCAGAGGTGGGGGCTGGGGCCCAGGACAATCAGAAGCAGGGCCCCTCCCCCAGCTGTCTCGAGACCAAAGCCATCCAGGGCCTCTGAGCCCTGGGGCATCACCCAGAAGCGCTGGGCTCCCAGGCTGGCACCCAGCACACCAGGAGCCCAGGGCGCGTGGGAGATGCGCTAGGGACGGTCTTTCACTCCAGACCAGGCTGACTAATAAATATGACATCCAGTGTTGTCAGGAGATGAGAAAATAACGTAGACTTGGCTGGACTCTGTTGTCAAGGCCATTCCCAGTCACAGAGGAAACATCCCAGGTGGTCTCCAGGCGTCCAGGTGGCTCTGCACCTGCCGACCCCCAGAGGCCAGTGAGGTTCTGGCAGCAAGATGTGCTCCATTAGGCAGGCAAAGCAGGGCGACCTGAACCAACGACATGTGTGGGGGTTGTGGTCTCCACATTCTATTCATGTTCGAGGAGCGTCAGTCTCCCAAGGCTGCGGATGGAGGCCCCTAGGGTGCTGCGACTCCCACTCCTCACCTGCCCCTAACCCTGCCGCCATGGCCACTTTCACCCATGCCTCGCCGTGGGGAAAGGAAGGCCCGCAAACCCTGCCCCTGGCGGACAGGGCAGCCCTTGCCTCTGCTCAGTCAGTGCACGGAAATGCCCACAGCTCCAGGGAAACCCCCTAGCAGGCAGAGTGACCGTCAAGGTAAGGCCCACGGTGGCCCAGCAGCAGCACACAGCTCAGCGGCCCAGACCCCACCCTGGGGGATGCCCAGAGGCTTCCTAGACCTGCACTCAGGCAGACAAGCATGTGGCTGGGCGGCCACCAGCAGACATCTGGCCGCCTCAGGAGGCTCTTCCTGGCTCTAAAGAGAATCCAGTTCCAAATTCCCACTTTCTCTGCTCAAAGTTACAGTGTGGTCATAATTGCACGCTCTCATGGACCCACGTCCCACCCGAGTGACAATGATGCCACAGCCACTCAGCTTCTAGCTGGCTCTACTCCTGCTGCCTTAGGATCCCTGCTGGGGCTGCACCCCCCCCCCCACCCCGAGACACCAGCTGTGCCCAGATGGCCCCTGCTGGCACTCACTGTGCCCCAGGCCTTCCTGGCAGGGGTTCCTGCTGCCGCTCCCCAGGAGTGTCCTGTTCCCTCCCAGCGCCCCATTGGGACGCACACCAACAACTTTTCTGACATGTGAATAATTCACCTAGCGTGGGGCCAGGCTCATGAAGACCTCCCCAAGCCTGCCAGAGAGGTGGTCAGGAAAGTCCCGGGCCGGGAGATGGATGTGCCATCTCACACGGAGAAACGGGGGCAGAGCCAGGTGCTGGTTGGACACCCCTCAGAACTTGGCTGGAGGGGACGGGAGAGGAAGATAGTG
Source organism: Homo sapiens (assembly GCF_000001405.40). NCBI lineage: Eukaryota > Metazoa > Chordata > Mammalia > Primates > Hominidae > Homo > Homo sapiens. The sequence goes on along the minus strand of NC_000014.9, from coordinate 104,802,733 downwards.
TCACAGCCTAGGCAGGGCACAGCCTGGGGGCCGGAATGAGTTGGAGAGTGAGGGGAAAGGAGAGGCAAGGTGGGAGGAAGGCTGCCCAAGTTACCGAGTCTGAGGCCAAGTTCCAGGAAGAGGCAGCATTCTCTCTGCCAGGAGGGTGGAGCCATCTGGCCCAAGCAGGGACCTCCACCTGGTCAGGCTTCACACCCCATGCTGTGTCCCACCTGGGAGGGCCCATCCCTTCCCTTCCACCCCACCCTCAGGACCCACAGGGATGCATCACACCAGAAGGGACTTGACGAGGCCACAGTGAAACTTGCGGACGTGGCGGTAGAGGTCCCCGGACTGCGTGAAACGGCGCTCACACCACCGGCAGGCATGCGGCTTCTCTCGAGTGTGCACTACGGTGTGCCGGCTCAGGTTGTGGGAGTACTGAAAACTTTTGCCACACTGCACACACGTATAGGGCTTCTCACCCGAGTGTGTCCGCTCGTGCCTCTTCAGTGTGTATGTGCACGAGAAGGTCTTCCCACAGAGCGGGCAGGTGGGTGCCACGCCGTCGGGTGAGAGCCGGGCCCGGGTGCTGTCTCGCTCACGGAAGTGGGCACTGAGGTGCAGCTGCAGCACGTGGGAGCTGGGAAACAGCTTGCTGCACAACGGGCAGATGCAGAGGGGCCCACCAGGCCCCAGCTCGTCCTCACTCGCCAGTCGCCCTGCACCAAGCTCCAGCTCCCGGCTGCCCTCTCCGCTGAGGGGCAGCGGCTGCAAGCCCACCACCAGGCCCTTGGCTGCAGGAACAGGAGGTGGCTTCGGGGGACTGTGGGGGCTCCTAGAGCTGCTGCTCTCCTCCTGTTCGGACAGTGAGTCCCGTTCGTCCTTCACCAGTGGCTGGGCCCCTGGCTGCCTCTGGCTGCAGAGGGGTGTCTGGAGGACGCACGGTGGGTGGACCCGCTCCTGCCTTGGGCCAGACTTCAACGACAGGTCCAGGGCCTGGTCTGACTCTTCTGGGACCTGGCAGGGAGGAGGCCCAGATGCTCGAGGAGGGAGGGCAGCCTTGACCCCAAACGGGGGGAGCTTGGCCTTTCGGGCAGCTGGGCAGAGGTCCGCGGTCCAGACAGGCCAGGGGCACGGTGGCTGAGCAGGTTCTGCCCCAGGGGCAGGGTTCCCCGGGTCCAGACTTCGATCCTTCTCCTGGAGCCTGCCCTTGCAGACCTTGACGATGTCATACATGTGCAGGTAGCTGGCGGCTGCCAGGACGTCCTCCACAGGCAGGCTGCGCAGGTCCAGGCGGCCCTCGTACATGAAGTCCAGTAGGCGGCCGAAGGCGGGCGCCGTGACGATGTCGCCGTTGAGCCGCACCGTGTCGCGACTGCCCGCGGGCCGGTCCCTGTAGAAGAGATGGAAGTAGACGCTGCACGCGGCCAGCACGGCACGGTGGGCCGGGAAGCGCGCGTCGCCCACCAGCACGGTGCAGTCGCATAGGAAGCCCAGCTCGCGCTGCTGTCTCAGGCGGCCCAGCAGCCGTCCGCCGTGCTCAGGGAACTCCATGCCGCCGCCGTCATCACCTGGGCACAAACGGGACGCCCGTCAGCGCGCCTGGAGGCGCCCACGAAGCGCCCTTCCCGGCTGCAGGCAGCGCGGAAAGAGCGGCGCGGGAGTGACGCGCGCAACCTCCCGTCCAGAGCCGCCGCGGGCACCTGCCCCGAGCAGGAAAAACTCGATCGAAAGTAAACAGTAGCAGCTCCGCCGCGGGGGCGGGTCCCGGGACTCAGGCGCAGGAGCCGGAGCCGCGCAAACCTGCGCGCGTCCCCGCCCGGGCGCTCCTGAACTTCACTCCCGGGCGGCCGCCCGCTCGCGGCGTCCCCGACGCCCGGGTGGCTGCGCCGCCACCCGCCCCACGCCTCCGCGCCGCCTCCAGCTGCCGCCCGGCCCACCAGATGCCGCCGCCGCCGGCCCCATTTATGGCAGCGCGGCCGCGGGGAGCGGGGAGAGGGCCGGCGGGCGGGCGGGGCGGGCAGAGCCGGGAGCCCACCCCCAGCGCTCACCTCCGCCGCCCCGAGCTCCTCTCCGGTCGCCGCTCGCGCGCGCGCCCTCCCCAGGGCGGCCCTGGCGCGCGTGGAGCTGCGGGCAGCGCGCCCCGGCGGGGAGGGCGCGGGGACGGCGAGGGCGCCGGGCGGGGCGCGCTCCAACTTGGCTGGCCCAGCGCCGCCCGCCGCTCGCCCCGCCCCAGAGAGAGCGAAACTCGGGGCGGGGGCCGGAGGGGGCGGGCCGAGCGACTTCCCGGAGCGGCGGAACCGCTGAGGTCACCCTCGCCCCCCCTTCCCTGTCCGCCCCACCCGGCCGGGCCCCGCGCGCAGCCAGCAGGGGCGCTGGGGTGTGAGGGGGGTTTAGGGCACTGCGCGGGGGCAGGGGGTCTCTCGCGATACTTGGCGCTTTGGCCTGGGTCCCCCACCTCCCAACCTTTCCCGGCATGGGGTCCTTACTGCGCCAGTCTGCAAAAGGAACCCTTCCGAGGGTCCGCTTGTATCCCAGCCCGCGTTGGGCAGTCACCCGAGGGTAAACCCGGGACCCTGGCCTCCCGCCACCTCGCAGGGCGCCGGCCTTGGGATGGCGTAGGGGTTGCGTGGATTGGGGGTCGTTAATTTTGCAAAGATGACACCTCCTTCTTCCTTGAAAGCCTCTTTTTGAATTTAATTCAGCTGGGACCCTCTTCCAAACATTCAAGCAGGATGTCGATCCTAGAGTCCAGAACGGGGACTTCCACCCTCTCCACAGACCCCAGCCCAGCGTCTATGGGGGACCCAGCGCAGAGAGGCACGGAAAACGGGCACCTCCCAGCAGACATGGTGGCACGGGGGGACAAACGCCATAACAGAGACAGTCGGAAGCCCTCCAGAGCCCAGGGTAGGCAGGAACGTGTTCAAAGAGGAGGAGACTCCGGACAGGGGCTGGCATGGGAGTGGGGGTAGGGAGGAGTGGGGGAAAGTGTTCTAGGGCAAAGAAGCATTGAGAAGATGTGAGGGGGACGCCTGGTTGTGGGAGAGGGAATCGCCAGAGAAGTAGAGAGTGTGTTTGGCGGGGTTAGGGTCCCTCCCAGGCAGATGGAGCCTTTTCCCAGGGGCACAACCTGGGCTGCCCTTGACTGAGCAGGTTTGAAGGTACTCTAGACCACCGGATCATCTTCACAACAGTCCCATTAACTAGACGCTCTTATTTTCATACCTTTTTGGTGAGAGAGTTTAGGTAAGGTACCCAGAGCCATGTATCAGGCAGTAAGTCACTGAACCACGATTTGAATTCAGCCGGTCTCATTCTTCTCTGCCTTGGAGTCCGGGAAATGGAGAATGTAGTGGAGGAGTCACCCCAGTCAAGGCCAAGCAGTGGGGTGGGGGTGGTGCTGGAAGAGGGGCTGGATCACAAAGGACAGGACCCGGCCAGGTATGTGTGTGCAGGAGGAGTGGAGCCCACAGTGGGATCTGAAGTCTGGGAAGGAAGGCCTCGTTGTTATACTAAAATATCATTCCTTGTTTCACCGGATGGACTGCATCTTTATTTCCTAAACCTGGCAACTGCAGCTTGGACCCCTGGAATGACACTGCACTTACAGCCACTGAGACTAGCTTAGGGACGGCAGAGGCCTGGCTCCCACTGCCGCCGGCCATCCACCCTAAGGACCCCTTCCTGAGGAAGGTCAACTCCCCTCTCTCCACGCATTTAAATAATCATCTGCCTTGCCCCAGCCACCAGCAGGAATAGCTGAATTCAAGTAAGTTAAGGGTGAACTCAGATGTGACTGCTCCCTTCCTGCCCTGCCTGGATCACAGCCCTGCCCCGGCCCCTCCCAACCTTGAGCACGACCAAACCTTTAACCTCTTTGAACCTCAGTAATCCTCATCTGCAAAATGGGAGTCAGAGTGCATCCCGGGGTCTTCGTGAACATTAACGACAGGGCCTGGCACTCAGCAAGCTCTCAGGCTCTGGAATGTTCTTCCCCAAAGAACCCTTCACTGGTTTCTCTTCATCCCTGTCTCTGCTGAAAGTCCACTCCTTAGTCAGGGTGGCCATTCCTGCCCACCTTCGCTAAGTTCCCTCGCAGTCCCTTCTGCTGCATACCCTCCTTTCCAGCCCATTCCGGGTGTCCTGTGATTGTGGGATATTCCAGCACCTTCTGAAAGGGAAGGGGCTGTTTGGTCACTTGGTGCTTAAAAGTTGGCAGGACGCAAGTGGGTGTTCAGTAAATGTTTGTTGAGTGAATGTGTGACGGTTGCTTCTGTGAGTGATTACGATGGTCCCACCATCCCTAATCCTGACTCCTCTGTGGCAACATTCCAGCCCTGCCTGCCCACACCCCCAGCCCCTGAACCTTCAGAGCAAGTAGGGGTGGCCTGCCACACTGGGGCTCTGGGCAACAGGCTGACAGCTCCCCACTGCAGGCTGGGAGCAAGCACCCTAGCCTGCCCTGCCTGGCTGGCGGGACAGAGAGAGCCTGGACACTTAATGGGGGTTGTGGTACACAGGGAGGGTCAGGATGCTGCCTTCAGGAGCCTAGGGTAGGACCTGGAAGGAGGGCCCAGCTAGGAATGGGCTAGATGAAGGGGAGGGGACAGTGGGAGAGAAGCTCCTTATCCCTCTCAGGTCGGGATGTCTGGGTTCAAGTCCCTCCTGCCCCACACCGATCAGGGAAGGGGGGCTGTTCCAGGCAGAGACCGCCCAGAGTTGGTGCTGGGATCCTGGCCAGCCTGTAGTCCTCAGAGCCCCTGTGACTGGCTGGGTCTCAAGTGCAGGAATGACAGGACACCGTCACACAGCCACTGTCGCGGCGGTGGTGGTTCAGGCAGAACCTCTGCAGACTCAGGCGGCCATCTGGCCTGGGAGCTGCCCTGAGGCCCCGCCCTGCAGCTGCTGCTGGGACCTACACAGCCCAGGGCCCTCGAGTCCTGCCCCCGGCCAGCAGCTGCAGAAGGTGACAGGGCAGGAGGCCCCTGAGCTCTGGGAGGAGGCAGCCGTCGGGCCCTTCCCTGGTGCAGCAGTTTTTGTCGGAAACATCTGGCCACAGAGCACCTCAGCAGTCCCAGCAGCAGCCGTGGGGCTGGGTTCTCTCCTGACCATTCTGTCTGGGGTGGGAGGGGGTGTTCTTGAAGAGAGGACTCTGCTTTCCCTCTGGGACGCTGGAGGAGAGGGAGATGGCCCTGCCCACTGGGAGATCCCCGTCTTGGGGGAGGGCAGTTCATGCCAAGGTGAAGACAGGACTGGAGTGTGGGGCCCACAGTGGGTTGCAGGCACCAGCAGATGCCAGGGCACCAGGCTGGGAAGACTGGGAGGCCTCCTTGGAGACAGCCAGTGCAAAATAAGCAAGAGGTCCAACCACTTCAAGAACAGCCCGCAATGTCACTGCCTCTTCCATGAGAGGGTGCCCTGCTCCCTCCCACATCCCCAAGCCTCGGCCACTTGCTGGCCTTGTCTCATGGCCCTCTTACCCTCTGCTTCCTCCCTGAATTCCTTCCTCCATCCTTGCATGGCAGAGCCCAGGATGGTGGACAGATACCAGGAACTCTTCCTCGGGGAGCAGTGGGCAGGTGGGACAGTCCCAGAGGGAGCCCCAGGTGGCTCATGGTGCAGGTTTGCTGGGTGAGAGACAGACACCAGACGCCCAGGCTCTGGGGGCAACCCTTGTGTCAGGTATCCCACCCAAGCGGCGCAGACCACTGGGCCTCTGACTTGGCCCCCTGGAGGTGGGCCCTTCCTGGGGTTACAAAGTCTGAGCTGGGAGGGAGCAGAGGTGCTCAGGCGAGAGGCAGGAATGGGGAGTCCCCTGTCTGAGGAGCGAGTGCCCTCATGCAGGGGGAGAGAGTCCTTCTCTTGGTCAGCCCCAAGAGGCAGGGATGAAGCCCGAGTTTTGGCTGCAGACTCTGTCCTGAGCACTGGGCCGAACCTGCTGCCTCTGTCTGCATCTCCTCCCACCCCCTCCCCTGCTGCCAGCTGAACTCACTCTGGCTGAAAATAAAAATGCTCCCCCAACCCCAATACTTAGCAGCCTCAGGAAGGTAACTCACAAGAGTCTGTCTTTCACAAAAGGGTTATTATCAACTGTGGGCCTCTGGAATGGGGGAGGGGCAGTTGTCGGAGGAACTTCTGGCTAGGAAGGGGTCGGGGTGGCAGTCACCTGCACTCTCCTGTGAGTGTCCAGGAGAAAGGGGTCTGTGTCCCACTTACTCATTCCATACCCGGGCCATCTGCCTCCCAGTGGACTTCGGACTGGGTGTCCGGGCTGACCAAGTCCACCCAGCAGGGAGGGCTCTGGGCTGTCAGCTGTCACAGCCCACCCTAGACACCGCTCCTCCTCTGTCTGGTGTCTGCTCCCAGCTCAAGGTGGGAGCCAGGCAAGGTGTGCCCCTCTTCTCCCACTCCCCAGCAAAGTCCCCCTTTTGTGAGTGTAGCTGCCAGTACCTAGGTGAATGGTTGACTCCCCTCGGAGCCTTCCTGCTCCTTGGAGGCCCACCTCCAACTGACCTCCTGTCCTGGCATCCTCCCGCACTTCCCCCAGAGGCACAAGGTCTTGGGATTGGGCCTTTTAGGTCACTCTTGGCCGCCCCCTCCACGCCCCCCAGAGTGGGGCAGCCTGAAAGTCAACCTAAGCCACCCCCGCCCCGCGCGCGGAGGCAGAAGTCCGGGATTCGTCCCTGACCTGTCTCGGGCCCCTTCTGCTAGGGTCACGGCAGAGCGAGCCCAGAAGCGCCGGGTCACTTTACAGACGGGGAAACTGAGGCCAGAGAGGGCGTGGCCCCGGGACGGGCTGGCTGGTGGCCGGGCTCCGTTAGCGGCCCAGCCCAGGCCCCAGGTCGTCGGGAGCTGCCCCTCAGCCCGGCCGCGCGCTCCCCGAGCGCGCTCCGCCCTCGCCGCCGGCCGCGCGGTGGGGACGCCCCGGGCGGCGGAGGCGGATGTGGGCGGGCGGCTCCGGGCGCGGGGCGGGCGCGGGGCGGGGAGAGGGCGGGCCGGCGGCGGCGGCAGGACCGAGCGCGGCAGGCGGCTGGCCCAGCGCACGCAGCGCGGCCCGAAGACGGGAGCAGGCGGCCGAGCACCGAGCGCTGGGCACCGGGCACCGAGCGGCGGCGGCACGCGAGGCCCGGCCCCGAGCAGCGCCCCCGCCCGCCGCGGCCTCCAGCCCGGCCCCGCCCAGCGCCGGCCCGCGGGGATGCGGAGCGGCGGGCGCCGGAGGCCGCGGCCCGGCTAGGCCCGCGCTCGCGCCCGGACGCGGCGGCCCGGTGAGTCCCCGCCCGCCGTGGCCGCCCGGGCCTGGATTTCCTCCCCGCGGGCCGGGCCGCTTTGTTCGCGGCCGGTCGGGCCGGGGCGCGAGCCGCGGCGCCGCCAGAATGGAGGAGCGGGAGCAGGAAGTGGCCGAGCGGGCCTGGGCGGGGAGGGCGCGGGGCGCGCGGGCCCGGCCAAGGGAGGGCGGCCCCACGCCGGGCGCCGGGGGTGCAGGCTGCCGGCCCCAGCCTCCCTCATGACCTTGGGGAGGCCGCTCCGCCGGGCGAGGCCGGGACCCGAGAGAAGGGACGCCGCCGGGCCTGGAGCTGGGGCTCGGGGTGCCCCTGCGGGCCGTGGGGCTCCCCGGGCGCTGGGCCAGCGAGGCAGCCGGCGGAGGTGCCCCGGGGTTGGAGAAAGACTCGCCGCGGCCGGCCTTCAAGTTTGTGGGAGGGCCCCGGAAGGAGACTTCGTTTCCCACGGACGAAAAGTTGTACGTGGTGGCGGGGTACCCAGGCTAGCCACAAAGGACTGTGACCCTCCTGGGCCCCGGAACTGCTTCCTGTCTTGGGTGGGCCCTGGAGGTCCTGCCCGCCCATCCCAGAGGCCAAGGCTTGGAGGGCAGCTGGGGCTTGCCCCTTAGATTGAGTATCCTGGGGCGCTAGCGAGCTTGGTCCTGTCGGGACGGCCTCTGAGTGCTGCCTTGGTCAGCGGGTGAGCTTGGGCCCCTGCTCTGCAGCCAGAGGCCGCCCCACATTCACTCCTGGGTCTCTCGGCCTTGCTCCAGGTGGCCACTTCTTGACTGCTTTGAGTCCCTCATCCGAGCGAAGGGCGGACGGAGTCCGTTGGTGGGGGTCCGGTTGCCTCTCCCGGGAGCTGTGTAGACTTCTCATACACCAGGGTTCTGGAGGCAGATGGAGGAGCCCTTTCGAAAACAGAGTATTTTTTTTTAAGTTGTGACTTAATAATAGTAGCAAGAATATGTGCTTATGGTAAAGGCAGGCGGCAGGTACGGAGGCTGTGGGAAGTCGGGGTCCCTCCGCCCCCACAGGCAGCCCTGTGCTGGCCTGGTGTATACGTTTCTGTGCAGACGTACACCACCCTGTGTGAGCACAGATGTATTTTTACACATGGCTCTGGACAGCTGTCTGACTCTGTCAGCAGCAGGCCTTGGAGGGGCTCAGGCCCGTGTGGGGGTGGGGGGACATCCAGAGGTCTTTGAGTCCAGCCCTCTGCCTCCAGGCCACGCCCACTCAGTGTCGTCAGAGCCCCCTGTGCCTGAGGCGTGCGCGGCTCGGAGCCCTGCCCTCGGAGTCCTGCGGTGCCTTCCTCGAGTCTGGCCTGCTTTCCATCCTGCTAAGTACTTGGGGCATTTCCCTCTTTGGGTAAGGTGTGGTCTTCCCTGTCCTGGCATTAGACACAAGGCAGTGGGCCTTCCTGCCATTCTAAGTGTAGCTTAAGACAATCAGTGCAAAGCAACCCTTTGTGGGTGTCCAGCCCTTGCCTCGGGAGGCCAGAAAGGTGGCCTGGGGGGAGAGCGTCTAAGCTGGCTGTGGAAAGACCCATGTTGGGATCCATTCCACAGAGGTCGTCAGGGGTCTCTGCCTGGCCTGGAGGTCCCAGAGAGGACCCTCCTCCCCTCAGGAAGGCCCATCTGGAAGGGTAGCAGAGGACTGCTCACAGGAAGAGCATGCGAAGTGCTCTTTCTGGGGATGCCTGTAGTTGGTGATGTGGGAACTGGGTTTTGAGGGATGCCTAGGAGTTCATCCATCAGAGGGGAAATGAGGAAGCCATGCAGGATCAATGGATAAAGTGTGCTCAGGTGAGGGTTGGCTGGTGGGCCGCTGCAGGGCGGGGGCCTGTCCAGTGCTCCCCCACTTACTTGCTGCCTCCCGACTGCTGTAATTATGGGTCTGTAACCACCCTGGACTGGGTGCTCCTCACTGACGGACTTGTCTGAACCTCTCTTTGTCTCCAGCGCCCAGCACTGGGCCTGGCAAAACCTGAGACGCCCGGTACATGTTGGCCAAATGAATGAACCAGATTCAGACCGGCAGGGGCGCTGTGGTTTAGGAGGGGCCTGGGGTTTCTCCCAGGAGGTTTTTGGGCTTGCGCTGGAGGGCTCTGGACTCCCGTTTGCGCCAGTGGCCTGCATCCTGGTCCTGTCTTCCTCATGTTTGAATTTCTTTGCTTTCCTAGTCTGGGGAGCAGGGAGGAGCCCTGTGCCCTGTCCCAGGATCCATGGGTAGGAACACCATGGACAGGGAGAGCAAACGGGGCCATCTGTCACCAGGGGCTTAGGGAAGGCCGAGCCAGCCTGGGTCAAAGAAGTCAAAGGGGCTGCCTGGAGGAGGCAGCCTGTCAGCTGGTGCATCAGGTTAGGGAGGCTGGGAAGGCCTTTTGGGGATGGGGGTGATTTGTCCAACGGCTGGGGGAGGTGGGAATGGGGAGGTGAGCAAGGCAGCAGCTCTCAGGGCCTGGCTGTTGCGGGTGGTGGTGGCAGGGGCTGGAGGCTCTAAGCCTAGAATAAGGAGAGGCCCAGGTCCAGGGAACTGTGTTCAATTACATGGATTTGACACTTGGCAGCCCTGAGTGTTTTGGGGAGAGGGAAGGCAGGCGGGCAGATGGGGGTCAGAGAGCTTAGAGGGATGGCAGCCCACCTGGGAAGGCAGGTGCGGGTGGAGCCCCCAGGCACGTGCAGTGGGTCTCTGGCTCACCCAGGGCGAGGAGCTGCCCTTAGCCAGGCGTGGCCTCACATTCAGCTTCCTTTGCTTCTCCCAGAGGCTGTGGCCAGGCCAGCTGGGCTCGGGGAGCGCCAGCCTGAGAGGAGCGCGTGAGCGTCGCGGGAGCCTCGGGCACCATGAGCGACGTGGCTATTGTGAAGGAGGGTTGGCTGCACAAACGAGGTTAGTACCCGCTGCCAGGGCTGGGCCTGGGGAGGGAGAGATGGGGGTAGTAGCCCCAGGGTCTGTGAGTGCCTGTGCCCTGCTGGGTGGGAGGGGCTGCCTCCCCTGGGGCTCCTGGGCTGGCCTAGGGTGAGTGTCCTGGGCCCCATGTCTTCCCATGGCATGGAGGGCACGGCCTCGGGGAGGCCAGGAGGATGAGGCCCTGTGCAGGGCCGGCCATCTGAGTGGCTTCCTGGTGTGGGCCCTGGCAGGCGGGGGAGCTGCTGCCAGCCTCTCTCCTGGCTTTCCTGGAAGGCAGCGAGGACACTGGGCTGTTCCAGGGTCTGGCACGCTGGCGGCCCAGGGCACTGCCCAAGGGCTCCTGAGGGCAGGGCAGGGCTGCTTGGCTTGGCCTGGTGCCTGCTTCAGGCCTGAGCTTTGGGGGTGGGGGGAATCCGTACCGCCTGGGCACAGGGCATGTTTGCCTTGGAGCTGCAGAGCTGGCTGAGCCAAGTCCCCCAGCCCCTGTGTCCCCCTCCTCACTCATTTGGCCTTGCAGCCTATGGAGGAGGTGCTGCCCGAGGGGCCTGGCCAGCAGCTGGGTGGGATGGGAGCTGGGGACATAGCCCCACCCCTTCCAACCCTGTGCAGGCCCTTCTGCCTCACCCACCCTCCGTTGCTCAGCGGGGTGCGGTGGAGTCTGGGTGGCTGTTTTGCTCCTCTGTCCTGCTAGGGTGGGCTTCCTGTTCAGGTCCAGGTCCTCTGGCCAAGTCACTCTCTTCTGCCCCAGGCGGAATCGGTCCGCCCTCTCCTGACTTCTTTTTCCAGACTTGTTCCCTCCTAAGTTCTAGTGATCTCATGCCAGCAGCCCCCCGGCTTTACGTACACCCTCTAGCAGATGGGTTTCACATCTGGTAGTGGGGAGACCCCAAACACAGCTGGAGCAGACAGGGAGGTGTGGCAAAAGTAGGTGTCACAAGATGGGGCATTGTGGGATGTATAGGAGCTCACAGAAGAGCAGGCCTAAGGAGCCACAGGAGCCTGGGGGTGGGGTGAAGGAGTGACCGAGATGAGATGCTGGGGGAATCAGGGGTGTGGCTGGCTGTGTGTTTGGAGTGTTTGAGTGGGCAGCTACCAGTGATGGCACGCGGGGCCTCGAGATGAAGACAAGGAGGCTGCAGACGCCTGTGGTCCTTGGGGAGCTTCTGGCTCTGCTTCCCCCCAAGGCCTCCTGCCGCATCCTGCCTTCTCCATCCCCTCCCCGTGTGCTGTCCCCTGCTTGTTCCCCAGGAGTCCTGCCACCTGTGCCTGGAGGTCCTCTCCTCACCTCACAGCCCTCTTTGGTGTCAGGGACCCCCTGCCCCGACCCTGGCCCTGTTCCTCTCTGTGTCACATAGTCTGCTGCCTGGGGCCGCTGCTTCTTTATCCTTGGCAAATGTGTGTTTGTTGATAGACTGTTGGATCTCGGGCTGACCCAGGAGATGCCAGGGCCTTGACTGCCCAGGGGCCCAGGCCCCAGTTACTGGGGCACCCATCAGCCAGCTGGGCCTAGGCAGGAGTGCTCCCCCGAGGCCAGGTGATTTTCAGGCTGCTGCTGATGTCGTGCCTTCAGGAGGGGCCTGGCAGGGACAGGACATCAGGCCCAGTGGGGCGTCCAGAGAGCTGAGTTTGAACCCTGGTTAGCCACTCTATCGCCATGACCCTTTCCAAGAGCAAGGTCATTGAGCTCCTTGGGCCTCAGTTTCCCCATCTACACCAGGGAGCGGTGGTGGGAGAGAGACCTGGTGGAGTGGAGAATGGCTTGTGGGCGGCCCTGAGTTGGGGTCCGGCCAGCCTCAGCAGCCTCTGGGCTCTGTCATCTGGCCCCTAGCCTCAGGCCAGGAGAGAGGGTCCTGTACCTCTACCCCCGGCTCTTCCTCCTCCATCCCCAGTGTAGTGGGCGCTGAGGATGGGAGGTGGCGTGGATATGACATATGCCCTTGGCAGGCATAGCCCCTCTTGTTGCCGAGAGCAGGTGGCGTCCACCCGCATGGCCGGCCGCTCCTTGCGGAGGAAAGCCTGTCCTCCGGGGCCTGCCGCATTTCGCCACTCCCGTCCCTGGGGTCCCCTGTGTGTCTTGCAGATGTGCTGTGCCACCCTCCTGGCAGGGCCAGCCCCACCCGCAACACTGGTTAGAGGTACTAGCTGCCTTCCTGTCCCTAGCAGGGCTGTGCTGGGCTGACCCCACCCGTGCTTCACAGTGCTCAGGCCTGGCTGGGGGTGGGGAGGGAGGGAGGGACGCAGTGACTGTCCTCCAGGCCCGGCCGCAGCCCCTTGCAGACGCCCTGTTCCACTCCCCCCCAGCCTTGCTCCTGCAGGTCAGGGTGCTTGTCTCAGAGGCTGGCCCGCACCTGTCCCCTTTGCCGGGACTCCCCACGACCGTGGCCTGGGGCACTTTGGTTCTCAGCTGAATCCCCAGGTGACAGTCCCACCACGGCTACTTGGGCTGGCCACACGTGGCGTGATGGTGCCTTCAGGGGTGATGTGGTCATTGAGATGAGAGGGGACGGGTATGCCCTGTGTGTGAGGGGTGGGGTGGCAGTGTCTGCAGGCTCCTTCTCCTGCTCCTTGGGAGGTGAGCGTCATCTCTGGGAAGTGGCCCAGGCTGCTTTCTGTTGTTCTGATGTGTGTGCTCTGAGTCAGAGGAGCTTCAGGGACAGAAGGGACCGGGCATGGGGACACAGGAGTTCCGGCTGCAGGCCTGTGTGGACCTGTGGCTGGACCCAGGCGAGGCCTCTGGGTCTGCACATCTAACAGGGAGATGGTTCCTGGAGGGTGAGCTTAGGCTGTTAAGGGCAGGAGCTAGTGAGGAGGCTGGTGGGGCCTATAGGGACAGGGGGCCAGATGTCCCCTCCTGTTTCGGCTGTCTCACTGGATAAGCAGCCCAGCTCAGCTCTGGCCATTGGTGGTCTGGTGGGCTCAGTGTTGCTCAGACGTTTGCATTTTCAAAGATTTGTTCTGTTGTGTGAAGTCTCCTGATTTTTGAAGGCTGACAATTTTAAAAAATCAATCCTGGGCCAGGGCGCAGGTCTGGCTGAACTCGGCCTCCAGCCTGCAGTTTTCCTTCCTTTGATAGCTCCGTGCCAGGCTTTGGCCAGAGGCTGTGTGGCTCTTTTGAGGTACTTTCCCCAAACAGCTTGCTCACCTTGCCCGCTTGCCCCAGTACTCCTGGGGCCGTGCACCAGCCTGGCTGCAGCCTAGCCCCGTGGAGAGCTGCCCTGGTGCAGCCCCGGCCTGGAGCCTGTTTTTGTCCACTCGCGGCTGTCTTCCTGAGCGTCCCCCCGTCCACATGGCTGGACCAAGTGGGTCAGGAGAGGGCCGAGGCGGGTGGCCGGGATGCTGGGACCCAGGATGAGGTGCTCTGGGCTCTCGAGAAAGGGCTGGGCCTAGGCCAGGAGTGGGTGCCGGCCGCAGGGGCACCACCTGGACTCCCTCAGGCTGGTCGCTGTCCGAGAGGGGCCGGGGAAGAGCTGCAGGCCTGGCTGCCTTCGGCAGGCTGTGACCCAGCAGGCCAAGGCCGAGTGGGCGGGGGTCGAGGGAAGCTGCCTGGGGCGCGTGGGTTACGCGGCAGACGCTCCTGAGTGTGTGGGCAGCGTGTCCAAGCCACGGATCTGGGTGCCTGGCCGGGCCCGGGTGACACGGGACCGTGTGTCCATGCGGCTCACGGAGGGTCCAGTCTCCGGACATCTGAGTCCTTGCCATGCCCTACCCCGGGCCCATGCCTGGCATAGACCCCCCAGTCCAGGCCTCAGGGCAGCCCCCTCACCACTCCTGCTGAGTTAGCCCCAGGCGTCCCGGTGGGGAGTATGGAGGCTGGTCTCTGACCCCAAGCAGGTGCCTAGGCTGGGCCTCCTTCCCACCCCCTCTCCCCGCCTTGAAGTCCTGGCACTGGCTGTCCCTGCGGGGGGGCACTGAGGCAGGGAGAGAGTGGTTCCTACCCCAGTGTGTTACTTCGCTTTGGTGAGCGACATAGAACCTCACTGCATCCCCAGCTGCTGCTCAGCCATCCAGCTGGTCCTGGGGTCCCTGCGTGAGGTGGGGGACCTCAGAGGGTACAGGCCACTCCCCTTCATCCTGGAGGAGGCCTTGGCTTTGCTGAGTAAACACCCTTGAGAAGAGGTCTGTGGGGGACTCTGAGCCCACTCCAGAGAGCAGCTGCTGCGGAGGGCCCCGCAGGGCTAATTGTTTGTGTGCAGATGGAGGCTGCTCATTACCCCGCCAGGATGAGGGGCCCAGCAGGACCCTGAGGGAGGGAGCCCGCAGACTCTCCCCTCAGCCTGTGGGAACCTTTGGGCTCCAGGCCAGGGCTGCCTGTGCCTCCTGGGCCTCAGTTTTTCCCAGGCTGTCAGGTGAGGGTCAACCCCAGGCTGCGTCTAGGTGGCTTCAGTGTGAGACCCGCGGGCCCTGGGCTGGTTAGTGCCAAGCTCTGCCTCCCCTGGGGGAGCGTTGAGGGTCTGGAACGGCCCCCGTGGGCAGGCCAGGGACAGAGATGGGGAGGCAAGTGTGCTGGCTCCTGGTGGGAGGGCTGGGCAGAGAGTGGGGGTCCCAACAGCCCTGGGCCTACCCGGGAGAGGGGCAGGAGGCACAGGCTGGTGGAGGTCATGGCATGGCTGTGGTGGAGGCCGCCAGCATCAGGGAGGTTCCTGTTTTGGGAGCTTGTTGAGTTCTCACTTCAAAAACAACAAAAGAGGAAGCCGAGGTGGCCTTGAGTGGGGGTGAGGGGTCACTGCTGGCCCCAGCCCTGGACCTTAGCCCCCACGCCTGGTGGCTCCTGAGTGGACAGCTCTTCTTCCTGTGTGTTTCTTGGTCACTGGCCCTCTCTGGGCAGGGATGCCCTGTGGGGGGCTGGACTCCGGGAAGGGAAACTGAGGCCCAGGAGAGTGGACAGAATGTGGGTGGAATGATTCCTGTGCTGGGGCCTAGACCCCCGTACACCTTCCACTCTCAGGAGAAGCCTGGCCGGGTTGCATCAGGCCGGGTTCCTAGAAGTCCTGCACGAGGCTGAGCGGAGGGAACTGGCGCGGCCCCCGCTGGCGTCCCCTCTGCCTGGGCACACCCGGCCCGGCTTGGGGCCAGCACCCTGCCCTCGGGCCCTCCCATAGCTGAGACTGGTGGCTGTGGCTGTGGCTCTGGGCCTGCTCCCCAGGCCACCCTGGGTGGGCAGCTGCCTGCTGCTTCTGTCTGCTTGGACCATTGTGCCTAGTCCCATGGCCTCAGGAGAAGGTTCCCCCAGCCCAGCGCTGGGGCCCCGGGCAGGTTGGCAGAGGGCCCTGGGGCTCCAGGCCAGGATGGGGCTGTTAGGCGAACCCTAGGCCCCTTACTTCCTCATCTCCAACGGGAGTTCCCTTCCCTGCCATGCCGCCTTTAGGTGTGTTTTCCTTGAACCTTAAGGAATGATAGGTTTGGATTTCAGAAACGTTGGAATTGAGGGGGTTGGGAGTTCATGGGTGACTCTGCTGCCAATGTTGCGGGCTTTGGGGTGGGATCCTTGGGGCGCTGTGTTTGGGCTCACACACCCCCCAGGCGGGCCCGGTGACTGCAGACCCCACCCATACCCTGTAACCTGGCGGGCCCACCTGCCCAGGCCCTCAGCTGGTTGTCCAGCTCAGGGGTGGAGACACCCCCTGGGCAGGCCTGGCGGGGAGGTGGCTGCTCCCTGGGCCTGGAGAATGCAGAGAGGCCCTTCGGCTGGCCAGGGTCTGGCTGGCCTCCCCACAGACTGGGGCCAGGGGCACAGCAGCCAGGTGTAGGGCGCGGAGACGCTGAGCTGCACAAGCTTGGTGAGGTGTGGGGTGAGGCCACGGGGGTCAGGGCCACAATGTCCCAGCAGGCCGGGGGATCAGAAGGAGCACCCTCCACAGCTGGCCGTGCTCTGGGGGCCCTCCTGCCCCAGGCGTGGCTCCAAGTTGGGGCAGAAACAAGATGGTGGGGAGATGGAAGGCCCCTCTGTGGCGGGTGCTTCCCATGGTCGGTGTGGAGGACGAGGTCCCTACTGCCTGGTTCCAGTTCCCCCAGCAATGCAGGGCACTTTTCCTGGGGTGTCAGGGATTGAGAGGCCAGCACTGGAGCCCTTCAACCGCCAGGGGCCCTGCCCAAGAGAGACGGGAGGAGGGAGGGGCTGTGGGCATGGCTGCGTGCCCCCGGCCGAGCCCCGGAAGGAGCCTGTGCCCGTGCCCACTTCCTTTCCCGAGGGCAGTGTCTACACGTGGGACACTGTGGCCAGCCCTCCCTCGCAGCAGGCACTGTGTGCTGTCCCCATGCCCAGCTTCCTCCCACGCAGGGAGCGAGGGTGAGGGCCCTGGGAACCCACTGGGTGGAGGGCACTTGGCAAAGCCTGCTGCAAGTTATGGGGAGAGTGGGCGGGGGCAGAGTAGGAGGCGCCAGGGAGGGGCTGCAGCCTCATCTGCAGGGGTCCTGAGTAGGCAGGGTGGGCCATGACATGGGTGGGGCTTGTTTGGGGCAGACCAAAAATGAGGTGGGGGACAGGGACAGGGACAGGGTCTTGGGATGTGCTGGGCTCTGCGATGGATGGGTGTGTGGCAGGTGGGGTGCCTTTGCCGGCCCGAGGGGTGGGTGACGGGCAGTGCCTGTGGGGGAGGACATCCAGGCCCAGGTGGTCTGTCAGGGGCAGCACCAGGGAGGCCCAGTACCCCACCCAGTAGAGCCCCAGGAGAATGGAAAGCTGAGACCCAGGTGCTTCCCTGGAGTGGCAGGAAGAGAGGCCCCAGCGCCTCCGGCTGTGCCTCAGCGAGGTGGACGGGGTCATGGTGGTGCCGCCTGCCCGCACCATGTTCCTCCCGGGGTGTGTGTGTCGGGCTGAGGCCTGCTCCATGGTGGAGCGGAAGGAGGTGAAGAATTTGCAGTTTGTGTCAAGTTACAACCCCTGCCTTGGCGGCAGGACCTGGGGTCTCTCTGGTCATGATCTGCCTCTGAGGGTCACCTCCCCTAAGTCTCCGTTTTCCCAGGGAGCTGATGGGCATGATGAGCCCTGCCCGCCCTGCCTGCCTGGTGGGCTTTCTGGGAGAGCAGAATGGGTCCTGGGCTGGGCGAGGCCCAGGCAGGTGGAGCGCCAGTCCTCTGCCTGGCGGGAACAGACACCTCTCCTTGTGCAGACTGGCCACTTGTGCCCCCTCAGAAGGGCTTGTGCCGGGAGGAGCAGTGGATGTATTTCACCCACAGACCTGGGGGCTCCAGCCAAGTGGGGTCAGCTGGCCTCCGTTGTGTGGCCCCTCCCCTGCCCCCACCCCAGCCTGGTTGTTTACAGGGTTCGAGGGCTGCTGGTAAAGGGGTGTGTACTCCCGGGCCCGGGCAGAGGCCTGGCAGGCCGGGCCCTTCGCGGTGAGCTGTGCGGTCTCCTGGCAGGCGGGGAGGGTGGGTTGCGGGCCCCTCATGGGCTGCCGTCAGCGGAGCCGTCTGCTCAATGTGCTGGAGAAGGTAAATGGGCCCCCGGCAGCTGTCGGGGCGATGGATGTGTCGGCAGTGGGGACCACGGTGGCCGCTGTCAGCTGGCGCCCGCTCCCAGGGCCTGCTGGGCTCACTTTGCTGTGGAGAAGCAGCTCGGTGCCGCCTGGCACCCTGCCAGCCGCTGCCACCACCGTCTCTGCGAAGTGTTTATCCAGCAGTTTCCTGAGAACTGGGGACTTTGAGAGAATGTTCAGGGAGCTGAGGACGTGGTGGCCTAGGGGGGCTGACACACCTGGTGGCTCAGGAGGTGGTCAGTCCCGGGACGTGGAGGGCCACCAGCTGGCCCTCAGGGGCCCACCCAGTCCTGCCCATGGCGCGTGGGTCCTGGCCCCCATGTCTAAGTGGGTGCCGCTTTGGGGGGCCTGACCCACAGTGTGGCCTGGGACACGTGTGTGAGGCGTGGAGAGGGTGGGCTGCCTGTGACTGTCCATGTGGTCCCCGTGGTGGTGGTGGGGTGGGTTGGGGGAGGCCAGGCAGGAGCAGCTTCCTCTCAGAACCCCGGTATTTGGTCCAGGAGGACTTCTGGGAAGGAACCCTCTTTCCCTGGGGGTGCTCCAGCCCCTTCCTGGGGATGAGCGGGGTTGGGGATGGAAGGTCACTCCTGCCGGAGGGCCACCCGGGACATCGGGATGCCAGAGGGACCAGGGCTGGGGTTGTGTGGGGCCCAGGAGGTGCAGGAGGAGTCGAGGGAGCCTGGTCTCCGCTGTCCCCCCGGGCAGGGACAGGAGTCTGGCCAACTGCCTACCCCCCACCGAGGGCAGCCACCTCCCATGCCTGGAGCCCTGGGCCATGGATGTGCTGGCTGGTGGGGAGGGTTACGGGTTTCATCAGGCACAGGAGCCCCTGCCCTTGTGGCTTCACAGGACCTGGTCTTGGATAGGTGCAGTGTCACAGGGTTAAGGGTCAGGGTGGCTCCCACCTGGCCCAGGGCTGGCCTTGAGAGAACCCTGAAGGGTGGGACCGGAGCTGCTGCCTCCCACTGCCCAGGGGGCCAGCAGGAGGGTGAGACTGGAACTGCTGCTTCCCCGCTGCCGAGGGAACCGGCCATGGGGCAGGAGGGTGGGACCGGAGCTGCTGCTTCCCCCTTGCCCAGGGGACCAGCCATGGGGCAGGAAGGTGGGACCAGTCCCCAGTGCCGTCCTCCACTCGGCCCCCCACTCAGGTCTTCTGGCAGTGGTGTGGGGTCCCCCATCCGGACTTGCTGACATTTCTGAAGGGGCACCTAGCCGTCTTCCCTGCCAGACCCTGAGGCCCAGGCCGGGGTTGCACTGGGACCCTGCCTGCTCCAGGTCCCGGGTCTGAAACATGTGCAGCGGGTGGGGACTTGGGGGTTCTTGAGCCCAGCATGGGGGTGTGAGAGTTAGGGACTGAAGAGGCCCCCTGGGCCTGAATGCTGGGCGGTCTCCATTGCCCTTGGGAGTGGCTGCTGGCAGGAGATGACTCTGGCTGTGTGTGGGGTGGGGCGTGCCCTGGCCTCCCCATTTGTTGCCTGCCTGTACCCGTCTGGAGTGAGGGCCTGGCGTGGCAACCTGGGGGTCTGTGCCCACTCTGTGTTTGGTGCCCTCAGCTGTGCAGGCAGGTGGGTGGGGTGGTGTTGGGGGGGTGACTGGGGTGGGGTGGGGGGATGCCAGCTGGCTGATGGTGGGGAGATGGAAGGCCCCTCTGTGGCGGGTGCTTCCCATGGTCGGTGTGGAGGACGAGGTCCCTACTGCCTGGTTCCAGTTCCCCCAGCAATGCAGGGCACTTTTCCTGGGGTGTCAGGGATTGAGAGGCCACTCTTCAAGTGGACTGTACTCCTGCCTCGAGTGGGGGGCATCTGAGGACCACAACAGGGTGGGGAACTCAAGTTAAGTCCTGGATGACAGGTTCCAGTTCCCCTGGGGACCCTCAGGATAGTGAAGGAGAAGACTCCATGTGGGTTGGTCTCTTTGTGTGAGGGGTCTGGGAGGGCAGCCCTGGCTGATGTGTCTGTGCTCCCACCCTCCTGAGGGACCCGGAGTAGGCAGGTGCAGGCCTGCAGGCGTCCTGTGGCCATGAGGACAGTGATGCTGGGCCCCGGGTGGCTGTCTCCTCCACCTGCCCCGTCCTGTGTCACCCCAGTCCTGGATCAGGGAGTAGTGGGGCCCTGCCGCATCTGCTGTCGGGGCTGGCCGCCCACCCAGCATCCTGTCTGGGCTGAACTCGTTAAGATGCGCGCCACGGCCCTGGCTGCAGCTGGCACCCCCCCAAGTGATCCTCTAGCTGACCCTCTAGGCGAGAGATGAAGAAAGAGAACTGTGTGTCTCTGGACCCCTTACCCCGGGTCCCTGGGGATCCTGCTCCTCCCCTGGAGGGGTCTGTGTGCTGGGCTGGGATGCCGAAGACAAAGGCCACGTGAGGCCCCTTCACTCACACCCGTCTCCTGGGGTAGGCCCTGATCGCCGTCTGTTCCCTGGGTCTGTGGGGCCAGGCGAGGGGAAGGCACTGAAAGCCCAGGGCCCATTTGGGCCTCTGCCCATCCCAGGACTCCCCAGGAATGCTCGGGGCTGGGCACCTGTCCTCTCCCACCCCCCACGCCTGGTAAGCGCCGCCCCTGGGCCTGCCCCTCCCGCACCCCCAGATCCAGCTCCCAGAACCCCCCAGATGCAGCTCACAGAACCTGGGGCTGGGCTTGTGGCAGCAGGGTCAGGGGCAAGGCTGGGGTTGGGCACGGGAGCTGCGTGCTCGGGGGCAGCACGGGGCCATGCTGGGCACGGTGGGGGCTGGCAGCAGTTGGTGGATAAGATGGGTTTCAGGGGTGCCGGGCCTGGGCGCTCATCAGTCTTCCCGCTCAGTTAGCGTCCCGGGGAGTGGCAGCTGGCAGGATGGGAGGCACTCCATCAGGGGCCGACAGCTCCAGACTGGCATGCAGGCGGGTGGGCGTGAGCAGCGGGGTGGCCCAGGATGGGGGACGGGTGGGGTGGGCTGCATGCAGCCCCCTGAGCCTGCTCTGCTCTCACTGAGCGCCCCTGCCTGCCCGCTGCACCTGCAGGGGCCCTGTGGCTGGGGGAGGGGACGTGGGAGGCGGGGTGGAGCTGCGTGGCACGTATGTGCGTGTATGTGCACACTCGGGGGTGTGCGAGATCCCAGGTCAGGGACAGGAGCCGGCACCCAAGGGTGGCAGGACCACGCCTGCTCGGCAGCCCACTGGCAGGGGCATGGAGGGCTTGCGGAGTGGGTGGGGTCTCCTGATGAGTGCTCTTGGGCACAGGGGCAGATTCTGGGCCCTGGATCATCCTCCCTGCAACTGGGTGTTGGCCGTCCTCCAGAGGTGTCAGGCAGCTATGAGTGGGCTGTGGCTGTCCCCTTCCTGGTCCACCCCAGACCTGACAACAGCCTCTTCCCACACTCAGGCCCTGCTGGGTGGGGTGTCCCCACCCTCCACCAGCATCCCCCCAGCAGCCCTGGCTTGGGCAGAGAGAGGGCTGGTCTTGTGGAGACCACGCCCCGTGGTGCTGGTGGGAAGGGCATTGGGCAGCTGGGGCCGGGGTAGGAGGGAGAGGTCACCTGGCCGGGGGGTGGCCATGTGTCGAGCCTTGGTGGCTCACCTCTATTAAAGAACTCCCCCGTGGCTCCCTGGAAAGTAGAATGCCTGCTGGGATGCCCATGACCCATGTCCTCTGAGCTCCCCTGGGGCTGCTGCCCTGCTGGGACTTCCCTGTGCACCAGGGAGGGCTGGACGCGTCTGGGCTCACCACGAAGACCCAGCAGGACTGGGTGGTGGGTGGTCTGGTGATGGGACAATTGCTTGTCCCCCACATCCCTCCAGGTGTCCCTGTCTGGGGCTCAGTGTGGCATGAAAACCCAGGCCCCAGAGCTCAGGGACCCCAACCCCTTACCCTGGCCCCCTCCCTAACCCCTGCCCAGTGACCCCTCAGATGAAGCAGTTGCCTAATTAGTAAGTTCCCTGTTGTTCAAACTCCTTGCTTGGCAAAATGTAAGTGGAACATTTTTTTCCGAGTGTCAGTATGAAAAATGGTACTTGCTGGGCTATCACCGAGGACAGCTGCTCTGATTCTGAAGTGTGAACGCCTGCGTACGGCTGATGCTGCAAAACTTGAGGGAGAATGTTCCCGTGTACCTGAATGACCCACGGGTGGGACGCGGCAGGGCCGACGGCGGCAGGGCCTGAGTGTGGGTCTCAGCCTGGGGACTTGGCACCCTCTGTGCCCTGGGGCCCCTGCCCAGCTGGCTGGGCCACCTCCGTGTCTGGCTTCATCGGCAGTCCCCAAGACGGTGCTCCAGGCCCCTAGACAGGGAGTGCGATCCCACGGCAGTGGGCAGTCCTGTCCCGCGAGCCCGGCCCTCAGTCTGAGTGGTGCTGACCTCTAACTGTGGACGCCATGCTCCATCCTCCTGGTGGGTGGCGGCGGGGCGGGGGGGGCGGCCATGCTGGGCAGCCCACACAAGCCACTGTCACCTGCTGTCGCCACCTGGCCGACCCTGGTTGATTGGGGAATGCTGTCAGCCCCGCAGCCCCTGTGGCCATAGCTGGGGCCCGAGCTGCTGCTGGTGCCTGCTGGGGACTGGCTGGTTTAGGGCTGCCTCCTCCAGGAAGGCTGTGCAGACTGGCCCAGACCTCTTCCCAGCCTCCTGTCCATGGTACTCCATCCCCTGCGTCCAGCTGGCCCAGCCCGTTTTCAGACACAGCTCGGGGTGGCTCTTCTGAGAGGGGCGCTGTGGTGGGGCGAGTCTGCCTTCCCGTTGACCCAGGGCCGTTTCTGTCGCTGGCCCTAAGAAACAGCTCCCGTACCGCGCCTGCCCCCTGGGACTCAGGCATCCCAGGCACATCTGTCCTGGCACACCCAGTTCCTGCCTGGCTGCCTGGCGAGGGTCTGACGGGTAGAGTGTGCGTGGCTCTCACCACCCGCACGTCTGTAGGGGAGTACATCAAGACCTGGCGGCCACGCTACTTCCTCCTCAAGAATGATGGCACCTTCATTGGCTACAAGGAGCGGCCGCAGGATGTGGACCAACGTGAGGCTCCCCTCAACAACTTCTCTGTGGCGCGTAAGTATCCCCTTGGCCTCTCGGGATTCAGATTTGGGGGGTTGGCTGGAGCCCTCTTTGCCCACCAGGCCCCACGATGGGGGTCCCCTGGAGCCTCCAAGTCCTGGGCTGGCAAGCAACAAGCACTGGCTGGGTGGGGGTCTCTGGGCCGAGTCCCGAGGCTGGCTGGGCAGGGGTCTCCGGGCTGAGTCCCAAAGCTGAGGCTGGCTGGGTGGGAGTCTCCAGGCTGAGTCCTAAGGCCGAGGCTGGCTGGGCAGGGGTCTCTGGTCCAAGTCCCGAGGCCGAGGCTGGCTGGGCAGGGGTCTCCGAGCTGAGTCCTGAGGCTGGCTGGGCGGGGGTCTCTGGTCCGAGTCCCGAGGCCGAGGCTGGCTGGGCCGGGGTCTCTGGGCTGAGTCCCGAGGCCGAGGCCGGCTGGGCAGGGGTTTCTGGGCAGAGTCCTGAGGCCGAGGCTGGCTGGGCGGGGGTCTCTGGGCCGAGTCCCAAGGCTGGCTGACCCTGGAGCAGTTCCCTGGTGCCCATGCTCTGGAAGCTGGAGGGTCCGGACAAGTGGCAGCAGAGCCCAGTCTCAGGGTGGACAGCTGCCCCGGGGGCCCCTCCTCCAAGGGGGTTAGATAGAGCCCATCAGGGCCTCTCCTTGGGAAACCCCTTGGGTGAGGGGGCAAGAGTCCATTGGGGTCTCCAGCTCTGAAGCCTCCATCACTCGAGGAAGAGCTCGTGCCTCTCCCTGCACAGGCTCTCAGCCTCCAGACCCCATGGCAGAGCCTTTGCTTCCCCTCTGTGAGGCTGCCTCCTTGCCCATGGAGGGGCAGGTGCAGAAAGGCCAGCGGGGGACCTTGGCCGGAGCATCCCACAGAGATGAGAGACATGTGACGCTCCCTGCTCCGCCCTGCTGTGGCTTTATTCCTTACCTGTAGCGGGGGCAGGTGCGACCCTACCCATGTCAGACGGGAACCCTGGCATGGAGACCCAGGCGCCCTGCTAGGTGGGAGGCTGGGGACACGTGGGCCTCCCAGCATGGTCCCCATTTTCTGTGTCCCTGTCCTGGAGCCCAGCTCTGCCTGTGGCAGCCAGAGACACGGGTTGGGCATGCAGGTGTGACTGAGTGGCTAATTAGGGCCCAGTTGTGGGCCATCTGTATGTGGCAGGGCTGGGTAACTGCAGGCCTCTGGGATCTGTCTCAGGCAGGTCTGTGGTGCAGAGCGAGGTGCCCACCAGGGGCTGGCCTTAGGTTCCATCCCCATGTGCTGCATCGGCCCCTCCCCTCCAAGTAGCTCTGCCCTCCTTTCTTTGAGGCCTGCGGTCCTCCGACTCCCTTGAACTTGCTGGACCCCCAGGTTCTGGTCCAGGGTCTGGGAGGAGGTTAAATGCAGGGAATCCGTCCCCAGGCTGGGCAGGGAAGGACTCCCACCCTTGGTGCCTGCACGTATAAGGGGAGGTGGGGTCAGTCTGGCACCCTGGCTGCTAGGTGGTCTGTGGCCAGCAAACCGTGCCCTGAAGCTTCTAGTTGGGAGGGGCAGAGGCCTTGCCCTGCAAAGCCCCAGGCTGAGGGGCTGGGGTTGGGGTGGGGTTTACCAGGACCTGGTTCCTGTAAGCCGAGGTCTCCTTCCCTGGCTCTTCCAGCCTCAAGCCAGCAGTAGCAGGGCAGCCTGATAGAGTAGGGCACCCCAGGGGTGAGGGGAGACCAGGAAGGCAGACACCCCTGTCTCCTGACAGCCTCGTAACCATGCAGGAGACTCACTGTGACTTGTCCCACACCCTCCCCAGTGTCTCCTCGGTTGGGGCTGGGGGCTTCAGGGATCAGGGAGAGGCTGGGTGCCAGCAGCGTGCCTGGTGGCACCTGGGACAGGGCCTTGCTGGGGGTGGGTGCTGTGGGTGTGCTCGCCAGGCCGAGGCATTGGGAAGGAACGAGGTGGGGAGCTCTCTGGAGAGGCACACGGGTGGGTACCAGCTGGAGGTGTTGCCTGAGCAGCTGGCAAGGCTGGGGCCTTCAGATTAGGCCATAGGTGAGTGGCCTGGAGCGCCTGGCCAAGGAGCAGAGCTGGGCAGGGGCCAGGGGCTGTGCTGGGCCTCTGTCCGGGGCTTTTCTCCGGGGAACGGTTCCGGGGCAGTGGGCTCGAGACTCTGGCCCTGGGGATTGCATACTGGGGCAGATCGGACCATCCAGGAGCGAGTGGGAGGTGGGTGTGCCGGGGCTTCACACCGGTTTCCACTTCTCTGGCCTGTGTTGACACAGGCCACCCTCCCCACCAGGCTGGTCCCGAGCCCCCTCCTGGCCCCCAGGCCTGGAAGACAGCTTCCTTGCTGCCTGGCCAGGCCCCCTTGTGGTTGCCAGGGCCTCGATGCTGGAATGTCAGAGGCCCCCCACTGGCCCCTCAGCCTCCTCCTGCTTTGCACAGGCTGGGCCAGAGCCTGCCACGGAGCCCCAGCGGCTACACACTCCACTCACTCACACCTCTCAGGGCCCCGCACGTTCCCACAGCCCTCAGGGTGTACGTGCTGTAGGTGTGGCTGTGCCCCAGGTATGTGTTCCCCAGGTGTGCTTGTGCCCCAGGTGTGGCTGTGCCCCAGGTGTGCGTGTGCCCCAGGTGTTCGTGTGCCCCAGATGTGGCTAGGTGTCTAGATGTGTTCTAGATGTCTGTGTATTCCAGTGTGGCTGTGTCCCAGGTGTGCGTGTGCCCCAGGTGTGTGCCTCAGGTGTGCGTGTGCCCCAGGTGTGGCTTTGCCTCCAGTGTGTGTGTGCCCCAGATGTATGTGTGCCCCAGGTGTGGCTGTGCCCCAGGTGTGCCTGTGCCCCAGGTGTGGCTGTGCCCCAGGTGTGCCTGTGCCCCAGGTGTGGGTGTGCCCCAGGTGTGGGTGTGCTCCAGGTGGCTGTATTTCCCAGGTACTCAGGGTGAGGTTGGGAAAAAAGCAGGACATTTCTACACTAGGTGGGACAAGCAGGTTTCTGGGGTGCCCCCCTCATGCCAGCCCCTCTGTGGGATCTCCATACCCCTCATCCTCTGAGGCCTGGCGCACGGCGGGGCTCAGAGACTGAAGGAAGGACTGTAGGAGTGGACGATGGTGGGGGTTTGACCTGACGCCGGGCCAGATGCCCTGTGTGGCTGCCTCAGCCTGGAGTAGAGTGTCTGAGCTGGAACAGGGGTCCTAGCCCCACTCTGTGAGGCGAGAAACTGAGGCTTGGAGAGAGGAAGAGATGGGGCTTCCCAGGACCTGGTGGGTGGTATGCAAGGGGAGCTGGCTGGTGCAGCGGGGGCTGTGGTGAGGGCCCTGGGAGGGGCAGGGGGATGCACGCAGACAGAGGCTCTGCCTGCCCGCAGAGTGCCAGCTGATGAAGACGGAGCGGCCCCGGCCCAACACCTTCATCATCCGCTGCCTGCAGTGGACCACTGTCATCGAACGCACCTTCCATGTGGAGACTCCTGAGGAGCGGTACGTGGGCTGTGGCGGCCAGGCCAGGCACTTGGGCAGCCCCAGCGCTTAGGAGGGACACGGGGATGGCGGGGTGCTGGCACCTCTGCCTGTAGCCATCCTCACTCCCCAGTGCTCCCAGGCCCTCCTCAGAGCCCAGTTTGGAAACTGGCCCAGTCCTGCCTGTGGGGTTTGGGTGGGGAAACTGAGGCTGGAGATAAAAACTGGCTAGGGACCGGGTGCAGTGGCTCACGTCTATAATCTCGGCACTTTGGGAGGCCGAGGTGCGCAGATCACTTGAGACCAGGAGTTTGAGACTAGCCTGCCAACATGGTGAAACCCCCGTCTCTACTAAAAATATAAAACTTAGCTGGGTGTGGTGGTGCACACCTGTAATCCCGGCTACTTGGGAGGCTGAGGCACAAGAATCGCTTGAACCCGAGAGGCAGAGGCTGCAGGAGCCGAGATTTTACCACTGCACTCCAGCCAGGGCGATAGAGCAAGACTCCGTCTCAAAAAAAGAAAAACCCGGTGGAGAGGGCCAGTCCTCCTTGGGGGGCGGAGTCCTGCTTGGGAGGCGGAGTCCTGCTTGGGGGGGGCGGAGTCCTGCTGGGGGGCGGAGTCCTGCTGGGGGTTGGAGTCCGGTTGTGGGGACAGAGTCCTGCTGGGGGGCTAAGCCTGGGTGTCCCCCACGTCCAAGAGGGCTTCGTGACCCTGAGTGTATGTGGCCAGACCAGGTCAAGTGGTGGCCTCCTCAGGGCTGTCTCTGGGAACCCCGACAGCTGTGGAACCACGCTTGTGAGGCTGGCGGGTGGGTGAAAGACGTGGGGTGGAGCTCCTGATCTGGTACAGGCCTGCAGCCTCACCTGACCTCCTGCAGGGAGGAGTGGACAACCGCCATCCAGACTGTGGCTGACGGCCTCAAGAAGCAGGAGGAGGAGGAGATGGACTTCCGGTCGGGCTCACCCAGTGACAACTCAGGGGCTGAAGAGATGGAGGTGTCCCTGGCCAAGCCCAAGCACCGCGTGGTGAGGCCTGTCCCCACTTCTGCCTGTGCCTGGGGCTGCCTTGGACTGTGGAGGGCTGGGTGGGTCATGGGGTCCCAGCTCGGCCCAGGAGACACTCAGCACTCCACGGCATCTCCACCTAGGCCGGTTTTCCATGTAGGGCGCAGCTGCTTCCCAGGTGGGTCCTCTTCCCCATGTCAGAGGAAAACTGGGGTTGCTGAGCCCTGCCAGGCTTGGGCAATGTTACCCCACCCTTCCCTGAACCCCATGCTCTGAGCTGGGGCCGCAGCCATGTGTTCCCTGTAAGCCTGGACTCCCCGCTGAGCCCAGTAGGCCACCAGGTGTGAAGTGGACGCCTCTCCTGGCTCTGCCTCCGACTCTGGGGCCCCTCATGCCACCCCACGCATGCCGACCAGCTGGGCACTGTTGGCAGCGCCGCTTGCTGACCCTGGTGCCTGCCCATAGACCATGAACGAGTTTGAGTACCTGAAGCTGCTGGGCAAGGGCACTTTCGGCAAGGTGATCCTGGTGAAGGAGAAGGCCACAGGCCGCTACTACGCCATGAAGATCCTCAAGAAGGAAGTCATCGTGGCCAAGGTGGGGCCGGGGCGGTGGGGCAGGGTGGAGATGAGGGTGCGGGGTGGCAGCTCACCCAGCCCTGCTTTACAGGACGAGGTGGCCCACACACTCACCGAGAACCGCGTCCTGCAGAACTCCAGGCACCCCTTCCTCACAGTGAGTGGGAGCCCAGATGGGGCTGAAGGGCTGGGGCCAGGTAGCGACTCCTGGGGCTGTCTCTAGGGGACGATGTCCTGTCTTCTTGGGCACGTGAGGGCTTTACACACCGTGGACTCCGCCGCTGGTGAGACAGGCCTGCCCTGGAGGGTCAGGCTGTGGAGGTGCCCAGTGTGGGCTAGGGGCTGTGCTCGCTGCTCCCGTGTGCGGGCAGGTGGGTGGGGCAGGTGGCCCTGGTCTTCCTTGCACTCTGCCGAGGCTCCAGGAGGCCCCAGCTCCCCATGCCCTGCAGCCCTGCCTGCCAGGCTTTTGTTGAGGCCCGGGCTCTGTCCTGCAGAACCTGTTCTGGGGACTTGGCCCAGGAGGTATTTACTGTGAAGGGGGCCAGGGTCCAGCCACTTGGTTAGTTCCAGGTCACTGTGTTTGGGGACGATTCTCCTGCAGATGGGGCCTTTGCTTTAAAAGCACAGTCGCCTGTGGTGGAAGGCGGGAGGGTGGGTCTCGCCTGGGAGGGTGTGTCCTCCCTTTGCGAAGGCCCTGGTGCTGGGAGCACTGTCCCCTGCTGAGGTCCCAACTCACCCTGGAGGACCTGAGCCCAGGCCACCTTGCTCACCTTTCAAACACTCCTTGGCACCTCAGGGGCTGCCGGGGCCCAGCCTGATGGTGGCGTGGCATGAGGCAGTGTGGTGTGGGGCAGTGTGGTGTGGGGCAGCGTGGCATGGGGGCAGTGTGATGTGGGGGTGTATGGTGTGGGGCAGTGTGATGGGGTGTGTGGTGTGGGGCAGTGTGGTATCGGGCGGTGTGGTATCAGGCAGCGTGGTGTCGGGCAGTGTGGTGTGGGGCTACGGGCGGTGTGGTATCAGGCGACGTGGTATCAAGCAGCGTGGTGTCGGGCAGCGTGGTGCGGGGCTGCCGTCCTGCCTGTGGGGCCGCAGTTCCAGCTCCCCTTCCTTGCAGGCCCTGAAGTACTCTTTCCAGACCCACGACCGCCTCTGCTTTGTCATGGAGTACGCCAACGGGGGCGAGGTAGGGGCTGGGGCTGCGGGGGATGGACTTCGCGGCCTGTGGGCCGCCCATGGTGGGGCCGGTCCTTCCCGGAGCCTCGGCTACTCTCCATGGCACCAGACGGTGCTCCCTGCTGGGTGGGTGGTGTGATGCCTGCCCAGGCAGCTGCCTGCTGTGGGGTGACTTGTTCCTGCTGAGTTAGGGCTTCTGAGACTTTCCAGGCCCCCGTGCCCTCTGGTGGCTGGTCCCTTCCCTGTGCAATGCCGAGACCCGGTCTGAGAAACCCCAGCCCTGCAGGCCATGGGGGCAGAGGCCCGAGCCACGGCTGTGCCTCAGGTTGCGCCTCCCGCAGCTGTTCTTCCACCTGTCCCGGGAGCGTGTGTTCTCCGAGGACCGGGCCCGCTTCTATGGCGCTGAGATTGTGTCAGCCCTGGACTACCTGCACTCGGAGAAGAACGTGGTGTACCGGGACCTCAAGGTGCGCTGGCGGGCAGGCAGGGGGGCAGGGCCCTGGGGGCCTGGCGGCACTGACCTGAGGCCACCTTTCCCCTAGCTGGAGAACCTCATGCTGGACAAGGACGGGCACATTAAGATCACAGACTTCGGGCTGTGCAAGGAGGGGATCAAGGACGGTGCCACCATGAAGACCTTTTGCGGCACACCTGAGTACCTGGCCCCCGAGGTGTGCGCCCCACCTGCGTGCATACGCGTTGCTGCGTCCCCACGTCCTGAGCACACGCAATGCTGTGTCCTCTCTGTGCCCCAAGCACGTCACACCTCCCCCGGCAGTGTCCCGGACACCCCTTGATGCCGAGTCCTGCCCATCTGCCACCCGTGCAGGTGCTGGAGGACAATGACTACGGCCGTGCAGTGGACTGGTGGGGGCTGGGCGTGGTCATGTACGAGATGATGTGCGGTCGCCTGCCCTTCTACAACCAGGACCATGAGAAGCTTTTTGAGCTCATCCTCATGGAGGAGATCCGCTTCCCGCGCACGCTTGGTCCCGAGGCCAAGTCCTTGCTTTCAGGGCTGCTCAAGAAGGACCCCAAGCAGAGGTGAGGGCCGCCCATCCCAGCTACAGGCTACACCTCCATCCCCTCATCCCCAGGCTGCACCTGCCCCTGCGCCAGGCGGTCCTGGCACCTCCCAGACTACACTGATAGCCAAAGCTTGATGTCCTTGGCCAGGGCTGATCTCCAAAGCCTCAGGCCCAAGCAGAGTGGCGGGCAGGCCGGGGTCAGTTGGGCCTCTGTCCCCAACCCTGCAGCCTGCACCCACCCACTCAGGAAGCCCCTGCCCTGCCGTGAGCTCTGTGGTGCTTTGCTACCCACAGCTGCTCAGGGACGCTGCACCACCGGCTCCCCTCCCTGGCCCCGGAACGTCCTGTCTGGCGGGCCCTACATCACAGGAGGAAGGGGCCTGAACCCAGGGCCTGGGCAGGTGGCGGTACCGACACTGTGGCCTTGTTTCCTGCCTGCAGGCTTGGCGGGGGCTCCGAGGACGCCAAGGAGATCATGCAGCATCGCTTCTTTGCCGGTATCGTGTGGCAGCACGTGTACGAGAAGAAGGTGCGGCTGCTCCCCGCATATTCACGCGCACGCATGCTCCCCACATATCCACACTCACGCATGCACGTGGCACGCTCGCCAGATTTCCCACACACTCGCCCTCACCTCAGGAGCCTGCTGCAGTCCTGGTACAAGGAGGGCCTTGCTGCACCAACCTCAGC
The DNA here is from genome assembly GCF_000001405.40 of Homo sapiens. Classification (NCBI taxonomy): domain Eukaryota; kingdom Metazoa; phylum Chordata; class Mammalia; order Primates; family Hominidae; genus Homo; species Homo sapiens. Next base: position 104,772,203 of record NC_000014.9, on the reverse strand, counting down.
GCCTGGTGCTCAGAGGCTCTGGCACTGCCGGGTTCCACCAGGAAACTGGCCTGGTCCTCATTTCCTCCTCCCCTCGGAGGTGTGTCACACTCTGAGTTTCCTCCTCCCCTCGGAGGTGTGTCACACTCTGAGTGCCAGCCTTGGGGTTCCCTTCCCTGACGCTGTGCAGTGAAGGCTGGCTGGTGGTGGACCAGGGGTGCTGCCCCTTGGCCTCCACGAGTTCCTCCTGTTTGACCTCAATCCCTTCTGCCGCAAGGAGAGCCCAGCCCTATTTCTGGCTGTGCAGGGACAGGGACAGCACCTACTTTTCTGGCACATGGGGGAGTCCGCCCTGGAGGGAGGCAGCTCTTTCTGCATGAGTCGCCATCCTGGGTGCTCATCTTTCAGGGACCCTAGGAGCCCTGGCCATCACCCCAGCTGATGGGGTCTGCCAGCTGGGTTCGGAAGCCTGCACTCTGAGATGCTGGGTGCCCTGTCACCAGGTGTGCTTCTGCCCCGTTCCCAGCCTGCCCCTCCCCTGAATGCCTGTCCTAGGCTGTGTGCAGCTGGTCGGGCTGGGCAGCCCTGGGACCCAGCTGGGCACCTGTTCTCCCATTAACACAGGGTGCCCTGGTCCTGGTCCCCGTTCCTGCCTTGAGGCCTGCCACCCTCCTGCCCTGCCCTCCAAGGGTATGGGGGGCCTGGGCAGTGCTCAACCTCTGCCCAGCCTTGACCAGAGACCTTGCTAATTGACAATGGACAATGCTGGTGCCCAGCCCAGACTCTGGGGTGGGGCAGTGCTTGAGGGGGTCCTTGACTGTGGGACCTGAGGGGCTCTCTGGCAGCTCCTCACGTGTGCACATCACCTTATAGTCACCCTTCATCCTGGGTCATTGAGAGTCCTGTCTGCAGCCAGATGCCAGCAGGCTGTGGTCCTGTAGTCCCTGAGCCATGGAGGCAGGGTGGGCTCATCCTGTGCACCTTGTTCCACAGTCTCCCTCTTTCCCAATTTACAAGAAGACCAATAAGAAAAATAAGAAAACAAGAAAGAAAAAGGAAAAATAAAGTTATCACCTCCTGGTAGCAGGGAGGGTCTCTCAGAGCTGGGCTGCACTACCTCCTGTCGCCTGCTGGGGCTGCTGTGAGGGCAGCTTTGCGTCTCAGCTGTTGAGGGTTGTCTCCGTGCTCCTGCACCCCTCATGTCCCTCCCTCCCAGAGCTGCCTCTGTGGGGGGCTGGTGGCTTGCTGCTCTCTGACATCAGTCCTGCCTGGAGACCCCTTGGAGATCCAGGTGCTTTGAAGGTCTTGAGCACACTTGAGGGTGTGCTGGGAGTGGGGAGCGAAGCTCATGACTGTCCCGTCTGCCCACCTCTGCAGCTCAGCCCACCCTTCAAGCCCCAGGTCACGTCGGAGACTGACACCAGGTATTTTGATGAGGAGTTCACGGCCCAGATGATCACCATCACACCACCTGACCAAGGTGAGGGGCCACTGCCTGCCCCCGCCCACTCCCTTTTCTCTCCACACTCAGAGAGGCCTGCAGTGTTCAGCTTTTTTGGCTTCAGATGTTTTAAAATCTAAATATTTAAAAAGGTTCCTTTTGGAGAGTGCCAATGATCAGGGTGGGAGGCAGTGCTCTGAGGGCCCAGGTCCCTGTGTCAATCTGTGGGGCCCTGTCTCAGTTTCCTGGCAGTATGGCAGCGTGCTGGCCGTGCTTTAAGAGGTTGGCTTCCTACTGGAGCTGTGGGTGGGTGGAGGTGGCAGGGAGGTGGGGCACCGGGGTCTGAGCTGTCTACACCCACAGATGACAGCATGGAGTGTGTGGACAGCGAGCGCAGGCCCCACTTCCCCCAGTTCTCCTACTCGGCCAGCGGCACGGCCTGAGGCGGCGGTGGACTGCGCTGGACGATAGCTTGGAGGGATGGAGAGGCGGCCTCGTGCCATGATCTGTATTTAATGGTTTTTATTTCTCGGGTGCATTTGAGAGAAGCCACGCTGTCCTCTCGAGCCCAGATGGAAAGACGTTTTTGTGCTGTGGGCAGCACCCTCCCCCGCAGCGGGGTAGGGAAGAAAACTATCCTGCGGGTTTTAATTTATTTCATCCAGTTTGTTCTCCGGGTGTGGCCTCAGCCCTCAGAACAATCCGATTCACGTAGGGAAATGTTAAGGACTTCTGCAGCTATGCGCAATGTGGCATTGGGGGGCCGGGCAGGTCCTGCCCATGTGTCCCCTCACTCTGTCAGCCAGCCGCCCTGGGCTGTCTGTCACCAGCTATCTGTCATCTCTCTGGGGCCCTGGGCCTCAGTTCAACCTGGTGGCACCAGATGCAACCTCACTATGGTATGCTGGCCAGCACCCTCTCCTGGGGGTGGCAGGCACACAGCAGCCCCCCAGCACTAAGGCCGTGTCTCTGAGGACGTCATCGGAGGCTGGGCCCCTGGGATGGGACCAGGGATGGGGGATGGGCCAGGGTTTACCCAGTGGGACAGAGGAGCAAGGTTTAAATTTGTTATTGTGTATTATGTTGTTCAAATGCATTTTGGGGGTTTTTAATCTTTGTGACAGGAAAGCCCTCCCCCTTCCCCTTCTGTGTCACAGTTCTTGGTGACTGTCCCACCGGGAGCCTCCCCCTCAGATGATCTCTCCACGGTAGCACTTGACCTTTTCGACGCTTAACCTTTCCGCTGTCGCCCCAGGCCCTCCCTGACTCCCTGTGGGGGTGGCCATCCCTGGGCCCCTCCACGCCTCCTGGCCAGACGCTGCCGCTGCCGCTGCACCACGGCGTTTTTTTACAACATTCAACTTTAGTATTTTTACTATTATAATATAATATGGAACCTTCCCTCCAAATTCTTCAATAAAAGTTGCTTTTCAAATTTTTGGCTCACTTTGCTGGGTGGAAGAGTGGGTGGCCAGGGAGGGAGTGGGGAGTCCTGGGAGGGAAGCAGCATCCTCAGAGCAGCTGGTCCTCCCCAGCTCCTCCTGGTGGGCACCGCCACCCCAACAGGTTTGGGGACAGGCTGTGTGGTGGGCCGAGGCGGGAGTATACAGGCCTGTTCCCAGGGGCAGCCTCCCATGGAAGGTGTTCCACCCCCATCTCCAGAGGCCTGGCCTGAGGGGAGATGGGAGGCCCTGGCTGGCCCTGCCCCCGTTGGGATCCACCTCTTCTTCCCTTGACCCCACCCAGCTTCACCCCAGCCATGAAGGAGACCATTGGACCACGTGGCCATCTGCCCCCCAGCCCCAGGTGCTGTTCCCCTGGGTAGGGCAGTGAATGAGACAGACCACCAGGAAGGACAGATAGGGCAGGGCCCAGAGTTGGGGCCAAGGTCATGGCCTGGGCCACGGTGGAAGTAAGGCTGGGAGGCCTGAGTGGCCTGTTCGAAGCTGGACAGAGCGGGAGGAGGGGCTGCAGGCGGTGGGAGGAGGGGCTGCAGGGGGCGGGAGGGGACAGGCTGGGGCCCAGGTTACCCCAGAGCACTACATCGAGCTCTGAGCCGGAACAGCCTGCAGAATGTGCCGGTGCTGCCACCTGGTGGACGCCTGCCGGAACCGCGCCCTGAGCCAGGAGAGGAGTCCACTGCCGAGCAACTGACAGCGGGTTGGCGACCAGGTTCCGGGTGGTTGGGTGACCAGCACGAGCCAGGGGCCTGGAGCTTCAGCTTCCTCATCTCTCAAATGGACTCCCCGTAGGTGTGGATGGTTGCAGAGTCAGGCCCCTGGCGATGGCAATTGGCCCCTCTCTAAGGCATTCCCAGGGGTGCGTGGCTGCCCTCACTTCCACTGGAGGGGGTGCCCCATAGGGAGCACAGGCTGGCGAGGATGTTCTGGGTCTGTGGGAGCCAAGAACAGCCACATCTGGAGCAGCCCGAAGCTCTCCTCTGGGTGATCCCTTATTGCTTCAGTTCTAACAGGCCGCAAAACTGATACCGCTTTTCGGGAAATACACGAAACATGACACAGTAAATGATGTTCCGAGGGTGAGAGGCATCTGGATTTCAGATCTATCAATAATGTGACTCTTAGAAACCAAAAAATACAGCAATGCCCTTCCAATATCCACAAACTTTGAGCAAAGCATTGCTGAAAGTAACCAAGGTATGGAAATGGTCAGGCAGACGCAGCATCTCCCAGACAGCCCGGCTGAGAAGCATGGGCTGCTTCTCCCAGCACGGCCCCCTCTGACAATATAGGATTGCCTTAGGGCCATTTCTTACCTTTTTTATGGTAGAGATAGGGTCTCGCTATGTTGTTCAGGCCGGTCTTGAACTCCGGGCCTCAAGTGATCCTCCTGCCTTGTCCTCCCAAAACGTTGGGATTATAAGGTGTGAGCCACCACACCTGGCCTCTTAGGGATAGTTCTATAGTCCAGAGAGAGAGAGGCTTCAACGTCATTGGCATTAATACAGACATGACCCTGTGTTATGTCCCCGTTACAAGTGGCTGAGGACCTAACAAAATGAACGCAGAAATGGAGACCCTCTGAGAATTTCCCGACCCTCCTAGCAGCCCCAGACAGAACCATCTACAGCAGGAGGCAGCATCCCAGGAGTGGGGTGGAGGGTGTCAGTGAGGGGTGAGATGTGCAAGGAGATGCACATCTCAGAGAGGAAACTCCAGGAGGTGCAGGTGCCCTTGCAAGGGGCAGTCCAGTCCTGGCCAGCGAGGCCAGAGCGGGTGGAGAGGGCCAGGATCCTGCAGCCCCAACAGGGCCTGCCGAACAGCGAGGGCTGTCTGGAGAGGTTGTAACAGGAATACGCCAACCAAGAGGAAGCTCTCCTTCCTGTGTCAGAGGTACCCCGAAGGAAACAATGCATAAAGTGTCCATTTCCAAGACAAAGTGCCTAAAATCAGCTTAGGTCAGCAAACTACGGAAGCAACAGGATATACTAGGCCCCTGCTTGGATAGCCAACGCCTGTTTGTCACCGCCAGCCCCCGTCCCTTAGTTTCCCTCACCTGAACCAAAGTTTAGTCTAAAATGAAAGTTTACTAGCCTCCAAAATAGCTCGCTTTGTCTGTTCGTATCAGCCTGCCCAGCTACTTAGGTCAGAAGTCAAATATTTGAAGAGCCCCTGAGCTAACTAGGATTGCAATGCATTGTGGGCTGCAACAGAATGCAGCAAGACAACTCTAAAGAAAACACCTAAAGCCCCTGCCCAACAACCAATAGGTGACGTCCAGGAAGGTTGTGACCCCATAGTACTCAGCCTATGAAGAACCGGGGGAGGGACCTGCACACTAGGGGATAAATTGCTTGTTGAAACTGTGCTGGGTGTGCCAGCTCATCAGGCACCCAATCTTGCAAGACTATCATTAAAAGTCTCACTTTTGCTGTTCTCCGGTCTCTGAGGTCTCTGAGTCCATTCTTCGGGTGTGGATGGGTGAGTTTGTTTCTCACATGCCCACATCATGCTCTTTCCAGCACAAGGCCGGCCTGGAAGGGAGGAAGATAATAAAAGTGACTTGAGCACTTAGACCTCCCATGTTTCAGCAGGTGTGGGTAACTGAAGGCTCTGCAGGTCTCTGGGTCTGGGGGCCTCAATGTTGTAGACGAGGTCCCAGGAGCTGAGAGTGCTACTGGGGCATGTCAGGATAAGGGCTAGGCCTGCCTTCCCAGAAGATGTCACTTCCAGTGAATGTCTGTTCAAAGGCTGACTTTATCATACAACAGATAATTATTTCATCCTTTTGCTTCTAGCAAGTCTGGGAAAGAGCTACAGAAGGGGCTGACAGCATGTAGGGTTTTTGTTGTTATTTAAAAAAAAAAGTCTAACAATCATTGCCCATTAATTAAGGTGTCTAGACCATTTACATTTAATGCAACTATTGATATGGTTGAGCTTAAATGTACTATCTTGCTCTTTTTCTATACATTCCATTTGTTCTTTGTTCCTCCTTTCCTTTCCTTTTTTTGTATTAAATAAGTATTGCCGATTGTCTCATTTTATCTCCTTTATTGGCTTATTTTTTGGATTTTACCAGTTTTCCCACTGATGTTCTTTTTCTATTCCAGTATACACATACAATCCAGGATACTGTGTTGCATTTAGAATAAATATATTTTGAATAAATGAATGAATGTAGCTCCCCAGCCCTCTGGGGATTTCATATACGTGAGATCATGCAGTGTTTGTCTTTTTGTGTCTGGCTTATTTCACTCAGTCATAGTATCTTTAAGGTTCATTTGTGTTGTAGCATGTCAGAATTTTATTTCTTTTTAAGGCTGAATACTATTTTATTGCATGTATAGACCACATTTTGTTTATTCATTTGTCCTGTGATGAACATTTGGGTTGTTTCCATCTTTTGGCTACTGGGGATAATGCTGCTACAAACTTGTGTACAAATACCTGTTCACGTCCCTGCTGTCAATTATTTTGTGTCTGTACCCAGAAGTGGAATTGCTGGATCAAACAGTAATTCTGTGTTCAGTTTTAATTTTCCTTTCATTTTTTTGAGACATAGTCTCACTATGTTGCCCAGGCTGGTCTCAAACTCCTGGGCTCAAGTGATCCTCCTGTCTCAGCCTTCCAAACCACTAGGATTACAGGCATTAGCCACTGTGCCAGGCTTATGTTTAGTGTTTTGAGGAACTGCCTACTGTTTTCTGCACTGGCTGCACCATTTCACATTCCCACCGGCAGTGCACAAATGTTCCAATTTCTCCATATCCTCCCCGACACTTGTTTTATTTTCAAATAGTAGCTATCTTGATGGGTGTGAGGTGGTATCTCATTGTGGTTTTGATTTGCATTTCCCTGATAATCAGTGATGTTGAGCATCTTTTCATGTGTGTGCTGTTTTTATATATTCTTTGGACAAATGTTTACTCAAGTCCTTTGCCCATTTTTGGATTTTTTTTTTAATTGCTGCGTGTTAGGAGTTCTTTATGTATAGATGGTCCCTGACTTACAATGGTTAAACTTATAATTTTTCAACTTTACAATGTTGCAAAAGCTATACACATTCAGTATGCTCCTTAACAATATTTTCTTTTTTTTTTTTTTTTTTTTTTTTGAGACGGAGTCTCGCTCTGTCACCCAGGCTGGAGTGCAGTGGCGCGATCTCGGCTCACTGCAAGCTCTGCCTCCTGGGTTCATGCCATTCTCCTGCCTCAGCCTCCCGAGTAGCTGGGACTACAGGAGCCTGCCAACACGCCCGGCTAATTTTTTGTATTTTTAGTAGACACGGGGTTTCACTGTGTTAGCCAGGATGGTCTCTATCTCCTGACCTCGTGATCCACCCGCCTCGGCCTCCCAAAGTGCTGGGATTACAGGCATGAGCCACTGCGCCTGGCCCTTAACAATATTTTCAACTCGTGATGGATTTATCTGGATGTAACCCATTGTAAGCTGAGGAGCATCTGTATAGACAATTAAAAAAAATTTTTTTTTTTCTTTGAGACAGAGTCTCGCTCTGTCACCCAGGCTGGAGTGCAATGGCGCGATCTAGGCTCACTGCAACCTCTGCCTCCGAGGTTCAAGCGATTCTCCTGCCTCAGCCTCCTGAGTAGCTGGGATTACAGGCGCCCACCACCATGCCCAGCTAATTTTTTTTTTTTTGTATTTTTAGTACAGACAGGGTTTTACCATGTTGGTCAGGCTGGTCTCGAACTCCTGACCTCAGGTGATCTGCCAGCATCAGCCTCCCAAAGTGCTGGGATTACAGGCATGAGCCACCACGCCTGGCCTTTTTTAAAATTAAGATAGTCTTGCTCTGTTGCCCAGGCTGGAGTGCAATGGCGCGATCTCGGGTCACTGCAACCTCTGCCTCCTGGGTTCAAGGGATTCTCCTGCCTCAGCCTCCTCAATAGCTGGGATTACAGGCGTGCGCCGCCACCACACCTGGCTAATTTTTGTATTTTTAGTAGAGATGGGTTTTTGCCATGTTGGCCAAACCTTGAACTCCTGACCTCAGGTGATTCGCCTGCCTCAGCCTCCCAAAGTGTTGGAATTACAGGTGTGAACCACTGCAGCTGGCCTAGGCAATTGTCTTTTAAAGAGATTATATATATACATATTTAAAGACAGGGTCAGCTGGGCGCAGTGGCTCATGCCTGTAATCCCAGCACTTTGGGAGGCCGAGGTGGGCAGATCACGAGGTCAGGAGATTGAGACCATCCTGGCTAACACGGTGAAACCTCGTCTCTACTAAAAATACAAAAAATTCACCGAGCGTGGTGGCGGGCACCTGTAGTCCCAGCTACTCAGGAGGCTGAGGCAGGAGAATGGCATGAACCCGGGAGGCAGAGCTTGCAGTGAGCCGAGATCAGGCCACTGCACTCCAACCTGGGTGACAGAGCAAGACACTGTCAAAAAAAAAAATAATAAATAAAATAAAATAAAGACAGGGTCTTGCCATGTTGCCCAGGCTGGCTTTGAACCCCTATCAAGTGATTCTCCCAGCTTAATCTCCTGAGTAGCTGGGACAACAGGCACTTTTAAAAATCAGAAAAAACCCTGCCTTTTGTGTCCTCCCAAACAGTGACCATTTCAGGTGCTCGTCATATCTTTGTGTACAAGCAGTTTCCATCTGGTGTCATTTTCCTTCTGCCAGAAAAACTTCTTTTGACAATTTTTGTAAATCTTCCAGCTTTGTATGTCTGAAAAGTCTTTATTTCACCTTCACTTTTGAAAGATATTTTCACTGGGTATAGAATTCCAGGTTGACATTCTTTTCTTTCAAAACTAAATTTGGATAAATGTTTATTCAAGCTGGGCTTGGGATTACAAATCCCAGCACTTTGGGAGGCTGAGGTAGGCAGATCACCTGAGGTTGGGAGTTTGAGACCAGCCTAACCGACATAGAGAAACCCCGTCTCCACTAAAAATACAAAATTAGGCAGGCATGGAGGCGCATGCCTGAAATCCCAGCTATTTGGGAGGCCGAGGCAGGCGAATTGCTTGAACCAGGGAGGCGGAGGTTGTGGTGAGGCGAGATCGTGCCACCGCACTCCAGCCTGGGCAACAAGAGCGAAACTCCATCTCAAAAAAATAAATAAATAAGTTTATTCAAGTTCTTTGCCCAACCCACAGGTGTTGTTCACTGTCTGCTTGCAGTTTCTAGTGAGAAGTCTTGCTGCCATTCTTTGTTCCTGTAAACACAAAGTGTCTTTTTTCTCTGGCTGCTTTTTTTTATTTGTCACTGGTTTGGAGGAATTTCATGATGATGTGCTTCATGTAATTTTCTCCATGTTTCTTTTGGGGTTTGTTGAGCTTCCTGGATCTGTGGCTTTATGTTTCCACCAAATTAGGAAATTTTACAGTCATTATTTTATTTATTTATTTATTTAGAGATGGAGTTTCGCTCTTGTTGCCCAGGCTGGAGTGCAATGGCACAATCTCAGCTTGCTGCAACCTCCGCCTCCCGGGTTCAAGCGATTCTCCTGCCTCAGCCTCCCAAGTAGCTGGGATTATAAGCACCTGCCACCACGCCTGGCTAATTTTTGCATTTTTAGTAGAGACAGGGTTTCACCATGTTGGCCAGGCTGGTCTCAAACTCCTGACC